>NC_000008.11:139943312-140245390 GCF_000001405.40 Homo sapiens
TGTCTTGGCCTCCCAAAGTGCTGGGATTACAGGCATGAACCACTGTGCCCAGCCGAGGTGGAGTTTTCAATTACAGTCCAACAAAGATAAACAACTGCTAAATAATAATTTTTTAAATGAACTCTCTCCAAAGGACTATAACAAAATCCAGAGACTCCACACATAAGATGACAATGTTCAGGATATAATTGAAAGTTAACTGACCTAAGAAGAACCAAGAAACTGACCCATCCTTAAGAGAAAAGACACTCAATAAATTGACATCAATTTGAGAGAATACAGACGTTGCAATTAGCAGACAAAGATTTTTTAAGTTATTAAAACTATACTCCAGAACATTATTGAAAATACTGTGGCAATTCAGGAAAGAATAGGAAAACTCAGCAGACAGATAAAAATTACTTTAAAAAGTGGAAAAGCTAAAACTGAGAAATAGAGTATCTTTAATAAACAATGCATTGGATAGGCTTCACAGAAGAATGAAAGTGATGGAGGAAAGAATCAGTAGACAGAAGACAGGTCAAAGTAAGTCATCCAATCTTAAGAAGACAGATAAATGAAACATGAGCAGCTAGGAAAAAAACAAAACAAAACAGAGCTTCAGGGACCTGTGGAACAATATCAAACATTCTAACATACCTGTCCTTGGAGGCACAAGAATGAGGCCGAAAAACACATGTGTTCAAAGAAGTCATAACCAGTATTTCCCCTAATTTGGTGAAAAACATAAATGTATAATCTTAAGAACTTTGGCAAAACCCAAGCAGAATAAGGGAAAGGAACTTTCAACCAGAATTCTATATCCAATGAAAATATCCCTCAGAAATGAAAGCAAAATAAAAACATTTCAGATTAAAGAAAACTAAAAGAAATTATCAACAGAAGTCTCCCTTTACAAGAAATGCTAGAAGAAAATTCTTGGAGTTACAGGAAACGAGTACCAGATGGAAATGAAACTTGGCTATTTAGGTAATAATGAAGACCATCAGAAATAGTAAATACTTGGGCAAATATAAAATATTGTTTTCTTATTTATTTTAAATACAGATGACTTCTTAAAACATATCATTATCCTTGTGTGATTTATAATGTACATAGATCTGACACATTTGACCACTATAGCTTCAATGACAGGGCTTAGACACAGGAACCGATGTGGTTGCAAATATTCTATATTTTATGTGAAATGACACAATAATAACTTTAAATAGACCATGAAAATTAAGGTTGTGTATTGTAATCCCAACAGCAACCACTAAAAACATAAAGAGGTATAGGTAAAAAGCTGACAGATAAATTCATATGTGAATATGTAATTCATATATAAATACATACATATATGTTATATAGAATTAAATAATACAAAAGATGGCAGGAAAAGGGAAACAAATGAATAAAAAGCAGTGGGGTCATTCAGGAAACAAGTATTAACATAGCAGACTTAAACCAAATACCAATAAATACCTGAAATATTAATAAATTAAATACTCTTAAAAGACAGAGATTGTTACAATAGATTAAAAAAGCACGCCAGCCATGGTGGCTCATGCCTGTAATCCCAGCACTTTGGGAGGCCAAGGTGGGCAGATCACCTGAGATCAGGAGTTTGAGATCAGCGTGGCCAACATGGCGAAACCCTGTCTCTACTAAAAATACAAAAAATTAGCTGGGTGTGGTGGCATGCACCTGTAAAGCCAGCTACACAGGAGGCTGAGGCAAGAGAATCACTTGCACTCAGGAAGCGGAGGTTTCATTGAGCCAAGATCATGCCATTGTGCTCCAGCCTATGCAACAGAGTGAGACTCCATCTCAAAAATAATAATAATAAAGAAATAAATAGTAAAACAAAAAAATAAAAAGGCAAAATTCAACTATACGTTGTTTATAAGTAAAGTACTTTAAATATGAAAACTTATGCAGGTTTGGAGTGAACGGATTGCAAAAGGCATCCTTTGCAAATAGTATGCTTGTATTACCATACTGGAGTGGTTATATCAACATCATATGAAATAGACTTCAAGACAAAGAGTATCAAAGACTCATCATTGTCCATAATGAAGTGAAGTGAATCCATTAGCAGGACATAATACTCACCAACATATGAGGATACAATCAAAGAACTTCAAAATACACAAAGCAAAAACTGACACAATTAGAGGGAGTCAGACAATTCCACAATCATAGTTGGAGGTTTTAAGATCCTGCTCTCCACAATTGACAGCACAATTAGCAAAAAAAAAAAAAAAAAAAAAAAAAAAAAACCAACAAAAAACAGTCAGTAAAGACATAAATGAACTGAACAACACGTGCAACTCCAGAGCTGGTGTGCAGACAGCACTACAGCAAACAACTTCAGGCCCACGTCCTCTTCCAGTGCATAAGGTGTGCTCACCAGGATGAAGCTCATGTGGGTCATGAGACAAGTCTGAATAGATGTCAAATGACTGAGTGATACAGAGTACACATTCGACTCTAGTGAAGGATGTATCTCCCTTGGTTGTTAGGGGAAATATACTGAGGTTTGCAATTTATTTTCAAATGCATGAACGAAATATGATGGACTAACAGATGGATAAAAAGGTGGATATAGTAATAGACACTCAGTAAAGGAATTATAGCAAAATAGTAGTGGTACAATCACTGCTGTACCCACCACCTAGATTTAACTTTGCTGTATGTTTAAAAATCTTTACAATTAAAAACATTTCTAAAAATCAACTCATTTTCTGAAATGGAAGACTTCTCAGAATCCTTAAGATACAAATGTGTGTGGAAATCCCCAAGGGGGGAGGTGGATATGCGGAATTTTCCAACTGATCTCTCTCAAGAACCAACCCCCACCCCTTTTAAGGAAGATCTCAAAGAAATCGAGGCTCAAAGACCCTCCTGGTGTGGTCAAATAGGCCCTAGCAGGCTTTATGCCAGGCAAACCTGATCTTTATTCTAATTTCACTGATTCCTCACTGTGGAATTACTTCATCTTTCTGAGTCTCACTTTCATCATCTGTTCAATGGGGCTAAAAATTGCATGCACTCAATGGATTCCGTAAGAACGAGGCATGGCCAGGTGTGTTAGAAGCCCTCGTCAATGGCTGGTATATAGCAGGCGCTTGAGAATCTACACTGACCCTCTCTCCCTTGTCCTCTGGAGTCGGGAGTGACATGCTTGGAGTTTTGCTTCTTTGCTCTTCCTCTAGCAGTGCTATTTACCATGAATGCTTATAGAGGAAAAGAAGCAGGAAAAGCAAGCATTTAGCAAGGTATGCCAGTGTCTCAAAGGCCAGATAATAAAGATGTTAGGTGGCAGCACAAGGGGAAAGAAGAGGCAGGTGAAGAGATATGAGAGTATCCGCAGAATTTTCTTCTAAAAAAAAAAAAAAGGCCCTGGCCAAGAGCAGTGGCTCACGCCTGAAATCCCAGCACTTTGGGAGGCCGAGGCGGGTGGATCACGAGGTCAGGAGATCGAGACCATCCTGGCTAACACGGTGAAACCCTGTCTCTGCTAAAAATTTAAAAAAAAAAAAATTATCCAGGCATGGTGGCGGGCGCCTCTAATCCCAGCTACTCGGGAGGCTGAGGCAGGAGAATCGCTTGAACCCAGGAGGCAGAGGTTGCAGTGAGCTGAGATTGCACCACTGCACTCCAGCCTGGACAACACAGTAAGACTCCATCTCAAAAAACAAAACAAAACAAAAAACCAAAAAAGGCCCTGGCTGGGAAAAGAAAGGTTTTCACACCCTGCGTAAGGAAATGGAGAGAGAAATGAGTTGGTAATTAAATTGCAGGGTTTCCATGCAACTCACCTGGCAAGTCAAATAAGTAGCGTGTTGTAGCAAGACAGGGTGGTATCATTAAAGAAATATTAGCATGATAGGGAACAGAGGAAATGAACTACACGCGCATTTCTTCTGCTATAAATATTCTCACACTTCAGATGCGAGTGAGGGATTCCCACCATTTTCATAAACCACCAGGTACTAATCTCCATCAACGCCACCAAATAGCATTTAACAAGAGATAATGTGGTTCTGTAGCCAGGGCAGGCTGCAGGAAAAGCAATGCTGTATTACTCAGCCGCCGGGAGCAAAGGACAGAAGAATGACAAACTAACCAGGACAAAGTATGAAGAAAAATAGACCTTTGTTATATATGCCAATATCTCCCTTGCTTTAATTTAAATAAGGCTTTGTTTTGTCCTTGTTGAAAAGTAGAATAAAGTTCTTATTCCCCTTGAAATCTTGTATAATTAAAAATACAGTATTAAGGGCCAGGCAAGGTGGCTCACGCCTGTAATCCCAGCACTTTGGGAGGCCTAGGCAGGTGGATCACCTGAAGTCAGGAGTTTGTGATCAGCCTGGCCAACATGGGGAAACCCTGTCTCTACTAAAAATAAAAATAAAAAAAAATTAGCCGGTCATGGTGGCGGGCACCTGTAATCCCAGCTACTCAGGAGGCTGAGGAAGGAGAATCACCTGAACCTGGGAGGCAGAGGTTGCAGTGAGCCAAGATCACACCACTGAACTCCAGTCTGGGCCACAAGAGCAAAATTCCGTCTCAAAAAAAAAAAAAAGAAATATGTGTGTATATATATATATAGAGAGAGAGAGAGAGCGAGAGAGAGAGAGAGAGAGAGTATAAGGGAGCCAGGAGAATTGACAGCACGGGATTTTGAGTCCAACAGACCTGGATTCTTGTCCACGTTCTGTCCACTGGCACTTGCATGGCCGTGGGAACATTACTGACCCACCCTGAGCCTCAGTTTCCTTATCTGTGGAGTGCGAATCATAAGCCTTGCATCACAGGGTCCTTGAGTATTAGGTTCACTCTTTCATCCGGGAACTACGTTGTACCAGGCACTGTTTTAGATGGAAGGGAAATAGAAGCGAACAAAACGAAGAGCCCTCCTTACACTGAGTGGGGGAAGATGGTTCATAAAACACACACACACACACACACACACACACACACACACACACACACACACTGTGACGTACAGATCCTAGCGTGTTCCCCATGACCCCTGCCCTGGTGTTCACACCCTCCCTTTTGTTTTTGCCAATATAACGGCTTCGCCTTGAGTAAGGAAAAGAGAATCCCAGGGAGCGCAGACAGCAAATGCTGATGCTCTAAGGCTAGAGGACATCTGGGAAGGTCAGAAGACATCAAGGAAGCCAATGTGGCTAAGACAGAGGGGCAGGCAGGAGAGGCCACAAATTACCAGGCTGGCCCGATGCCCTTCTCCCTAAGTTTTGTTCATTACGGCAGCCCCTTCCTTTAGGAGGAGCCCCCCACCCTACCTCCACCTCCACCTTCAAATGTAAAATTCTTATCAAGGTTTCCAATTACGGCAACCCTGATCTGGCCACAGGATTGGGGCTAGGAGCCAGGCCTCACGCACAGGTGCCCCCTTTGCAGCCTTTCCCATTATCAGGGTGAGCCTGTCAACCAAGCCTGCTCACCGAAATATTAAAAAGACAATAACAGGCCAAGCTCAGTGGCTCACACCTGTAACCTCAGCACTTTGAGAGGATGAGGTGGCGGATCACTTGAGGTCAGGAGTTCGAGACCAGCCTGGCCAACATGGGGAAACCCTGTCTCTACTGAAAATACAAGAACTAGCTAGTGTGGTGGGCGCCTGTAATCCCAGCTAATTGGGAGGCTGAGGCGGGAGAATCGCTTGAACCCAGGAGGCAGAGGTTGCCGTGAGCCAAGATTGCACCACTGTACTCCGGCCTGGGAGACATGGTGAGACTCCATCTCAAAAAAATAAAAATAAAAAAGACAATAACAAACTAATTAAAACAGAAATTTCTGTGAGAATGATCACAGGAGAAAAAAAACCAAAGACACAAATAATAATATTAGGAATAAGAAAACCTGATTTCATTACAGGTACTAAGACTGTAAAAGGGTAAAAGAAAATTATGAATAATTTTTTGCCAATAAACTTTAAAACCTTAGATATAATAAAATTGAGAAATAATTCTCAAGGAGAAAACATGTAACTCACCAAAGCTGACTAAAGAAAAAACAGAAAACATTAAACGTGGCGTTACCGTATGACCCAACAATTTCATTTCTAGGAGACATCCGTGGGCAATGAGAACATTTCCATATAAAAACGCACACAAGAGCACACACAGTAGCGTCATTCGTGACAGACAAAAGGGGCAGCAACGTAAGGGTCCATCAATCGATAAACCACTAAATAAAATGTGCAATATCCATGTGATGGAATATCATTTAGCAGTAAAAAGGAAGGAAGTATTGATACATACTTCAACATGAATAGACCCTGATTACATTACATGCTGAGTAAAGCAGCCAGTCACAACAGAACACACACAGAATTCCACTTATATGAAATGTCCAGAATAGGTAAATCCATAGAAACCAAAAGTAGATCAATGGTTGCCTAGGGCTGGGGGTGGGGGAAGTGGAAAGGGGGAGTGGTGGCCAATGGGTAGGAGTTTTTGTAGCATGGTAGGTGATAGTGTTCTAAAATCAATCATGGTAACGGCTGCACAACTCTGTGAGTATCCTCAATACCAATGAGTTAACGAGCTGTAAATAGGTGCATCAAAGGATATGTTAATTACATCTCAATAAAACTGTCATTTAAAAAGAAAAGAAACTGTTATTGATTATACATGTCTGATATAAATAACTCTGCCCCACCTTCAACACAGACATCTCAGCTTATACACCACATCCTGCAGAACAAAGGTCTATAAAATCATTCAAGGTAGCACGGCACCCCCTAGAAAGTTTTTGTCCCATGATGGCGAGGCGAGTGGTAAGTCCAGCTTCAGGTGACCGTGGGGGAAGCGGGGCGTGTGGCCACAGGAGCCCAGGATAGATTGCTGGTCCACAGTCCAGGTTCTGCTTAGTCCTCGTCTATGGAATGAAGGCAACTTTCATCCTCAATGAGTTCTCATGAGGATTCAAAGTAACAATATGCACAAATACTTTTTACTTGGCAAACCGCGGAGCTCAGGCTTTTTATCGCTTGCCTACGAAATGGAAGGTGAACCTGTCAGCAGATGATGCCTGTCAATTAACAATGGTTCTCGCGAATTCAAGGCTGAGGGAATTGAAGTTCAGGGTGGTTGGGGAACTTGTCCAGAGTGGTATTGCTGATTTCACAATGAGTAAACCAGGGCTCAAGTCAAATCTGCTGTTGAACAGACAGCATTAAGCAAGATAACCAGTTGGCCGAGTTGTGACTTTCAACAGGATGAATGCTTAAGTTGCCGCTGTGAGGCATAACAGACATCATGTTGACAAGGCTGCACCAGCCAAGGGCCTTCCAAGAACTGGTGATAAAAGCAACAAACCAACCCCCAAACCTTAGAATGCTACAGGTATGAATCAGACCTTTCCCAAATCACCATGGGTTTCTTGATATAGTCCCAGAAATCAACAACTTAAACACTGGTGAAAACATTCAGCAACTGACAATTCAATTAGGCTACAAGAGCAGAAAAAACGGACTGATGTAGTGGTTGCACACCAACCAGTAAGTGAACACCAGCTCCGAAGGCCTCTTTGGTATGCACCAAAACACATGGCATGCGGCAAGAGGAGGCGCGGCAGGGAGGGAGCCGCACCCGCCTTACAGCCAAACAAATGAACTATAAAAGGGTGAGGTGAGTCAACCGAGGACAACGCCCTGCCAAACAGAGTGCCTCACCTGCTCACGGCTTGGAGTCAGCCAGACCCAGGCGCGCACATCCCCACCGCCACCTCCCCACCTGTGACACAGGCCTGGTTACGCCACCTCTCTGAGCTCCATTTCTTCCTCCTAAGAAGTTGGAGAATCACCCTGACACCTCACAGAATTGGTATGGGAAGGAACAAAGCCTCTGCCAACGCTCCTCACACAAAGCCCTACTCCTATAGGGGCTTGATGCCTGCAGGCCCCACCGTTCTCTTCGAAGTGGTCACAGCTGGGTGTCCCAGTGGTTAGCACACGAGTCAGGCCAGTTGGAGCTACTCATTTTTTTCTGTCGCCTTCCTATTCAAACCACTGAACAAAAACTGTGCCATGAGGGTTCAAGATGAGAAGAAATGTGACAGTCACGTTCTGCTGCCTGGGGGCAGGTGTCCTCACTGCCACCATCCCGGCCTTTGCCACTTTCCCCAGCAGACTGCTCTTGCTTGCAGACAAAGTCCTTGGATCTCCAGCACCTCCTCTTCTGTTCGTACCATTAGAATGTCAAGTCCAGAGGGCCAGAGGCACTACATGTCTGTTGCTCATGTAAGGAATAAATGCCCATTTTCTGCACAGGGCACTGAAACTTAGGAGAAGCTGTACCTCAAGCTGCAGAGTTAGAGGCTGGGAGGCAGAGGTAGGCCTCTGTTCTTCTCATTATGTGATTACAGATGCCGAGCTCACTCCACGCACCTCTGAGTCTGCACCAAAGGGCACTGACAGGACAGAAAAGGGGCTCACAGAGATCTTCTAAAGGCCAGAGATTGAATAGTGATTACTTAGTTGTTTCAAATAGAATGCAAGTGAAGAAAAACATGCTCTTGAAACGCTTAAGGCCAAGCAGCAGGTGAATATACCTTCTCATCACTGTGGCAATTAAGCATTATCTGGGAGGAAGGTGTTCTGGCCACCTAAATTGCCACATTCCAATCATTTGCGCATCAGGATCACACAAACATGTATTTTCATCAAGGATAAATTTTCTCTTCTAATTTCCTTCTTTCTAAGGAGTAAGGTGAAGGAAATAATCATCTCCTCAAGCTTAAAAGCTGAAGAAATACTTTACCTTCTTACCCACAACTTAAGCTGTTACTAACTTCAGTCTCAAAATGGCTCTTTTTCTTCCTTTTGCATTTTTGTGGCTAAAGCCCTGATCCACATTACTTTCAGAATTAGATTAATAGCAAATTGCATGCCAGACACTGCGTAAGGGGCTTTTGTATCCAGAATCCCATTTAATCTTCACAATAATCACAATAACAAAAGAGGAAATCATTTTATTATTATTATTGTCACAGAAGAAGGGTCAGGCTGAGTTCAGGTGACTTGCCTAAATCAAATGGTTAAACAAGTGAGGAAAGCATGGTGTGAACCTAGGTCTGTGTGACTCCAGGCGTGGTGCTTTCTATTTCACGGAACTTTTAAGGAAGACTAAAGTAGAATGCACCAAACAGGACCTGAAACAGCAAGACTGCACAGGAGCCCGGCAGCTCGGGTCACCAGAGGGCTCTCCCCGGGAGCAGTGAACAAAGGCCTGGGCAAAGAGTGTGCCAAGAAAAGGGAACAAGAGGATAGAAAAAAGACTCAGAGGTGAAGATCCTAGGATGCCTATGTTTGAGAACAAGATACTGCAAGACAAGGCAGGTCGCCAGAGGATGGGGCCGAGGGGTGCTGGTGGGGCACCTGGAAAGCAGCTGTGGCAGTCGACTCACACTGCCAGGGTGGTGGCAGCAGTGACAGTGTCGATGCTGTTCTCTACTGAGCACTTCCTCTGCACCAGGCACTGTGCTAAGCACATCACATCCATTCTCTAATCGGATTCTATAACAACCCAAACCAGCACATTCTATTATTAACACACTTTACAGATGTGGAAACTGAAGGTAAAGAGGTCAGCTAACTTTCCAAGACCCCACGGCTTGTCAGAAGCAGAGCTGGACTTGAATCCAAGTAGTCTGACTCTAGACACCAAGCCTGAGACGCAGGCCAAACTGCCTGCCACAGGAAGTAAGAGGATGGCTGTTTCCAGTGCCCTGGATTCAGAGGCAGAGGACACGATGGAATAATCAATTATCTACATGCAAAAACACCCACTTCGATCCACCTTGCACTATCTACAACAACTAACAAAATGGATCATTTTAAGATACGTAAAACCTACAACTATAAAACTTGTAAAAGTAGGCCAGGAGTTGCGGCTCACGCCTGTAATCCCAGCACTTTGGGAGGCCGAGGCAGGTGGATCACTTGAGGTCAAGGAGTTGAAGACCAGCCTGGTCAACATGCTGACACACTGTCTCTACTAAAAATGCAAAAATCAGCCAGGCATGGGGGCGCACACCTATAATCTCAGCTACTCAGGAGGCTGAGGCAAGAGAATCGCTTGAACCCAGGAGGCAGAGTTGCAGTGAGCCGAGATCGTGCCACTGCACTCCAGCCTGGGTGACAGAGCAAGACTCTGTCTCAAAAAAAATGTGTAGAAGTAAACATTAAAGGAAAAAATTTCCTAGAAAAGACATAGAAGACATGACTCCAAACTGATAATTGGACTTCATCAAAATTAAAAACTTCTCTGAGTGACGCTTGAAAAGATAAACTAGATTGAAAGTAAATACTTGCAAATCATAAATCTGATTAACAGCCTGTATCTAGAGTATGTGACGATCTCAAAATGCAAGAGTGACAAAACAAACAGCCCAACTTTATTTAAATAAAGGGCCTGAACACATACTTCACCAACAAAATCTACAGACGGCAAGCAGACATATAAAAATGCTTCATATGATAAAAATATATCACTATATACAATGATATCTACTCATGATCAGGGAAATTCAAATTAAAACCATAATGATATGCCACTACACATCTGTTAGAATGGCTAAAATGAAAAAGACTGACCACATCCAATGCTGCAGACGATGTAGAGAACCACTGATACACTGAACAGTGTGGACAGACCTCAAAATAATTATCCTGAGTGAAAGAAGCCAGATCAAAGAGGAATAGTACTGTATGATCCATCCCCATATTAATAGAACTCTAGAAAGTGCAAAGTTATCTGCAGCGACAGGGAGTAGATTGGATTGGTGGTTACCTGGGGACTGCGCCAGGGGTAGGGAGCGATGATGAGGGCACAGGGAAGCTTTTGGGGGTGATGAATATGCTCACTGTCCAGATTGTAGCAATGGTTTCTTGGGTGTAAACAGATGCCCCAAATGATCACAGTGTACACTTCCGTATGTGTAGTTTTTAGTATGTCAATTTTACCTCAAAAAAGCAGTTGTGATGGACTGAGTGACTGCGTCCCCCAGTAATTCATATGTTGTACGCTTCCCCTCAAAGTGACGGTATTAGGAGGTAAAGCCTTTAGGAGGTAACTATGGTTACGTGTGATCATAAGGGTGGGCCCTCAGGATTGGATTAGTGTCCTTATAAGAAGAGATGCCAGACAGCTTGCCTCTAGACCTGTGAGAAATAACTGTATGCAGTTTAAGCCACCCACCCAGTCTGTGGTACTTTGTTACGGCAGCCCCAGCAGACCAAGCTTTTAAAAATCAATATAAGCATATTCTAAATCATCTAAATGGCCATTTGTAAGAAGAAGCTGCGAGGTAATCTCAGGACCTGTGTTTGCGTTTGTGTCTTTGGCTGCTTGTGCAAGTGTTATTACCTTCACTGCCACCAGCTAACAATAAGGAACAAAGGTAGAGGTGCTCACGCCACTTGACACTCAAGTGACATCACAGCGTGTCAGTGAAGATTTGCCCTGGTTTGAATAAAGGCCAATGTTGAGAATACAGATCCACTCCATTGTATACACAGGCATGTTAAAATAAAAGGAGCCAGCTCTGCAGCTGTCCATATACGTTCACAATTCTACTGGCAATTTAGTTGTACCAAAACATCTCATCAAGTTAATCTGGTAATTTTATTTGTATTGGTCTTACAATTTGGCATGTATATAATTTGGAAAAGCGGTTTCACAGATTTAAGTATTATAAGCATAAGGATTCTGTATTTAATTTTATGTTGATGCATATTTAATGTTTTTATTATAGTACTGGTTACATAAATGGTAGGGATCAAGCACATTTTTTCTTGTGAAAGGGGTCGGATTTCAAAGCCTCTGCCACCAGCTGCACCAGCCATCGGCACCATCTGACCACCTCCTACCCTCACCTCCCCGTTTCTGGTAACAGTGATGAAGGAATGATCAGGGCCAGAAGGGATCCTGTAGGAGCCTCATGTAGGTCTTGTTCACTGGGTTCTTGAGGTTCAGTTCAGGAGCCTGATCATCTCCGTGTGGGTTCTTTGCATGCTGTGACACACAGCACCAGCCGCACACACTGCAAAAAAACCCTGGACGGACCCAGGGGCTCCTCCGAGATGGATCCAAGAGCAAACTTGGTTTCAAGCGCCCACGTTCAGCATCAACACGTGAAGCAAATACAACATTAAACAGCTCCTACTTATCAAAACTGAGAAAGGCTCCAACCCCACTGATGCAAATGCTCTAAGACAGGAAGGGATTTAGGCTCCCTCCCAGGCAGCCAGTCCAGAAACAGGCAATGCAGGATTCCTCGAGAACTGCACAATTGGAAGGAGATGAAAAGTATCTAACTGGAAAACAACAACAACAGCAAAAGTGGGAATGTGGGTCAGGACTACTGGAAATAGGAAATCCACCTTTTTCAGCCAGCTACCGACCAGACTCACCCCCAGTCTGAGTTTCCTGTTCGTGAGGGCTGTGCTAACATTCTGTGTCCACTAACGTCGAGGAATCCTCAAATAGGTCCCAGGGGCTTCTTTCCAAGAGAAACTGAAAGCTCTGCAGCGCTTCTGTGATGCCTGGTGTGGTCTGCCTTGCTGCCATCCAGCATGACTGCCCCAGTGCCCCGCCCTCCCTCATGCTCAACTATGGATGCATCTTGGCCCTCAAGACTGTGTCTGGGTCCTCGTTTCTCCCGCCGTGTGGCTGGAAGGGAGGCAGCTGGTTAGCACGCGGAGACCTGACGAGAGTGTGGCTGTGCCTAGAACCAGCTCCGATGCTCCTCGTTCGAAACACCCACCCCTGTGTGCACAGCACCTTGTTCTTTCGTGCATTTCACCCTACATGGGATGTTGTTTCGTTTTTTTTTTTCTTTTATTTTGAGATGGAGTCTCACACTGTCGCCTGGGCTGGAGTGCAGTGGTGTGATCTCGGCTCACTGCAACCTCTGCCCCCCGGATTCAAGCAATTCTCCTGACTCAGCCTCCTGAGTAGCTGGGATTACAGGCACCCACCACCACGCCCAGATAATTTTTTGTATTTTTAGTAGAGACGGGGTTTCACTATGTTTGCCACGCTGGTCTCAAACTCTTGACCTTGTGATCCGCCCACCTCAACCTCCCAAAGTGCTGGGATTACAGGCGTGAGCCACCGCGCCCGGCCCATGGGATGTTGTTTCTGAGGCATGTGTCTCCATCAGCTGCCAGCATAGCGTCTCCTTGATGTTGGGCCTACGCCTGACCTATTTCTCCACCCTCCACCACGGTGTCTCGTACATGGCAAATGCCTCCTAGGAATTGTTTCCAATCAGGACAGGCCCTTCTGATTGACAAGAAACAAAGACCTGTGTGCCTGGAACAGCACTGCTCAGCTCAGCAGAGCCTGGCGCCTGTGGATGCAGAGGGGAAGCACTGGCCAGACTGCTTCCATCCCGGCTCCGCGTAGACTCGTTGTGCCACCCCGGGCAGGTCCTATGCCTCCTACTCCCCTATCCCTACAGAGTGGCCTCCCACACCCTGGAGGACAAGCACCTCCTTCAGGCCGTGCTGAGGGGTGAATTCTGTGGTAAAAACACCCAGCCACTCTCTCTCAGTTAACCCACAAATCTGATGGGATTTCAGGAGCTGAAGAGGGGATGGGATGTCAGTGAGGACACCGGATAAGGCCCTGAGGTGCTTGCTGCCTTCGAGCGGGAGGGACACGGCTTCAAAGGCCACTTCCTCAGAGACAGCAAAATCGCATTCCACACAGAGCGGGCCCCATGCTCTGAAAACATATTTGATCCTGTGACATTTATAAGCCACAAGATTTTCCTCACAGGAGCTAAAAATAGCTAACACAGTTCCAATGAGTCCAACAGCCACAGCCACCCTAGTCCGGAAGCTTGGGCCAGCCCAGGCCAAGAGGGTTGCCATGGAAACAGCAGACCTGGGAGGGTGCCATGAGCAGGGAGGGCCGCGTACCTGCCCTGCAGCCTTGGGGGACTCGGGCGACTGAGGTGGCTGTCCTGGACGGGGCACGCTAGGGTGGGCGGCACCTATCGGAGGGGAACAGCAGGCAACCTGTATCGCTCTACGTGTAGCCTTTTCTTTTTAAAATAAATGAAGGGATGTTTGGCAGACAGCAAGGACTCTGGAGTCAGAGAGAGGCAGGGACAGCAGGAGACCTGTCACAAGTTGACTCTGGGGACCTAGGTAGGGCACGCTGTGTCTGGGTGTCCTCGGGAATAAAAGGGGGATGGCAACACCGTACCATGCCTTCTGGCGCCTGGCACGTGTGCTCAGTACACAGAGCTGTGCTCTCTCCACCTCCAGCTGTCCAAGCTTGGAGAGGCAGAGGGAGAAAGAAGCAAGTGTCACATTCCCTGGCCCAGAAGGCCCGGCACCAGGTGCATGCCATGCAGGAAACCCTCAGCCACAGCCGCAGGGGTGGCTCACTCGCTTGCTCAGGGGACACAGGACCCCCCTGTGCCATGCAGGTCACACTGCCCCCCTCGGGCCGAGCCATCAGCAGAATAAGGGGAGCCCATCACAAAGGGCTTGCCAACCATCCCAGCCTCCTCTTCGTCTTCTCCAAAGGCCCCGTGTTCTAATCAAACTGACGTCGTTTCTGTTCCCAAATGTATCAGAGGTTTCTGCCAACCTTCCAGCTCCACCCACAGCCCCTGAGGAGAGGCTCCCTGAACAAAAAGACCCTGAGTGTGACATGGTGGCTGACTGGCCCACAAACAGACTCTTGATGCAAACCAGCCAGACCCCTTGTGGGTCAGATGCCAATCATGCGCGAGTCAGTTGGTGATGGGGACTTGGGCTGAAAGGACTCACTGCCACTGCAGGCATGAGGACAGCAGCTGAGATAGGCATCCCAGAAGGAGGGAAGGAAAGTGGCCGCCTTGGCCCCTGAGCTTCCAGGTCCCAAGGCCAGTCCCCACGGCTCCCTTCCCCTGACAACACACTCACACCTCTTGAGCTGGCAGGTGTGTGTCTTTGTTCCTGCCACTAAATGCTCTGGTTTTTTAAACCTCAATGCCTTTTCTTTCCTTTCCCCATTATCTCAGCATGCTGGAACCACACCGTTCCCACAGCTCTGAGCTCAGATGTCTCCATGAGACTCACAGTCTTTGCCGACCCCAGTTTCCAGGTGGCTGCCCCCACCCCCGGCTCTGCATGATGGCATTTGCGTCTGTGCCTGCTCTGCAGGCTTACAGGAAGGCTGACTTCTCAACAGTTTCTGTTATCCCGACTGCACTCAGCACAGAGCCATCACTCAGTAAAATGTGTCTAATTGGATAAAAGAGACCCACGCTCTTCTGCAAAAGGGCTGCTTCCACCAAGAAAGGGACTCCAGGTTCCTGAAGGGAGGCCGACCACTCTGTAGCCCCAGGAACACGGTGTCTGGGATGGCGGAGGCACCACACTTATTTACAGACACGCCCCGAGGCAGGACAGGGTGTGCAGTCAGCTTCCTTAGACATGTAAGGAGTGCCTTTTCCTTTCCACAAGGAAAAGGGGAGTTGTGTAGACACCATGAGATGTGACCACTGCCCTCGGGAACACATGCCAGAGATGACAGCCTGACACAGAGCACTGCATTCCGAGTCACACAGGGGAGCACTGCATTCCGAGTCACACGGGGGAGCACTGCATTCCGAGTCACACGGGGGAGCCCTGCATTCCGAGTCACACGGGGGAGCACTGCATTCCGAGTCACACGGGGGAGGCCTGCATTCCGAGTCACACGGGGGAGCCCTGCATTCCGAGTCACACGGGGGAGCCCTGCATTCCGAGTCACACGGGGGAGCCCTGCATTCCGAGTCACACAGGGGACTGGCTCCCAGCTTGGCCACTTTCTGACTGGGAGCAGATCATTTAACCACAGTTACCCGTGTGTAAAATAAGGTTATAGACAGTTGTCAAGCCCCAAAAGCTGTCAGGAGAGTTTGATGAAGTATTTAGGTGAAGTTCCTGGCCTAAGATGCCAACACCAACAGAGGGCTTGAAACGCCAACTTCACCGAGCACTTGCTGAGGGCTTCCTCTGTGCCAGGTACTCTTTTGGGAGCCACAACATCCATAAATCAATGGCCTCCAAGGAAAGCTTGTAAAATAGGTCATTATCCCCATTTTATGGCCAATAAAATGGAGGCTCAGAGAGGGAATGAGTTGCTTCTCGCCCCACAGCTGGTGAGAGGTGAAGCTGAGCCGTGGACCTTGAGCTGTTGGGCACCAACGCTGGCAAGCCCTCTTAAGGAAGAGCACTGCCAGGGTCCACCTTCCCACCACCAACACCCCTCCCCAGTGGCTCCCTGGGCACTAAGAGCTTTGTTATAGGGAACAAATGGAAGCAGAACAAAAGACAGAGAACCCAGCGACCAGGACCATGTCTCAAGCTACAATTACAGGCACTGCTTAAGCCAGGACAGCCACTAGGCCAACAAGCCAGAAGAGAAGGGCGAAGGGAGCCACCCAGTACCTGGCCCTGTGATATCATCCTAGCAGGGACACAGTAAAGAGGCTAACTCAAGACCCCAGGCAGGTGGAGAACTTCAAAGGGCCAATGAGGCCACCCTGGCCACTGGCTCAGACCACACAAGACCCAGGAGTCTCAGCAAAGCCTTAAGTTAGGTCACAACCCAAGACACAGAGAGCAAGGGCTGTGGGCGATGGAGGAAGGAGGCGGCGGCGAGAGGCTCTCACAGACTGAGCACCTGTGTCAGATGCTTGAGCAGACACTTTATAGAGAACAGCTCATGTATTAGTCACGAGGAATCATTTTTCAGATGTGGAAATCAAGGTGTCAGGGGTTAAGTATCTTGCCCAAGATGGATGGCAAATAAATGCCAGGTTGGAATTTAAATATAACCCCGTCTGGCCTCATCACCTGTGGTCGGCATACTTTGGACCCTGCAGTGCATGCAGCTGCTGTCCACAGACAATGGCCTGAGCCCCATCCCTTGATGAGACTCCTCTGACCACCACTGAACCTCCCACAGCTTGGACACCCAAGTGGCAAAAGCCTTTACAAAAGAACAAAGGCCCAGTGAGACTCCTGTTGGGGTGAGTCTGCCCAGCATCGCCCTCCGGAAGATTCAGCCTGGCCCTGAGCCCCGACACCCCGTGTTCCAGAGCCCTCTCCCTCTGTACCTGGTCTGAACTGGCCACCCCTCCTTGGGTTCTCCCGCCTCTCAATGTCATTCATCCTTTTTGTCAGCCTGACCCTTTGTCAGGCCAGCTCCACTACTACCCGTATCTGTGCCTTCCACAGGCCACACCGCCCCACGGCTACCAACCACTGTGACAGGTGACCCAGCTGTCAAGTCTGGACTCTGCCTCTCGCCAGCTGTAGGCCAGGACTCACCAATCTCTCCGTCCTCAACGGAGAAGCCAGAATCCTGCCTGTTAGCCAGAGTTGTGGAGAGGACGGTGACCATGTGGGGGACACCCAAGCACCCCACCTGGCCCTCAGGAAGAGCCCCAAGTGACAGAGCTGCTGTCCCTTCTGCACTCCTGCCACTGCAGCTGGTGGGGCTCAGCTTGCATGGGGGCTCCACAGCAAGTCACAATCTGTTCCCAGTGGTGCCCGTGAGGAGCCAGTAGGGACAAATAATGGTTGTTCGGTGGCTTAACCCCTAACGTTTTAGGATTTCCCTTCAGGGTCCACGTGTCCCCAATACCAAGTTCCATAAAACAAGCAAACAAATAACAAAACATCTCCTTTTGTAACCCCTTCAGAGCTAGAGACAGGAAGAAAAAAACAAACAAGGCAGATTACAGGACATGAGATCCCAACACAGAACGTCCTTCTCCTGGTATATGCTGAAGAGGAGGACAGCAGGAAACCCACATGTGTCCTCGGACAAACCCACGTGTGTCCTCAGCTGCGCCTGCACATTTCTACCGTCTGCCCACTACACAGAGCAGGGATAGCTGTGAGCACACAGGCTCTGGTTCAAGGGCCTTCTTTCTATATGATGGCAGTAGCTGCTGCCATCATGCCGGCTGTGGCAGGGAGCATGGCAGGGAGGCATGGCTGGGGCTGTATACTCCATGGAGCCAGTGAGAGCCCCACCCCTTCTGAATTGGAGTGGGAGCACCTGGGGTGCCACAGCTGCCCAAACCACCACCCAAACCATAGCTGCAGACCCAGGCCTCCTGCTCTACGGAGCAGGCAAGAGCCCCACCCTACTGGGCAGGGCTACAGCCACTGAAACTGCAGCTATGGAGCCAAGCCTCCCTGTGCTCTCAGGGGAGCCAGGAACAGGCAGGAACTGCCTTCCCAGGTGTGGTTGCAGCCATCCTCCCAGGTGCAGGACCTGGGCGTTTCTGCAGCCTGTAGCCTGCACCCTTGGGGGCCCCAGAAAGGACCCTCCCCTCATCCCTGCAGGCTCAGGGGTGTCTGCTCCCACTGCCTGGCCTCTCTCAGCTCCTGGTGCCTGCTCTGATCTCAAAGCGGGGGACTTGTGCTGCCTCTTCTGGACCCACCCATGGCTGCCTATGGACCAGTCGGCAGGCACTTCCTCGCCTGTGAGGTTTATAAAAGCCCCAGACTCAGCCAGGGTAGAAGAGAGGATGACAGAGGATAGCCAGAGGACAAACAGGGCAGAGAGATGACGGGATGACCAGCTGCAGAGACAAATAACCCCTCTGCTGATAGCTGGAGATGATGGGACAACCAGCTGCAGAGAGGAGCTCCTCTCTCTGCTGAGAACTGCAGACATCAGGACAACCAGTTTCAGAGGAGCTACCCTCTCCAGGGCCTCTTCTCTGCTGAGAACTGAACACTTGAAGGATGACTTGCCTACAAAGAGGAGCTATCCACTGTGGTCTCCTCTAGCTGTTGTAACACTCAATGACGCTCATCTTCATCTTGTTCACCCTTCATATGTCTTTGTACCTCAGTCTTCCTGGATGCAGGACAAGAACTCGGGCAAAGGCACCACTGGCCGCAGAGATTTCCGGGAAGAAAATCGGCACTCCAAAGATCCCAAGATCCCAGAACAGTAAGATTCAGTGTCTGTAACATATCACATGCTAAATAGCTATTATAACACATCAGAATAAACTTGATAGCCATCCATAAGCCGTGAAGCTGAGCAAAGGCACCAAGGTGTAAGAACACAAGTTGTATGTTCTCTTTTTTTCATTCATCCATTCATTCAACACACACACAGTATTTGTGGTTTTTCAGTAGTATCTATCATCCAAACACCATCATATCCTGCCTCTTCCATCTAGTCATTGGAACATTTATCCATGTTGCCAGAATAAACTTGGGGTGAGCCTGAAGTTGGACCTTGACATGGTGCCAGACATCAGTCCCAATCCTGGAGAACCCACTGCCATTCTCCCAGCCCCACTGGAAGCATGTGGCCACGGTGACCAGGAGGACACATGGACTTTCACAGCAGGACCCAAAGAGCTTCTGCAAGAACCCACCAGAGCTCCCTCCCCTGTCAGCTCAGGGAGGCCCAGCATCACAGCCTTGAGCAGCATAAGGGTCCTTATAATGGAGAGAGGGAGGCAGTTGGGTTGGAGCCACAGAAGGAGGCAAACTTATGCAGAGGCTGGAGGGAGGCTGGGCCATGAGCCAAGGAGTGCAGGGGCCTCAGGAAGCCGGAGGAGCAAGGGAACAGATTCCCCCCAGGCCTCCAGCAGGCATACAGCTTACTCCTCCATGTTCAGACCTCTGACCCCCAGGAGTGGAAAATAATAAATGTGTGTTGTTTTAAGCCAATAAGCTTGTGATAATTTGTTACAGCAGCAATAGAGAACTAATACCACTAACGAGAGACGGAGGTGTCTCTCATTAAAGACTACATGATATTTAATGTGGCCTGCATATTAAGTATCATGTAGCAAGGTTTAATTTTTCATAGACCTTTGGATACAATACATAGAAATCGGTGATAATACTGCTATTTTTTCCCACCCCAGTGGCTCTCATGCTCTCCCTTGGAGCCTTGCACTAAATCATGGCTAACAGGCTAACAATGCTGCGTCTGCCTCCTTCTAAGCCCGGGCTACGGAAACAGCAGAGCAGATACTTCTAGGAAGGTTAGATTTAACCCTAGGCTTCCCAAGGATGGCTGAGGTGTAGAGGAGTTAAGGAATTTGCCCATTTTCACTTATTTACTGTTTTGCTCACTCATTTCATTTCATCCTTATTCCCTGGGTGAGCGTGGCTTCCTGTGGCCATGTAGGAGCTTTTGGAGGGATGGGAGACTCGTCCTTTCAGTTGAAGGCAACACAACTCATTCTCCTTTCATGGCCTCAGGTCACGTGGGCCCCTTTCCCTTTCACTTTTAGATGATCTACCAGGAAATGTTCAGGTTTTCATGAAAATTAAGCACACCTTCATGCTACAGCATACCTGCAAAGCCATTTGATAGATGTAACACAGGACCTAAAGGGCGTCGGAACCAGTGAGGGATTCCCTCCGAGAACCAGTTCTACCAAAAAAAAAAAAAAAAAAAAAAAAAAAACAACTACAGACCAAGTCTCAAACACAAGGATGCTTATTTCTATGTTATTTAAAATACAGAAACAATGGAATCAATTAAAATGACTGATGATAGGGCATGATTAGTAAATTATGGTATATATGTAGAATTGACTTATGCAACTATAAAAAAATTATGTTTGTTTTTAGCCAGGCACGGTGGCTCACGCCTGTAATCCCAGCACTTTGGGAGGCCGAGGCGGGTGGATCACGAGGTCAGGAGATCAAGACCAGCCTGGCTAACATGGTGAAACCTTGTCTGTACTAAAAATACAAAAAATTAGCCGGGCGTGGTGGCGGGCACCTGTAGTCCCAGCTACTTGGGAGGCTGAGGCAGGAGAATGGCATGAACCTGGCAGGTGGAGCTTGCAGTGAGCAGAGATCGCGCCACCTGTACTCCAGCCTGGGCGACAGAGCAAGACTCTGTCTCAAAAAAAAAAAAAAAAAAAAAGCGGGGGAGCACCTCAGGAGGCCAGGGAAGGCCTCAGGGCAGAGATGATGTCTGGGAGAATGAGGCGGGATTCTCCAGACTGACAGATGGATGGTGGTCTCTCCACAGGGTGTGTGGACAATCAGTTCATAGCCAACTCTGGAATGCACTCTCTCACAGAGCACTAACTCAACACTCTCTAAGAATCCTCCGCCTTGGAGAAGATTCAGTGGCTATGATCTAAGAAGCCGAAAGCCAAGTTCTACTCGAGGCTCTTCTACCAGGCACTGAGAAGGCCACTCTGAGCCTCAGGATCCTCATCTGTGAGGCAGGGCATCAGGGCTTTCGGTATCTCAAAGATCCCTTCCAACTTAACCATTCCAAAGCTTAAGGGACTTCGGAGGTATTTCTATACAGAAAAATCATTACAAATATGCAGAACAGCATCTCCAAGATGATAAAGCCTAGTTATTTAAGAAAACATAAAGAGATGAAATGGTAGGAAGCATGGCAACACTGTATACCTTTGAGTCCTCAACAAATTTGAGGAAAAATAATATTTGCTGGAGGCCAGATTTTTAATTTCCCTAAAGTACTATTCCCACCAAGGACCTTAGACCCCAGTGCTGCTCATACATGCACTTGAGAAGCTTACGTGAAAGCAGGAGAGGAATGCTGTCCATAACATTGCCCAAATGCAGCTGATCTATCCTATCGTACCGAGCCTAACTGGGGCTGTTGCTCTCCTACTGATCCACTGGACTCGGGGCCAGGTGAAGGTGCTGAACTGTCCTCAGCTGTAGGACTGAGTCTATTCCAAGTCAGCCCAGGCTGGCTGTAACTCTCTGTGGACTGGCCTGTCTTCGTCCCTCAGCAGGGGGTCTCTGGGGGACACAGGGCCCAGCTGCCTTCCACAGGCTTCTAACCACAAGGCAAGGATGACGGCCCATTCATCTGCAGGCCCTCAGCCCCTAGCACAGTGCTTTGCACGTTCAGGAATTGAGAAATGATTGTGCAGTGGAAAATGACCATTTAGGATAGTCCTGTGTTTTCTGAAATGTGCCCTCTATAACTTGCAATGTTGGGAGATTCTCCCCGCATGACAATCCTTGAAAAGCCACCTTTTCCCCAGGATGACACCCTGGGGTGCTGCAGCAGCTCCCGAGGCTCCCAGCCACCTCATTAGCTTCCTTTGAACAGACTGAAGTCTGCACACGTCCTCCTCAGGGGAGTCCATCAGAGCTGCAGAACTGGGGCTGACAAGATAGGTCCTAGGATCTCATTGAGCCGAAAATGATGCATTCATGAATTTTTAATAGTAGAAAATTTATCAAGAACAAAGAACAAAGGTTTCCAAGGCAAAGAAGCTTTGCTTGCTGGTCTCCAGGAGCCCCCAGCTGACACTGGCTGAGATTTTCCATCCCATATCCATTCACATTCACCAACCAAACCTCTGCTTCCCTGTTCCAGAGACATACCCTAGTGCAAGGGGAAATACAAACAATGCAATTACTTTTAAAAAGCAGAGACGCATCACACGGGGGAGAGAAGGCTCCATGTTGAGCAGAGTTGGCTACGTGCTGAATGTGGAACAGGTTCACTGGGGAGGACTAATTGGAAATAAAAGAATTTCCTTTAACCTAATCACCAATAAACAGCAGTGAGGGAAGCACAGCAGACTGACATCTCGGGCTGACATCTCGCACAGCCTGCGCCACAAGGCCTTCCGGCACAGCACCAGGCCTGTCTGCGGGAGGCTTTGCAAGGGGAAAATGTCCTTGGTACCTATCCATTTTGAAAAACAGTAACTACGACTACTACTTTCACATAGGACGTTTCTATGAAGTTGTGAAGAGTTCTGCTCAGCCAGTGCCTCTGGGCCCCTCCAAGCGAGTCACAGTATGAGAGGTGGGGGCAGAACAGACAAGGCCACTGGCTTGACCATCTCTCATCCTCGAAGGGAGGTGGAGATGGGGCACAGTCATCCCATTCCACCCCAGAGAAGGAGACCAGATGCCAGATAACCTGCATCCAAGCCCCACTTTGCTGGGTTCCCGGCACACGGAGTGGTGGGAAACGCAGGATCACCCTGGGCCCACAAGCTCCTCTCTCTGCCAGGGCAGGGTGCTCTCACCCAGGGCTGAGACTTCTCACCCATCAGACCCTGCTCTCTGCTCCCACAGGACGCATGCTGCACCCTTCCTCAGCCCTAGCTCCTGCAGCGGTGGGGCTCCTGCAGGGAGGCACACAGGCCCAAGCTTGGTCCTTCTTCCAGAATAGCCTACTGTGCACGCATTGCTTCTGTTTTTGTCTCAGTCTGTTTCTTGTGTTAAATGGGTATAAATTTGCCTGTTCCTTAGGGCTGCAGGTGGCACGATGCTTGGCACACTCTGCGTCTCAATAAATGCCAGCTCCTTTCTAATCCCACTGTAACAAAACCTTCTCAAGAGCAGGGAGAGAGCTGTTTTTCTGTACCGGCCATAGGGGGTTGAGTCTAATAAGTGCTCAATAAACCCCAATGAAAAGAACAACAGCCTCATTTACATGCTGAGTACACACGTGCATCAATACATATCATGGCAGGTTTCAGATGGTCATTTCGGTGCAACCTCAGCACCATTCCCGACATACGGTTTAGCACAAACTGGGTGCTCCATGAAAGTCTTTGGAATGAAAATAGAAAAGAATAAGAGAATACAGAGTCAACTGTAAGATGACATATTAACATAGGGTAAGAAAAAAGCATGCACCTTTTAAAGAGAGCAAAAAGTCAACGTAAAGACGAAGTTTTAATAAGCATGGTAGTTTGTCTTTAAATGCAGTGGAAGTGCGGTAGATTGCGTTACTGTCCGAAACACTCAGGGCCCCTTCCTACAGGATCATCCAGCCTCACCTTGTTGGGTTCTGGCTGCCTCATGACTTGTTTGACTGAGAGCATAATGGAAGTCACACAGGCCACCTGCAAGCAGAATGCTCATGAGCAATTCTTGGGTCCTTCCCCTTCACTTTTCCCTCTGCCATACTCCCCAGTATGTCTCAGAGAGGACTTGGGTCACTGAATGAAAGCAGACCGCAGCAGAGCCAAAACCAGGCTGCAATAGACACAGAACTTAAATGAGAAACAAGTATTTGTGCTGCTGCACTAAGTCACTAAGATTCTGGGCCATTTGTTACTGGAGAATAACTTATCCTGCACAGAATGATACAGATCAGGGTTCGAATGACTCGATCCAGTTCCTACTGTATTGGCCACTCAGCTAGGTGTCGGTACAGAGAGATGATGAAGACAGGATTCCTGCCAAAGGGGGCTCCCAGTGGAGAGACTGATGTCTAAACAATGACACTAGGCATATGCTGTGCAGGACATGTGCACAGAGTGCTCCAGGAGCCCTGATCACAGTGGCTGGGGAAGCCAAAGGCAGGTGACATGGTGAGGAAATGCCTGGGCCCGCCAGGAAGAAAGAGCACAACTGGCTGTTCATGGCCTCACGCCCACAGCACTGTATGTTGTATTACCCCAGCATTTTTCCTTTGTCTTCTCCCTCTGCTATGGAATAATAACTGGAAACTGTATAATAAAACAGGTTTTAAAAAGCACGCTTTGTTTTTGTTTTTAAAAAAAACACAATGGTGGCCGGGCGCGGTGGCTCACACCTATAATCCCAGCACTTTGGGAGGCCGAGGCGGGCGGACTGCCTGAGGTCAGGAGTTCCAGACCAGTCTGGCGAACATGGTGAAACCCTGTCTCTACTAAAAATACAAAAAAATTAGCCAGGCATGGTGGCGTGCACCTGTAATCCCAGCTACTCAGGAGGCTGAGGCAGGGGAATTGCTTGAACCAGGGAGGTGGAGGTTGGGAGACTGCAGTGAGCCAAGATCGCACCACTGTACTCCAGCCTGGGCGACAGAGCAAGACTCTGTCTCAAAAAAAAAACCAAAAAACAAAACAAAATAAAAAAACAAAAAATAAAAAAAAGCACAATGGTGCTTCTGTGTGCTCTTTCATTACGTAAAGCTGAGAAACCCGCACCCCTGGCCCACAGCCTGATTATCTCCCCCATGTTTAGCTGCCTATTATCTGTGTGTCCCCATGTCTCCAGCAAGCCCTGGAAACCAGCCCCACTTAAAAGTCTTATGTTCTTTCCCAGGAGGGGATGCCCAGTCTGACTCCTGCCTTCCTGGGATCTCAGAGAGCTCCAAGACGACCCTGAAATATGGTGGGGACAAGGCCAGCAGGAACAATGGGACTCGGCCGGCCTTTGGGCCAGACCAGCCTGGGCTCCAGAATCACGTCGCTAGTGGGCAGGGATACGTGCATTCACAAAGTCACCCGCTCCTTAAGGGAGACGTTGTCTACTCCGGACAAGGCTCATGTGGAGGGGCCTCTTCCCGTTCTCCTCTTCAGAATGACAGGAGCCTGCCACAGAAGAGTACTCATAAGTGGAGCGACTACCACTTACGGATGAGTTGTTAAATACAAGACAGGCACTACACCAGGTGCACAAGAGCGAGTCACCCAACTTGTCCTCATCCCGGCCTAGCAAGGGAGGTACTGACATCATCCCCGTTTCACAGATGCCAACACTGAGGCTCAGAGAGGTTAAGTCACTGACCCGAGATTACACCACATGCAAATGTGGTGAAGGAAGGACTCTAACCCCCGTCTCTGCAGCCCAGAAGCTTATGGCCCGTCCACAATTTGTCACATGGAGAGACCATCAGCTCCAGCTGCACTTCAGACAAACTCCATGGCTAGAACAACAGGAGTCCAGAGATAGCAGGAACAGGAGTCATGGTTTTGTGTGTGTGTGCAAGATGTGTGAACACAGCCACATTCTCTGAACACACGTACGCACACTGCACGTGGATCGTGCATGTCTAACGCAGCCATTCCAAGTGGAAAGATGAGCGAAGGGAATTGAGAAGATGGCCCGGATGGGCAAATGCCCGTTCTTATGTTCAAGATCCAGTGTCGCTGCTTTGGGCATGAGACAGAGGGCATCATGTCACACACCTCCCACCCCAGGGCAGCTTCTGTGCCCCTCCTTGGATGCCCCCGCCTCCTGTGCTCATTTGTACTGCAGCCTTTCCCTCTCGCTAGACTGGGGTCTCAAAGCCACTGTCCTTTTAATAGCCGCATCTGCAGCGCCTGGTGCGTGGCTTGGCTCCTGGAGAAAACGTGATTCATATTTGGAATGGCCAAGCAAGGCAGGTCTGACAGAAGTCACTGCAGGAGGGTCTCATGGCCTAGGTTCGGATCCTGGCTCAGACACATCCTAGCAGCGCCACCTGGGGCAAGGGGCTTCACCTCACCAAGCCTGGGTCTCCTCAATGGGCTAGCAGGAATATGACAAGGATCACAGAGGTGACAAGGCACATCTGCAAACCTGCAGCTAACACTGAAGGGCTGGAAAATGTGAACCTGTAGAGCACAAAGGTGTCAGCAAATGTCAGTGGGATGCCGTGGAATGCTCCTCGCCCCCCAGTGCCACCAGGCACAAAGGTTCAAGCTTGGGAAGCCAAAAATGCTCTCCCCTGCCATGGCTGCTTTGATTGTGTCTATCTTGGGGAGTTTCCAGTGGCTAATAGATCTGGAGTTAATGTAACTTCACAAAGACTTTAGGAACTAACACAAATTAAATGACTCCATTATGTCAGCCTCATTTCACTTTGGTTTTGCCGCCAACAGTTCTAACAGGCAAGCACTTTGCTCTATGACACTGTCTTGTTATCCAAGTTTCCAGCCAGTTTTCCACATTGAAGTATTTCTTTCAGTACGCAAAAAATGTTGTGTTAGCCACAGTCTAAGGAAAGACAGCAATTTTTCTTGGCCATAAACAGCCTGGTCATAAACCACAGCCTGTTTTCTACGAGACCTCCTCCTCCTGCTCTTTCTGCCCTTCCTAGGCAGAAAAGCATCATGTAAGGCTGAAGGGAAGCACCTCGGAAACAGGCGCCAGCGATGCCCAAAGAGAAGGAGCCGGGCATCAGGAGTCCAGGTCCCAGCTCTGCCGCCTGACGCTGGCGCCCGCAGCATCTCTGGGCGTCACAGCCCTCTGCTGGGAACTGCAGAACTCGGTCCCCAGTGCTGTTCACAGCCTCAGTGGCATGTCACATGAGAGAAGATGTGAAAGTCTTAGAAATTAGGGAGCCCAGGACATGAGAGGCATTTGAGGACTCAAGAATGGGCAGGAAGGAGAGGATCAAGGGGAGGGAGGGTACAAGGGAAGGCAGGAGGGCAGATCTGGGCTGGGAGAAGCGGGAGCCAGTAGCCTGAGATCCCTCTGGCACCCCAGAGAGAGGCCCCTTCATACAGCCTGTCCCAGAGACCTCAGACACACGGAGGGGCGCGGCTTCCCTCCGCCTTTCCCAGGGTCTCACTCACAAGAGGGAAGAAAAAGGGTCACCTTTTCCAGGTGCCTTACAGGGTTATAATCAGCTCTACTTCTACCTCCTCATGGGACCCAGCAGAGGCCCAGCTTGCTGGACTGGACCTAAGTGTCAAGGGCCAAATTCAGGGAGCAGGGCTGTGGCAGGGGTAGAGTCACGTGCCAGGCCTGCAATGCGCAGCCCAGTGCCCTTTGTCCAGGATCACAGTACAACCTTTCTGGTGTGGCCAGAAGCCAGCTGAACCTGAAGGGATGGGGGCCACGTGGCTAGACAACCTCTGCCCCCTGTCGAACCCCCTCCACCCCAGCTGTGACTCCTGCCCTCCCCGAGTGAGTGAACGGCAACCCCACCTGCCCTGTGGCCCAAACCCTTCCCCTCCTTCTCCATACCCCACACCCCTAAACCCTGCCAAATTCTCCTCCTACCCACACATCCCGGAATCCACCTCTTTTCTCTGCACCAATGGCACCCCCAGGCCCAGCCACTGCAACCCACCCCGAGATCAGCACCCAGGCTCCCGCCAGTCGTCACTCACCCCTTCCAGGCACTTCCCAAAAGGCCAATCTGATGGCACACTCTCCTGCCTTCTCATGACCGTCCCTTCCCTCACAAGAGACCTGACTTCGACCTTGGCTCATGGGCCCTGCTGCCCCTCCAGCCTCACCCTGGACTATCGTCTCTGCCCTCACTCCCACCCTGAACAGCTTCAGCCTCGGGAACCCAGTGTGCTCCCCCGCCCCCAACCTCCTGGCCTGGCACAGGCAGTCCTCACTGGTGAGCAATCCCCACCCAGCTGCCCTCTGCCTGCCCAGCTCCTCCTGGCCGGTGAATCTCCCCTGAAGGCCTCTTCCACCAGAAAGCTGTCCCCAACACCTGCACCCAGGCTGGCTGGAGGATGAGCCCCTCCTCAGCAGTCTCTGGGCCTGCCCCTGCCTTCATACCTTGCAGAGGTGGGTGCTCTATCCCCTCGAGCCCAGTGCTCTCTGCACAAAGAACCATGCCTTGTTCTCAGCTGTTTCACCAGCACCAGGCGTGCCTGGCAAGATGACATGCACTTAACATGAGGAATCAATGGCAAGAATGAATGCTAAAGTTCATATATATATATACACACACACACACACATATATATATACACACACACACACACATATATATATACACACACATATATACACATATATATATACATATATATATATACACACACACACACAATTTTTTTTTTTGAGACAGAGTCTCGCTCGCTCTGTCACCCAGGCTGGAGTGCAGTGATGGCTCACTGCGACGTCCACCTCCTGGGTTCAAGCGATTCTCCTGCTTCAGCCTCTCAAGTTGCTGGGACTACAGGCACGCGCCACCATGCCCGCCTAAATTTTTTTGTATTCTTAGTAGAGATGGGGGTTTCACCATGTTGGCCAGGCTGATCTCGAACTCCTGACCTCAAGTCATCCACCTGCCTTGGCTTCCTAAAGTGCTGGGATTACAGGCGTGAGCCACCATGCCCGGCCCTAGTTACATATTTTTAATTTTCAGTATAAAGAACACACCCTGATACCACCCCACACCCATGCCCTCATGCCACCACCAAAGCTTCAGGGAGAATTGAGCAAAACGCATTTAAGGAAACAAATACCTTTGACTCTCTCAGCTTATAAAATGCCCATGGCCCAACTCTGAGGAGGGGTGAGTCCCAAACTTACCTGGGAGGTGCTTCTGTACAGAACAACAACATTTGATACTTGTTTTTACCAAAGTTTTCTCACAGTAATAGATTAAAATTAAGATGATGAAAAGAACCGTATTTTAGGAGGCTCTACCCAGGAGTACAGGAAAACACAGAATTCCTCTGCATCCTTGCAAATGTGCCTCTCCGGGGAGGCTACGCCACAGAACCCCATTCCATCTGACAGGCTACTTGGAAAAAGGGCACAGGGCCTCAGAAGCTCAAGGTTCAGACTCCCCAGACCACGTACAACTCACACAAGACACGACCTGGGCCCCAGACACCACAGCCCTGGCCACGACTTGGCCCAGAGCAACACAAATCACAGGTGCTGTGGCCAAAGTATGTTTTATCTGTACCTCAACTAAGCCTCAGCATCTGAGGCTGGATCCCTGGGGTCACAGAGAGAATGAAAACTTGGACCCCAAAGAACTTCCCTAAAACATGGAGGATGCAAAATAAACAAAAATTTCTTTTCCCATTACCAAAATGCTTATAGATGAGGCAGACGGGGAAGAAGGTCGGAGTTCCAGTTCCCCACAGCTGATACTCCGTCCCAGACCCGGCCTCAGGCTCCCCTTGTCCAGGGGCTCGGCTGAAGCCCAGCAGCTCCTCTCCTCCCACCACTGACTCAGAAGGGACGACCACGTTCTCATTCCTGCCCCCAGCTACCCCATGGACTAGGGGGAGGAGGAAGAAATGGCTTCAACAACTAGAGCGCAGGTGGAATTTAAAAGCCACCCTTTTTCTATGGCAAATGTTTCTACCATAAGAAAAAGTACGTCCCAGTTATTGTGGCCCTGCATAGACAAACGTTTAGCAAGTCCTTGTCATGTGAACAGAGAGGGACCCAGCACAGACTGGCCTCTGAGGCATCCGTCCAAGAGGAAAGGTCTAGGATAGGGGAGGCCTTGGAGGGGTCAGGCCCCGCACCGTATCACCCCAGCAGCAGGGTGGCCACGGGCCAGCGCCCCTGGACAGTCCAGGTTTAGGCCTGCCGTCCCTGCAAGATCTGTGATCACTGTCTGCCCTTCATTCTCAAAAATCTCCAGTCCTGGATGAAAACCACAGGGCCGTGGCACCCACCCTGCCTTAGCCTGCTCTCACACTGACCGTGAGGGTCACACAAGGCAGGGCTTACCAAGTCTACCTTCCTACCAAGACCTGACGTGGACAGGGGGCAAACTGAAAAAGTTGAAATGTTCCACTGCTAAGAGAAGAGGGAATAGTAACGGAAATAAAAATCACTGAGAAATTTCTATGAAATTGGAAAACGACGAATGAACAAAAGTAGTTTCCGGCCTCTGGAGTCACTGGCGCTGACCCCGGAAGGCACGGGTGAAACCACACTGAGCAGCACCAGGGAAAAGTCGAAGGCGGTACTGAGAAAGGTTTTCCTTCCCCACATGCAGGACCCTCTGGGAGGCTGGGGGAGGAGGCCGAGGTGAGTGCCAGGCCCCCAAACCACCCCAGGGACCTTCTCCACAGACCCACTCCTGGATGTTGAGACACGCACCAGGCCCGTCAAGCTACTGCCATCCCTCTCGAGTCCCTGCGAACCTCCCCACACACCCTGTGGGCCACCTGGGAGGGAGAAATGATCTATAAGGACGAATGGCAGGTGAGCAAGGGCAGAGTACCAAAGAAAGCAGCAGGAGCTTCGAGAGCGGCCTGACGGCTCCATGGTCCCCCCATCCCTGCCGCCCAAGCCTCCAGGCCACACTGGGTACTCGTCAGGGAGAGGCGGTGAGGAAAGGAGTTTGAGATTACTCAGGCTCAGGTTTCTCTCCTGTGCCTGCCACGGTTGAAAGATGGATGGGGAATCTGAGATAATAAGAGGCTGAATTCACAGCTCGCCCAGCAGGCTCATGTATCGGTACGCAAGAGAAAACTGTGCGCTTCTAGGAGAACAAGTTACAGACAACACAACAGAAAATGGAAAGCTAGTAGAATCTCAGAGCGTGGATGTACAGTCTCCCAGGAAGGGCAGGAATTCCTGGATGAGCCTCCGCCATGTGACGGGTTCTTCCTGAGCTAACCCAACATCTCCCCGTTCCAGCAGCTGCAGCATCAGCAGACAAGACCCCACCACTGATTACATTAAGTGCCCACCACAGAAACACCCACATGACCTCACTACAACCTCTTGGCAACCCAGAGGGGTAGTTATGATAGTCCTGATTGTGCAGCCCTTGTGGAAACTAAAGCTCACAGAGGTTAAGAAAATGAAGTTATTCAACTCAGGATGGCTTGAGGTCAATGTTTTCTCCATGACATTCAGCCAGCTGGGGCCCAGGGCCCTGGGCCCACTAAAGCATCCCTGTAGACAAGGGAGGTGAGGCACACCCCAGGCTGCCCACTGTGCCGGCTCCTGCTGTGTGTGCTGTTCATGCTCCTTCTCAGCTCCTACAGGGCTCCATTTTACAGACGTGGACGCGAGGCTCACAGAAGACCAGCTCATGTGGAGGCTGGGCCCAGGTTTCCGTGGTCTTCCACTCCGCCCGGCAGCCTCCGGCTGCCTCTCCCTCTCCGCCTTGTTCCCCAGGGGCTGTAGCTCTGCCGAGGGCACCTCCACAGGCCATCCCTGGGGCTGCCTGCTCTGCCTCCCATCAGCAGACCTAGATCAGCCGCACCCGATTCAAAGGGCTCCCCCAGCACTGCACCCCATCAGAGTCAAAGCCCATCCTTGTCTCCAGACTGCCTCTCCAGCTCACTCTCCAGGCTGGAAAGCACCACCAAGAAGGGACAGCGGTGATTATGAGTGAACCTAGGACCAAGGTCTGGCAACTTTCACTAGAGGCCAATGAAAACAAGGACTGCCCTAGACGAGACTTTCCACCAAACTGCATGTGAATGAGGCTCCATACACAGGTGTGGCTTCTGGGCAGCACTAGAGACAGTGGCGACTGCTGGTCAGCCTGGATCACTGGCCTCCGCATTTCGCTAGCACACAGGTTCTGTGACTTCCCTGAACGTCAGAGCACCTGGAGGGCCTCTTAAACTACAGATCGCTGGGCCCTGCCCCACAGTAAGCCTGGCGTGGGTCTAAGAATTTGCATTTCTAGCAAGTTCCCAGGTGATGGTGCTGCTGCTGGCCTGGGTCCGCACTTTGAGAACCACGACTCCCACAGGAGGCTTTCAAGCCAGCTGTGAAGTGGTCATTTATGCTACAGGTGAAAACAGAGAAACCCCAAAAGACAAAGATCAAGGCAAAGGCATCCTCTTCAAAAACCTACAAATTCCTCATTAAAAAATATAAAGATCAATTTCCCTCAACCTGCCAGCCAAGGTCCTCTAGGATTTGGCCCAGCCAAGTTGACCCCTCACCACCCCCACACTCCTACATTAGCACCGAGCATCAGCATCCAGGCCATGGGACGCCATTTCCCTCCCAACTTCACCCCACTCAAGCTGCCCTGGCTGTGCCAACGCCCCTCCTCTCTTCATGTCACCTGTCAGCCCATCCACTGACATCCCCATCAGCTGCTCTCTCTTCTAATAAGTGTCTTCAGAAAATAACCCTCATGTTTATGGTCAACTGATTTTAGACAAAGGCACTAAAGCCATCCAATGGAGAAAGGACAGTCTTTTTTTTTTTTTTTTTTTTTTTGAGATGGAGTCTCACTGCAGGCTTCACCCCCCCGGGGTTCACGCCATTCTCCTGCCTCAGCCTCCCCAGTAGCTGGGACTACAGGCGCCCGCCACCTCGCCCGGCTAATTTTTTGTACTTTTAGTACAGACGGGGTTCCACTGTGTTAGCCAGGATGGTCTCGATCTCCTGACCTCGTGATCCGCTCGCCTCAGCCTCCCAAAGTGCTGGGATTACAGGCGTGAGCCACCGCGCCTGGCCAGGGTTTTTTTTAACACCCCATGCTGGAATAACTGGATATCCATATGCAACATAAGAAAAGCTTTCACCTCACACCCGACACAAAAAATTAGCTCAAAAGGATTATGGACATAAATGTAAGATTTAAAACTATAAAACTTCTAAAAACAACATAGGAGAACATATTTGTGACCATGGATTATGCAGAGGCTTATGACACCAAAGGTACAGCCTATGTTTAAAAATTGATAAACTGTACTTCATCAGCACCTACAATTTCTCTCACCGCTAAGAAAAAGACAAATCGCAGACTGGGAGAAGTATCTCTAAACCAGGCATTTGACAAAGGGCTTATGACCACAATGCACAAGGAACTCTCTGACTCAATAATAAGGCGGCTACGAACCTGGTTTTAAAAAGGGTGCCAAAGGCTCAGGTGCCTCACCACAAGGGATCTGCGCACGGCTCGTGAGGAGCTGAGAAAACGCTCCCATCAGCCCTTGGAGAGGTAAATGAAAACCACAGGGAGAAGCCACAGGCCAAGACGTACATGAAGCAGCCTTGCAGAGTCTGGCAGGGAGGACTCAGCTGCCATCCCGGTGCCCTTCGCCTTCTGCGGGGATACTGGCACCAGAGTCACTTACTCACAGGCACCTGGAAGGCAGGATGCTGCCTGTTCACCTCTGCTCCTCTGAGAGGAGCAGTGTGGGGGAGCTGTAGGGGGAGACACAGGGTCCCCGAGACAAACTGGTGAGCTGCCAGAAGTGTCTGGAAGTTTCCAATCCTGCAGGGCCGCGGAATCAGGGTCAATGCTGCCCCAATTTCTCTCCCTGGGCAGCTACTGGGTCTGGATTATCTGATGAGTAAGACGATTCTGGCCTGAAAACATACAGCAAATGTCTTCGCATCTTCACCTGATCACTTCCAAACCTCAAGCAGTAAAGCACTTTCATATTTTGTTTCGAGCCATGCAGGAGAAGAGTAAGGGTTTTTCTGGGGACGAGAGGGCTTGAATGTGCCAGAACAGGTGTAACGGCCCGTGCGGGACAGGGCTGGGTAAGAGAACACCATCAAATGAAACGGCCCCATCACAGAACCGATAAACACTCAGTATCTGCCGATGGAGATTCACAACAGTATCCATGAAGTAGCTTCGAAAAAAAATGCTGAGGCCAGGCGTGGTGGCTCACACCTGTAATCCCAGCACTTTGGGAGGCCGAGGCGGGTGGATCACGAGGTCAGATCGAGACCACCCTGGCTAACATGGTGAAACCCCGTCTCTAGTAAAAATACAAAAAATTAGCCGGGCGTGGTGGCGGGCGCCTGTAGTCCCAGCTACTCTGGAGGCTGAGGCAGGAGAATGGTGTGAACCTGGGAGGCAGAGCTTGCAGAGAGCGGAGATCGCGCCACTGCACTCCAGCCTGGGCGACAGAGTGAGACTCTGTCTCAAAAAAAAAAAAAAAATGCTGAATACGATCAAGCCTCCCTCCTCCTCATTCATTCATTCATTCATTCATTCATTCATTTTTGAGATGGAGTCTCACTCTGTTGCCCAGGCTGGAGTGCAGTGGGGCGATCTCAGCTCACTGTAGCCTCCGTCTCCTGGGTTCAAGCAATTCCCCTGCCTTAGCCTCCCGAATAGCTGAGATTACAGGTGTGTGCCACCACGCCCGGCTAATTTTTGTATCTTTAGTAGAAACGGGGTTTCACCATGTTGGGCAGGCTGGTCTCAAACTCCTGACCTTAGGTGATCCACCCACCACGGCCTCCTAAAGTGCTGGGATTATGGGTGTGAGCCACCGCACCCAGCCTCCTACTCCTAATTTAATGAGGACTAAAAAAAGAGAAAGAAGACCGAAAAACAAGTTTTGTTTTGTTTTGTATTTTTAGTAGAGCTGGGGTTTCACCTTGTTGGCCAGGCTGGTCTCGAACTCCTGGCTTCAAGGGATCCTCCCACCTTGGCCTCCCAAAGTGCTGGGATGACAGGTGTGAGCCACGGCGCCCGGCTGAGGAACAAGTTTAAGAGGACCACAGGCACACAACCGGCAGAACCCCACCCTGGGACCTTTTTAACGAAATGCAAAATGTCCAAGAGGAAAAGAGGTGAACAGTCAACCTGCACATTAAACATGGATTGAGACATAGCCATTTCTTGAATTCTGATGCAAACCAATGTTAGGAAATAGGTCACTGAGACAACCGGAAATTTAAACACCGGCTGGGTACTTGTTGATAATGAGGAACTGTTCATTGTTAATTTTAAAGCATAATGAAGTATTGTGACATTTAAAAAGAGTTACAGCATTAAATATGAAAATGTTTACAGATGAAATAATATGATTGATTGGATCTGCTTCAAAATTAGAGGAAATGGGGAAATAGGTAGGGATAACAGATGAGAAAAATCCACCGAGCATTGCTGCTTGTTGAAGGTGGGCGACAAGCACGTGGGGTCATTATCCGAAGATGGTGCCTTCTGTGTATGTGTGTGAAATCTCCATAATAAAGCTGTGACGTGAAAGACCACACAGCGATGGCTGTGTCTGTGCCAGGCTACCCTCTGCAATGCCCTTTCACTCGGGCACCTTCACGGAAGTTGCCCAGGCCTGAGGCGGGTGTGGCTGGGATTCTCACTCCCCGCTGGACAGATGAGGGGCTGAAGGCAGGCCGAGGTCCCAGAGAACCAGTGGAGCTGGGATCGCAACGCGTCTCTGCTCCGTCCAGAGCACTCTGGTTTTTTTTCCACAGATAACCTGAGTTGCTTTCTTCATAGACGGGCAGAGACATCTGGGTGGGCTTCACAGGAGAGATGTGTGTGTGGGACTCGGTGGCCGGGCTCCCATCCCCAGGAGGGGAGTGAAGAGTTCTTGCCCGCAGACCAACTGGGGCGCCGTGGTTGACAGCAGGCCAGGTGCGGAGCCGTGAGGGTCAGGTCTGACAGGAATGCAAGCACCACAAGAGAATTAACCACTGGTGTCAGGACTTGGTGTCTCTTCCTGGTGACCTGAAGGTTGACCACCACCCTGTCCCTCTGAAAAATCTCCTGCTGGGCCAGGCTTGGCTTAAGAACCGTGTAGGTGGTGAGAGCCTGGGAGTGAAGGCTCCGGTGGGACCACCTGCCCCAGGAAGGAGGGGTCCTGGGCTCTGGCCAGACGCTGCCACGGAGCTTCCCACTCACCCGCCCACTCGCAAGCCAAACGTCTCTAGCCCAGCACAGGCCAGATGGAGGACCAAGGTGGTGGGAAGGGCGGACACGAACGGACACGGGTGCTGCTCGCAGACAGCTGCAGCCTGGCGTCATGGCTCCTGCACTCGGGTGCACGGTCGGCACCAGAGGAGATTAAATATGCCAATGCCCAGGCTGCGTCCAGCCAGTCCAGTCAGGATGCTGGCGGGTGAGAGGAGGGGACAGGCACCCCTCTTTAGTAAAGACCCCCGGGTGATGACAACACACAGCAAAGTCTACGAACCTCTAGTACAGCAAGAGGGAGAATCTGAGGTGGAAAACAACAAACCCCATCCAAGAGACCCACAGTGTCGAGGAGGACAGGACAGCGCCCCTCACAGCAAGGCTGGGGAACCAAGAGACCCACAGCGTCGAGGACAGGACAGTGCCCCTCACAGCACTGCCAGGGGGACCCAGGACAGAGCTGGCCTAAAGCGGGGCTTGAGGGAAAGAAGAGCCGTGGCCGATGGGCAAGTGACGCCCTGACTCCTCTCTGCCAGCTGGGGTGTGGGGCTGAGACTCCACAGACCACATTCCCGCTCTGCCCATGGGTGCTGGCGGGAGGCCTTCGGACCACAGAGGGAAGAAGCGATCTGCTCTCCCTGGGCCTCCCCTTGCCCCTCGAGAGTTTTCTGTCTACGATTCCTGCAGGTACCCCCCAGTGACATCGCACCTCACTTCCAAGACCCCAGGTGTCCCCTTCTCAAATGGCTGTGGCAGCTCCATGCCCCCCCAGACTTCTCTAACAAGATGCCAACCCCGAGGGACCACACCCCTCCCTGCAGCCGCCCCATAACTGGCACACCTCAGTGTTGTCCTCTGCCTAAACGGGCCCAGCTACCAATGTTACACCTCGGACACAGTTCTCCATAGCGAATCTTCTCTGTTCACTAAGCGGGTGGCTCCTCACTCCTGACCAATGCCAGGAGAACTTTCTCTGCCTCCACTCTCAATGCCACTGAGAATCCAGGCAAATGGGGCCCCAAATAACAACCAACTACTTGAGCAGAAATTGGGTCCGGTCACCTCCACAAGAAGGAAACAAAAGTCCCGGAATGCCTGCCCTGCACACGAGCCATGACGTGCTCCAGCCGTGCGATCTGGAGGGGGACAGCTTTGAAATTATCACTGTAACAAAGGGGCACCAGGAGGTAACAGCACCATCACCAACGGCTGGCCACTGGCCATGCATCGGGCATGGCCTCTAACGCTGCTCTTTAGATCAACCTGCCGGGCATGGATTCGATTCCTACTTTATGAAGAGCACTCGGCGCACGGTGAGGCCCTGCCCAGGCACGCGAAGCCAGCTCGGGGCGGAGTTGAGGCTGCAGAGGGCTCCGCGTGGCTCCAGCCCGTGCGTGTTCATCTCAGCCCAGCAAGTGGACAGCTGGGGACAGGTCTGCAGACAGGGTGGGCGTGGGAGGAGCCACACGCCCCCCACCTTCCACGCGCTAGGAAAGGCTCCAGACATTTCCCCACCGCAGAAGCCACCCACGGACAACAGAGGCAAAGACCCAGAAGGAAAACCTCCTGTCGAAGGTTTCTGAGGAACAAAGAGGCGCGTGGTGTGTGGAAAGCCAATCAAGTCATCCTATTTTTCTTTTCTCACAGAAAGAGAAGAATTTCTCTTGTCACCTGAGTCAGCAAACCACTGCATCTTCCCCAGCATTGAATTTCTCGAATCCAATTGCTTCTCCAGGCTGAACGCAAACGTTCCTTCCCTCTGCCTATTAATCACTGGGAGGTCCCTATTGATCCCAGAGCCATCTGGGTTTGTATCAGGAAAACTGTAAAAACTGCTCATTAGTGGGGCCAGTGGGGGTTGCAGAGACAGCTCTGGCCAGGGAGTCCAGAGCCCAGGCTCTATCAGGCCTCTGCCACGGGCTCACTAACTGACCTCGGGTCTCCATCTCCCCGCATCAGCTGAAGGGATGAGGGCACATCAGGATGCTTTCCCCTTGTTTCTAGAAATTATGTTTCTGAGGGACTCTCCTCATTTCCTTTCAGATTGAAAAACGAGGTACAAAGAAAATCCACGCAAAAACTCATCTGTAACTCATACTGCAGAAGGAACACAGAGGGATGAGCAATGCCAACACAGTATAAATAAGCCTCAATAACAACCTGCAAGAAGACTGGGCGCCACACGGTTAAGCATCACTTTGATGATTCACAAGGTTCTTTGGAATGTTTGAAGGAATTAAACCAGAAACAAAAAGAGACAGGCGAGAGGAGTAGCCAGATAGTTGAGTTGGGGGCTGCTCTGACCTGGGATAAACAGGAAAGTGCAGCACCCACATAACCCCCAGGAGATGGGGTTGCCCAGAAACCACTTTCTCAAAGCATCCTCGAGGAGAAGTTGTGGAGCCCCCAGGTTGGCCATTGCCTGTGGGGCTCTTCCCTGCCCCTCTCGCAGCAGAGCCATGCCATGATCCACGTGGATGCTCTATCAAGACACAGCCAGAGCTGGCCGCTCAGATCCTGCCGGCGGTCCATCTCCCCAGCAGCCGCAGCGTTTGGGTGCTTCGGTGCCAGGTCCGCTGCACCCTCTAAATGCGGTGTCCCTGCAGCAAGCGAGGGGGACAGAGCCGGGCATCTTAAAGCATGTAATGAGATAACATCTATTATCATACATTATAAAGAGGTTTATGCATACATGAGGGTTGTCATGAAATTTAATTTCAATGGTTTGATAATTAGGCAAAAAAACCCACAATTGTCGTATCTTAATTTTCCAGTAAATTTGCTGCTGCTGCTGCCAACACTGTATTTTCCTAAGAAAGTTCATGCGGTTTCACTAAGGAGAGACATCCACTGTTTCCGGTTGTGCATGGAAAATGGACGAGGAGGGAAGGCCGATTCTGGGAACGCAGCCTAGGGAACCATGGGCAACTCCCACAGAAAGGCGGGCGGTGGAGAACAGGTGGCTGGTGCTCAGCAGCCCAGTTCCAGCTCCAACTGACTGCATGCCCCTGGTGGGTCTCGACCTCTTTTACTCATAGGGAAAAATGAGTGCAAAGCCCACTCCCTGTAGAACTCCCTATGAAAGTGGTGTCTTTCCCAACACTGCCCCGGGGTAGAAATACAAGTTAATACAGATCTCCAGCTGCTCGACTGGAAACAGGGTTCCGAATGTCATGACCAATGGCCTGGGGCCCAGGAAACAGACTCACCAGGCACCAAGCATCACAAATCACATCTGGCAAAAGCAAAGTTAACTAATGGTCCTTAATTACAGAACTGATGTATCACACATGCCACAGAAACTCACAAGCTGAGGAATGAGTCACTAATTTCCAAAGGACCTTTTAAAGGAGAGATTAGGAAGGTGAAAAAGTACTTTCTACATCCAATCGCTTCAGTATTCCATTGTAAAGTATGAGACTAACAAGATCTCGCTAAGAAATATGATAAGAGTGGCATTGCTAATTTCTAAAAACTCTAATATTCACAGTCTATGAACACCTCTTTCACACTTACCACCCCACCACACTCCCCTCCACCATGCTGCTCCCCCTGCCTGCACGGCTCTCCCTGGCACACTGGCCCTGGCCACCTCCTGCTCACTCGTCACGTCGTGCTGTAAATGAATGTTTATGCCCCACAAAATCTACATGCTGAAATCCTACCCTCCATGGTGATTATATTAAAGGGCAGGGCTTCAGGGAGGTGATCAGCTCATGAAGATGGAATCCACATGACTAGGATCAGTGTTCTTTTAAATGAAGCTTGAGAAAAACCCTTTGCCCCTCCCACCATGTGAGGACACAGTGAGAAGCCTCCAACTACGAAGCAGGAAATGGGCCCTCACCACCCACAGAATCTGCCCAGCGTCTTGATCTTGAACCTGCAGCCTCCAGAATCTGCCCAGCGTCTTGATCTTGAACCTGCAGTCTCCAGAACCATGAGAAATAATTTTCGGTTGTTTATAAGCCACCCAGTCTATGGTATTTTGTTGCAGCAACTCAGCATTTCCATATTCTCATCACCTCTCCAGGAAGCCCTCCTAGCCACCTTCCTTGGCCCCCCAGTCCTAGGCCCCCCTCCTATGTGCTCTGCATTCTCCTCACACTGTATAACAATTGCCTGTTTGTGTGCTTTTCTTCCACACCTAAATATAAGTGTAGTGAAAACACAGGCAACACCACACGTACTCAGCAGCTTCACTCCCAGCAGGGCCTGGCACCTCGGAGATACACAGGAAATACTTGGTGAATTAACAAATGAACACCCTGGATATCAAAGGCCCAGTTTGCTTCTCCATCTCACCCTTTCTTCTGCTGGGTGAAGCTGGACTTTACGATCTTGAACCCAACTTACCAAAGGCTGCACAGAGCAGAAAGTGGGAAATAAACAGAATTTTGCCCCCGCCCCGGCCTCTCTCACACCATCCCAAGCTTGGCTCCAGCATCGTCTCCCCTTGGTGTGTGGAGCAGCAGGGCAGAGCCTGGATGTCAGACAGACGGGGTTCCACAAAGTGGCTTTGATCAGCCACTCATTTTGCTTATCTATAAAATGAGGACACTGTTCCCACATGAGAATATTATGAGGACTGAATGTGACTTCATATGGGAAGTGCTCAGTAAATACTATTTCCATCCTCTCTTCCCCCAGGAAGCATGTTGCTCCTCCTCGTGCTGTTGGGGACACATTTCTATCCATAGCTCTTGCACTGGGTGAGATGAGATCACCCCTTCCTACTAGGAGGGAGGAGAGGCGGCAGGCACCACAATTATCTAACTGGGGTTGGTCTCTCAGATTGCAGGCCACCTTTGAATGCCAGTTCTGCAAACGGCAGCATCCAAGCCATGTTAATTCCAGGAATCTGGCTCTTCCTTTAAGAGTAGGCTGTGCTATCTGCAGAGAAAAGTTCTGTGCACCTGCCTCCCTCCCAGGTAGCAGTGAGAGCACCACCTTCCGCTCCTGCTGGTAGCGATGAAGCTGGAGTCTCAGCCCCACTACTGCCCACACCTCCAGGCAGAGCCCATGCCCTCCCCACTCCAGAGGGCAGATCGCAGGCAAAAGAAGCTTCTTTAGGTTTAGCACAGCCTGGGGGTGGGGGGCCGGGGGGTGGTGGCAGGGGTGCCTCCTCGTAGGGGAACGGGAGAGCCAGGAGAGAGGTTCGGCTCAGGACTCTGGGAAGGAACTGGATACTCAAGACACAAAGCCTGGAAGGACAGGGACCAGGTCTGAGGTCTGTAAGGTGCTGTCCGGCGTTGCGAAGTAAGGTAGAGCCATTTCCACTTCCTCCACCTGCACTGCTCTGCACAACCCCTCCACGGAGGCCGAGTGTGCATCTGACCCACAGGAGGCCGGTGAGGCACTGAGAGAGGTTTGGGAAAGGGAGGGGAGGGGAATCATGCATTCTAGGGCTCAGGGCAGAGTTGCATGGATTCATGGGTATCCCCAGCAGTGGGCACAGCAGGGGAAGCGCCTAAGATGACTTCCCAGATGGACGTAACCTCATGACCTCTAGTTCACCCAACGCTCCCACCCGGCCCGGGACAGCAAGATGCCCTTGTCAGGCAGAAAAGGGCAGCCGCTCTGGCTGGGTTAGACACTTGTCCCAATGTGTTGCCAATCCCCAGCGAGGAGGGGCCCTTATTTATTCTTCTCAGCACGCCTGAAGCCTGACACGGGGCTTACCACACAGCAAATTGCTGAAGTATCAATATTTATTGAATGAATATTTTATGAATAAATAAAAGAATATTCGAGTTAGAAGCATTCAGAAATGAGAATTTAAGCAAAAACTTAATAACAAAAAAGCCTGAAGCACAAGACTAAATTGTGATTATTTGCAGCTGGGATTGTTAATGTCATCAGCCTCACATTGCCAAGAATGAGTCAAGCTTACTATACAGGACAAGCTTAGCAATTTATAATTTCTTTAAAGTGTTTTATACTAGTGTCATAAGACGACCAGATTTATGTTCTCTGGGATCTTGGACTACATCAAGTTATTTAGATAAGAAAGAGCAGTCCGAGGGCTGACAGTTCCCTATGCAGCAGCACTGGACCCAGCACTGCCAAAGGCGTAGACCCCAGAGGATGCATCGATGCTCCCTGAAGGCACCTGTCCTCATCCTGAGGAACCTGAGGTGCCGCAGCATCCAGCCACAGCCCTCACGGCTCATACACACAGAAGCATACACCAGCCCCACGCGCATACCCACACCCAAGTGACAAGTCCTTTCCAAGGGATCTTGGGAAGGAGGATTTTCTGGCACCTCTCAAAGGCAGGCCATAAATGTCCCCCAAGCCATTGAATCTCTAGCTTCCAGCAGCCCAAACAGGACCTGCTACAAGGCTGCAGGGCCTGGCTTGACATTCATGCGTGTCATTAACAATAATCACATTAAATATGAATACCCTGGAAGCCACCTCACAGTGAGTGCATTAGCATGGAAATGAATAAAGTGGCATATTTACACAATGAAATATTAATAGCAGTTCAAATGAAAGAACCAGATTTATATTTAGCTCCAAAGAATAACGCTGATTTTTAAAGTTTTAAAAGGACATATATGATATGGAACCACTTATGCCATTGAAAAAAAGACTCTCGGCCAGGCCTAGTGGCTCTTGCCTGTAATTCCAGCACTTTGGGAGGCCGAGGCGGGCGGATCACAAGGTCAGGAGTCCAAGACCAGCCTGACCAACATGGTGAAATCCCATCTCTACTAAAAATACAAAAATTAGCCGGGCGTGGTGGCAGGTGTCTGTAATCCTGGCTACTCAGGAGGCTGAGGCAGGAGAAACGCTTGAACCCAGGAGGTGGAGGTTGCAGTGAGCCAGGACTGTGCCACTGCACTCCAGCCTGGGTGACAGAGCGAGATTCTGTATCAAAAAAACAAAAAACCAAAAAACAAAAAAACTGTCAAAATAATGTTTGGGTGGGGATATATGTCTATACAATAAAGTAGTAAAACATGGATGTGGAATGATACCATCACCTCTAAGAAAGAAATTACCTTAAAGAGGAAGGAAAGAGAAAAGAAGATGGGATGAGGTGGGCAGAAAAGAAGAGCTTAGCTATTTTTACTTTTATTTTTGCCAACAATTTCTTCTAAAAAATTTCAAATATAAGGTGAAAAAGATTTACACTGAACACCCCCCATATGCCCATTAAGAGACGCTACTGTTAACATTATACTATATTTGCATTACCACCTAATGTGTTCATCTGCCCATCTATTAATCTGTCAGATATTTTATAGAACTCAAAGACTATTGTAGCTATCATGCCCCGACCCCAAACCCTCCAGTGTGCATATCATTAACAGAGCTCAACACTGGCTTAGTTTTTCCTTCTGCTATAAAGCTGATACATCATGAAATGTACAAATCTCAAGTGATTAGTTGCCGAGTTTTGACGAATAGATACATGTGTGTAACCCAAAACCCTACTGATGTATACAACATGACCATCACCTAGAAAATTACCTTATGCCCTTTCCTGATCAAACCCTGTTCCAATCTCTCCAGAAGGAACCAATGTTCTGAGTTTTTCCATCGTAAATTGGTTCTGCTTGTTCTATAGGTTGGTGTAAAAGTAATGGCAAAAGCCGCAATTACTTTTGCAGCAACCTACAGCATTTCGTATCAATGGAACCACATGGCATATGCACTTTGGGTAAGGCTCCTTTCACCCAGCATCCTGTTCCTGAGAGTTGCAAGTGCTGTTCTGTGTATGAGTAATTCATTCGTTTTTGTTGCAGAGTACCACACCATTCCGTTTGTAAGAAAACACCGCCATTTGTTTGTCCGTTCTCCTGTAATGGACACCTGGCCTCTATTTTCTGGCTAGAACGTTGTATAGGTCTTCTTGTGACCATATGTTTCATATTATCCTTAAATAAATAACTAGGGTTGAAATAGCTGGGCAAAGGGTAAGTGTATGTTTAATTTTACAGGATAGCCCCAGACCTTTTTCCAAAGCAGCTGCACTATTTTATATCCCCACCCACAAGGCATGAGAGTTCCTGTTGCTCCACACCCTCACCAACATTTGGTGCTGTCTTTAACCATCCTGATGAGTGTCTCATGCTGTCTCATCGCGGTTTGGACTTACATTCCACCACTGATTGATAATGTTAATGTTGCTATTTTAAAAAACATTTTATTTCCTTAAAACAAATGAAAGAGGCAGAGAGAGAGAGAGAGAGAGAGAAAGATCTGGGGCAAATAAAACAAAATCTAGGATGTGGGTATGCCAGTTTCTAAGTGATTTTCTGTATGTTTGAAGTCTTCAGCAATTAAAAATAAAAATATTATTCCCTCTAGAATTCCATGTGTAAGTGTGTGTCCCTAGAACCGGGCTGGGCTTGGAAGCACAGCCTCTTAGTATGGAGGGAGGGTGAGTGGAGAGTGGGTCAGGGGCCACTGAGGGGCTCCGCCATGGAAGGACAGCATCACCCCGGAGTCACTGAGCTCCACCTGCCTCCGGGCAAGCCCTGGCCTCGCTCCTGACCAGCTCTCACTTCCGCATCAGCTCCTCACTCACCTCTGCCGGGCCAGGGGTCTCCTGAGGCTGACCCTGGCCAGCAATTGGTAGTGCGGCCTCTCTTTGCCCTACAGAGACTGGGCTTGGGTGACTGTGCTCCCCTCCCGAAGGCCTGAGCCTTGCCTGTCTTTCTGTAGCATTAATTCCTCTTGATGCTGACATGCAGTTCCCAGACTGATGCCAAATATTTCCAGATACCACCTCTTTTTTTTTTTTTTTTTTTTTGAGGCGGAGTCTCGCTCTGTCGCCCAGGCTGGAGTACGGTGGTACGATCGATCTCGGCTCACTGCACCCTCTGCTTCCCGGGTTCAAGCGATTCTCCTGCCTCAGCCTCCCGAGTAGCTGGGATAACAGGCATGCACCACCATGCCCGGGTAGTTTTTGTATTTTTAGTAGAGACGGGGTTTCACCATGTTGGCCAGGCTGGTCTTGAACTCCTGATCTCAGGTGGTCTGCCTGCCTTGGCCTCCCCAAAGTGTTAGGATTACAGGCGTGAGCCACCACACCCAGCCCAGATACCACTTTCTCAAGAATTTAACAGCAAAGATGCCCGGATGCTGCTGGGTCCTCAAATGTGGGCTCTGAAAGCACATGTTGCTACTTCCTCAGACGCCATCCGGCTTTACCTACTTTGCACTTAGCTCTAATTTAAAACGACTCCAGATTCTCCCACCAAACTTGAATAGTCACTACGGTATCTCTGAAAGGGAGACAAACTGCCCATCCTCTGAGGACTTGGGGTGGATTATCTCCACACCCTCCCAAGCAGCGTGGTGAAGGCAGAGGGTGGCCTGCGGCGGCGCGAGGGTCTATGGGACACTTACCGCTGGCACTCACCGGCGTGCAGGATGAGTGCCTCGCTGCTCCTGGTGCTGACGGTCAGCTCATGCTCGGTGGAGTTGAAGACATCCAGGAGCAGGTGACACTGCCGGGTACTGCGTTAAAGAAAAAAGAAAGTTCAGAATCCTCTGACAGCCAAAGAGGAATGACTTTCCCTTTTTCTCCTCTCCAAAGACTTCCCACCACTTAAGAAGGGCAAAGTATATCGAAATGCCAAGTGCTCCTGGGCTCAGAGGATTACGGAGACTGGTTCTGAACACGAGTGTGAACTCTAAGGAGTGGGTGTAGGCATCAGGTCCTCATCAGGTCCTCCTTGGGCCCGGGGTCCTGGGGACATGTGTTCACAGCTCAGCCATGCCTTTTACCAACCAAGTGGCCTTGGGAAGGTAACCCGAATTCTCCAAACCTCAATATACACTGACGACTGGAACACCTGACTCTAAAGTCTGATCATCTGCAGAGAAACACAGGCATACAGTGCCATTCAAGGATGCTGTGTCCAAGCCAGCATCTTCAGCTACCAGGTTCCACGCTGGGCCCTGAAGCGTGGTGACGCATGTCCTGCTTGTGTGTGTGTGTGCACATCCAGCACGAGCTTCTCCCATGCGGGCACCTCTCGAACTGGGGCAGACACTGCGGGGTCTACTCATCACCCTCCGAAGCCTCTACTCTTTTGTTTCCTCTCCTCCAGAGGTGACAAGTAAAATGCTCAAGTTCCCATTGTTCCTTGCAAGGGCTGGTCCATGTGATGAAGTTCTAGCCAGTAAGGCACAGTCCCCTAGAGACTTTCCTTCCCAAATACAAACGCGATGTCCTGGGAGAAGGCTTTTAGCCTTCCGCCTTCCTCATTCCCCTTCCTTTCTCCCTGGAAGCAAACAGGATGCTCAGAAGCTCAGTAACCATCAGGGACAAAAACCACAGGCTGTGGATGACAGAGCAGGGTCGGAGGCGCTTGAGAGCCGTCACTTCTTTGGGTGGCCGTGGCAGCCCTGCACTGCCGGCCTCTCTCTAGCCGTGTGAGCTCCATGTACAAAGTGGAAAAGTCCAGCCCCAAACGCGCCGTCCGTGTCCGTCACCATCTGATAGGTTAACGTCACAGTTGAATGCTTGCCGAAAACTCATACGGTATCTCAGACACCAAGTATCACAGTCAGCACGTAACAGGTCATCGATAAATGTCTGCTGAGCTCAGTGGATGGCTGCACCCACGACAGGACAGACACAGATGACAGCAACTGAGCAGAGGCCATTCTTCTTGGAAGAGCAGGGTAAACAGTTTTCATGGGGGGAGAAAACACAGAGAAAAAGATCTGTGCTCTGGGTCATTATTATCAGCCTAGTGTGACTTCAAAACATGGCCTTCCAAAGGGCATTTGAATTCTCAAATGTATTTCTCCAAGTGGGAGGCAAGGCTTTGCTGGCTGTTAAAGGAAAGTCTGGTCAAAGGAAAGGGACAATCGCCTGTGACTTCATGACAACAGCCTCGGGGGTAGTCCGTGGAGCCCCCTGCACTGGAGACGGAGGCTCAGGAGAGGACAGCCATGCTGCTGTGATGCCCGAGGCCCTGGATGCAGAGCTCGAAACCCTCGGCTTTTCCCAATAGATGTGGACCTCTATTCATTCCAAAGCCACACATGTCCGCGGCAATTTCCAGAGAGCAGAACTGAGGTACAGGGGGTAGAGTGACAGGCCCAGAAGTTCACACACACACATATACACTCTCATACACATGCACACACAAGTAGGACTTTGTCAAAAGGCCACGGGGCATCTGTGAAATATCAATTTTTCAGAACGTGGGCGTGTGACCTGCTCTCAGGCAGAAAGCAGGAACATGTCACCATTTCTTTTTCTTTTTTTTTTTGACAGAGTCTCACTCTTGTCGTCCAGGCTGGAGTGCAGTGGCACAATCTCGGCTCACTGCAACCTCCACCTCCTGGGTTCAAGAGATTCTCCTGCCTCAGCCTCCTGAGTAGCTGGGATTACAGGTGCCCGCCACCATGCCCAGGTAATTTTTGTATTTTTAGTAGAGACAGGGTTTCACCATGATGGCCAGGCTGGTCTCAAACTCCTGACCTCAGGTGATCTGCCCGCCTAGGCCTCCCAAAGTGTTGGGATTACAGGGGTGAGCCACGGCACCCGGCCACATGTCACCATTTATATCATGTAGCACAGCGTCAACAGGGTGCCGCACACCTTGAGATGACAGCTCCCATCAGTTGAGTCTGGGTTTTCTGGGTGGGGCTGCCTTCCCCAGAGGTTTGGCGCTTGGAAAACATTCATTAGCTCTGACAGCTGCCTACAAGAGGCCTCTTCACTCAGCTCACAGAAAAATGAGCTTCCGAGAATGAAGATCTATTCCTCTGTTGTCATAACTTCATGAAATCTTTAATCACAGCAAAATCTTTCATCAGAAAAGGGAACTCGTAAAACATTTATCAGAGGAGGAAAATTGAAGTGATTTTTTAAAAGCCTGGAATAAAAGGTTCAAATATATTTTGTTTTCACTCACAGAATACGGTGCTTACGAAATGGCACAGGAATGAGCAGCATCAATACACAATGCATTTCTGTCCTCTTGCTCTTCTTTTTTCTGACTCACTGTCTGAGTGTGGGGGCGTCTGATCTAGTGTTTCTATTCTTTCTAATTGTTGACATGATGATGTATTGGTGGAGCTTGGCTTCCTATCTGTGAATAAGTTTCCTTTCCCAGACTGCAGCAGTGGTTTGTGCCATCATAATGTCATTTATTCTGTGTACCTTTCCATATGGCTTTGGATGCTTGGTTTTAAGGCTGATGCTCTGAGCATATGGTTTACCTTAATTCTTGTTTGCTTTTTGGGTTTGTTTTTTTTTTTTTCTGGACACATCTGTCTGAAGTATGGGGAAATCCAAGAAAGCTTCCTGGAAGAGCTGAGACCAAGGCGAGTCTCTGAAGGGGACAGACACGTTTGCCTGGCTTAGAAGACACAAGGGAACAAAGTCCTGGCAGCATGGAGGAGCCCAGCTATTTTGGGAATCTGTAGTCAGGTTGAGTGTGGGAGACCAGGCTGCCAGGTGAAAAAAATAAGCCCTTTTTCAGCAAAGAGAGCAGTTACGTATTAATAAAACCACTCTGATACAGTGAGTGGGCACTGTTTATTCAGCCCCAAATTGGAGATTTTATTAAGTATTTCATCCAAAAAATACCTCCTGAGGAACTGAATGAGAAACACAAGATCCCTACATTCATGGCTATTATACTCCTGTGAGGGAAAAGGGCAGGACCAATGGGGTTGTTTTAAAAAATAAAATTTGCTGTCATTTTTTATAAACTTATAAAAAAAAGCTGAAAAAGATTGTTGAATAAAAGATTAAGACATACAATCAATCCCAGTCATACACATCAACTAAAAACAATTACAAGACAAACTTTTTGAGAAAATACATTTATAATAGCAACACAGTCCACAACACAGGTAGAAATAAATCTAACAAAATATATGCACGATATTTATGTAAAAAATTATAAATTCATGGAACAATATTAAAGAAGAAAAATAAGTGTAGAGATGTACAGGTTGAGTATGCTTGGACCAGATGTGTTTCAAATTTTGTTTTTAGATTTTGGAATACCTGCATTATACTCACCAAGTGAGCATCCCAAATCCAAAACTCGGAGATGCAAAACACTCCAATAAACATTTCCTTTGAGCATCACGTCAGTGCTCAAAAAGTTTTGAATTTTGGAGCATTTCAAGTTTTGGGATGCTCAACCCACGTTATGTTCAAAGATGGAAAGACTTAATATTTTTAAAGAAATTATCTCTTTCCAAATTTCTATAAACTCAATGCAACTCAATAAGAAAAATCCCAAAAGGGTTTTGTTAAAACAATGATGTGGGAGGTTTTTTGGAAGGAATCTGGCCTACTAGATGTCAGGAATTGTTATAAGGCTGTAATCATGAAGACAGAGGCACTTGGGGCAGTGACAGAGAAATACATTAGTGAAAGAAAAGATAGCTACAAAGCAGACCCATGAATATAAGGAAACTGGAGAGATGATTGTATTGGTGGCATTGATTAATTAGGACAAGAGTCACTGAATAGTGCTGGGAAAAATGACTATGCAGGTACACAGAAAATTAGATCCCTACCTCACATCATATATAAAAATAAATTCCAAACAGAATGAATAGCTAAATATAGAAAAACAATATTTAAAAATCTTTAGACAAAATATAGATGAACAGTTCATGACCTTGGAAAAAAGAAAGACTTCTCAAATGAGTTACAATACATATAAAATATAAGGGAAAAGAATAAAATGTTTGGCTGCATTAAAATTAAGAATTTTGGTACAATGAAAAACATCAAAAACCAAAGCAAAGACAAGCTTCATTTTTAATGCGTTGCAAATATCTTTTCACAGGCATTTGCAACATATTAAATTGACTAAGGATTTGAATTCTGAATTTATAGAGAACTCCTATAAATCAGTAAGAAAAAAATGACCCAATAGAAAATTAAGCAAAGGACAAGAATCAATAATTTAAAGTAGGGGAAACCCAATGACCAATAAACAGGAACAGAAGCTCAATCCAACTAGTAGTTAGAGAAATGGAAATAAACCCCAAGAGTATTATTTCTCACCCAACCTATTGGTAATATTTTTAAAGCGTCCCAGTACCAAGAGTTGGTCAAGCTATAGATCAACAGGAAATACGGGAATTCCTGTCACTGCTGGTAGGGATACAAATTGGTACAACTCCTTCAGACAGAAAAAGAGTTTGACCGAACAATTCCATTTGTAGCTGCCTATCTTGGATCAACTCAGAGTTTGGTAAAGGGGCACATTCAAAAGTGTTCAATGCAACATCATTTATAAAAGTAAAGAACTGCTTTTAACTAAGTGCACATCAACTGGAGAGTAGATACAGACATACAATGGTAGAGTTATATGATGGAAACCTATGCAGAGGTGACAATGAATTTAAAAGAACTATATGCCCCACCACAGACAAATCTCATATTAAAACTGCTGGGTAAATAAGTTGCAGAAGATATACAATATATATGTATATCAAATTTTAAAATATGTTTTAAAATACTCGATATTATCTATAAATATCAAATTTAAGAGTAGTCATTCATGCTAAGAGAGCAAGAGACACAGTGTGGAAGAATATACAGAGCTTTAACAGCATATTTTTATTTCTTTAAATTAAAAACATAAAAGCAAATATAATATACTGAAATATTAAAAATGGACAAGTCTGTATGGTAGACAAATTGATACCTCCTAGACATTTATTTATGTTTCTTATACTTGAAATGTCTTATAAAAAGTTACTTTTAAAGTCATTTAGACTAATGTGTTAGCCTGGGATCCCCCCAGAAAGCAGAGCCTGAGAAAAGGGTTTGCACAGAGCTAGTGCTTAGGGAAGGGATGCCAGGAAGCATGTAGAGTAGGCAAAGTGGGGCAGCAGAGGAGAAGGTGATGCCAGAGGGCATGTTGCTGTGCGTCGCTGAGCTGGCGGCCCTGTGGGCAGCTGGGGCTCAATCATCGTCCTTCTGTGGAGCCGAGAGGATTGCGCTTCACACTGTGCGCCTGAGGCACAGAAGAGGAAATAATTGCTCTCCCAACTCTTTCCCTCACTAGTCAAGCTTTCCCCCAGAGGGGTCAGTTCTCTCACACTTCATCCATGCACTGTGCAGAGAGACTACCCATAGCCACCCAAACCTACAGCCTCAGAGAAGGCAGTTAGAATATTCCAGAAAGCAAGAGATGCTCACGACGGCTATGGTAAGGTGCTGTCAGGTGACACCTGCATAAATTTGGTTGCCACGGCAATAGCTAGTCTAAAAGTGGGCTACTATATGAGGCAGAGCATAAGACATGTATGACACAACTATTTCTTAAAAATTAAGTGAGTCTCTTGACATTAACACGGATGTTTTAAAATGACTTCAGATCTGATGGTAAACAAGGGCCTCCCTGAAGAAATGATGTTTCAGTTAGGAATCCAACAACAAGAAAGCAATCATGTGATGGTCTTGGAGGACAGCTTTCCAGAGAGAATGAGCAGTTAAAGCAAAAATCGTAAGGCACAGTGTGATCAAGGAACAGAACAAGCAGAGAGTGGTGTAGGAGTAAAAACAGAGGAAAGGTCATGGGGAAATACTCATATTTCATTCCAAGCAAAATGGGAAGGTATTTTGAGAGTTTTAAGCAGATGAGTGACATGAATTGGTTTGTGTTTAAAAAAAAAAAATGGTGAGTTCCAATTCTGGAAAAGATGGAGTAAGCACAATCTACCCTGTCTCTCCCACTGAATGCAACTATAAATCATAGAATGCACTGAGCTGAAGATGAAGACTCAAAAAATAAATGTTAGAAGGTGGATCACAGTAGGAGCCAGAAACTGAAGTTATTCTGAACTGGCAGTGAGCTGCATCTCTCTCCAGTACCACCTGGCCTCAACTGAAAGGCAGCGTGGACTCCAGAGGCGTGCCCTGTGTATAGCCAGACAGAGCTCCCAGGGCAGCCTCTCTTCCTGGTCCAACAAGTGGGAAAAGGTACTATGAAGGGCCACAGAAAGTAGGAGAATCCCTGAGTCTTTTCCCTTTTTTCTTCCCTTTTCTCCCAGCCCAGCCTCAAAGCAAACCACAGGAGATAATGACATCAGAGCAGTATTGGCGGGACAGGCTCACACACCTCCCTGATACAAACCACCTCACTGACCCAAAGAGCTGAGGTCCCAAAACCAGGGGGCCAGTTTGCATCACTCTGATTTCCTTCTCTGTGCCTCTGGACAGTCAGTCCTCCATGTAGACACACAGAGGGGGAAGCTCATATCCTGCCTTTGTAGCAGGCACATAGGGATAAGAGCCCCCAGTAATTTGGGAAGATTTCAGAAAGGAGATTGATTCAGAGAGCAGACAAAGTCAAGCATGAACTCCTAAGCTCACCAGGGAGCTGAGCTTGACAGAATCAGACCCTCAAGAGCAAACCACGGGCTTTGATAACTGATCTCCAGGCAAGAATGCCGACGGGCACCCACATGCGGCTGATCCAAGAAGCACCACAAATGCTTTGAAACTGGAACTGCAGCACAGCCTGCAAAAGGTACTCTGCATTAAAAAAAAAAAAAAAAAAAAAAGTACCAACATTTTCCTCAGTATTCAAACAAGATCCCAATGCCTCCCAATATTATAGTCAAGATGTCCAGAATACGATCTAAAATAACTCAACACAGAACCAGGAAAATATCAAGTCATGAGGAAAAAGTAAGTAACAGACAATAACTTCAAGATGACTGTCTTATTAGAAAGAGACTTTAAATGCATTCCAAGAACTGACCATACTTGAAACAAGTGAAAAGACGGAAAATCTCAGCGAAAAAGAAGATAAAAAAAGAACCAGAAAAACTTAAGCAAAAAAAAAAAAAAAAAAAAAAAAGAAAGGAAAGAAAAAAAGAAAAATTCACCACATGGTGAATTATCTTAGTAACTGAGAGGACAAGTAGACATAAAATCAGAAAGAATATAAGATAAACAAAATTACCATTGACCACCCAGATCTCACTAATACTCAGAGAACATTCCACCCAAAAGCAGCAGAATAATCATACTACCCAAGTGTACATGCAATATTTACCACCAATCACATTCCAAGACCATGGGTTGGGGGTGGTGGGGGAACTCTAACAACTGTAAAATAAAAATCATACAATGTGTTTTTGGGATCAGTAAGGAATTAAACAAGTAAATGTGAAGATAGATTAACAGATTATCCAATGGAAACAACAGGGGAAAATAAAACAGAAAAAAAAAACACTCTTATGGGACAACGAAACCTCTAAAAATCACGTCACAGGAGACTAAGAAACAAAGAAGAAAATAACATGCCATTTTTAAATAAATAATGGCCACACCCCCAAAAAGAATTGGCAAATGACATAAACAGATTCAGAAACCCAAAAAGTTTTTTGTTTTTGCTGTTGTTGCTATTTTTTTGTTTGTTTGTTTGCTTTTGAGACAGAGTCTCGCTCTGTCACCCAGGTTGGAGTGCAATGGCGTGATCTCGGCTCATTGCAACCTCTGCCTCCCAGGTTCAAGCGATTCTCCTGCCTCAGCCTCCCAAGTAGCTGGCATTACAGGCACACACCACCACACCAGGCTAAACATTTTTTATGGTATTTTTAGTAGACACGGGATTTTGCCACGTTGGCCAGGCTGGTCTCGAATGCCTGACCTCAGGTGATCCACCCACCTCTGCCTCCCAAAGTGCTGGGATTACAGGCGTGAGCCATCACGCCTGACCCAAAAACTATTTTTTTTAATCCCTGCCTGGAAACATAATCAAACTGCAGAAAGCTAAAGAACAGAAGCCATCTGGAAAGCTGCCAGAGCAAACAATACATCCTGCACAGGGAAACAATGAATTCTACACAGAGGAGACAATGCATCCTGCACAGAAGAGATAATGCATTCTACACTAGGGAGACAGTGCATCCTTCATAGGGGAGACAATGCAACCCTCACAGGGGAGACAATGCACCCTACACAGAGAAGACAATGCATCCTACCCAGGGGAGAAAATACATCCTACACAGGGCAGACAACGCATCCTACACAGGGCAGACAACGCATCCTACACAGGGAGACAATGCATCCCACACAGAAGAGACAATGCATCCTACCCAGGAGAACAATGCATCCCACACAGAGGAGACAATATATCCCACACAGGGGAGACAATGCATTCCACACAGGGGAGACAATGCATTCTACACAGGGGAGACAATGCATCCTACACAGAAGAGACAACGCATCCTACCCAGGGGAACAATGCATCCTACCCAGGGGAGACAATGCATCCTACACAGGGAGACAATGCATCCCACACAGGGGAAACAATGCATCCTACACAGGGAGACAGTGCATCCTACACAGGGGAGACAATGCATCCTACACAGGGAGACAATGCATCCCACACAGGGGAAACAATGCATCCTACACAGGGAGACAGTGCATCCTACACAGGGGAGACAGTGCATCCTACACAGGGAGACAATGCATCCTACACAGGGAGACAATGCATCCCACACAGGGAGACAATGCATCCCACACAGGAGAGACAATGCATCCCACACAGGGGAGACAATGCATCCCACACAGGGGAGACAATGCATCCCACACAGGGGATACAATGCATCCCACACAGGGAGACAATGCATCCTACACAGGGGAGACAATGCATCCCACACAGGGGAGACAATGCATCCTACACAGGGAGACAATGCATCCTACACAGGTAGACAATGCATCCTACACAGGGAGACAATGCATCCTACACAGGGGAAACAAAACAACAAATTTTTCTAAAGTCTGAAGAATCCTCATAAAAAACCACGGAGGGCAGAGAAAGTGAATCATTTTTAAAATGCTGAAAGAAAAGAATGTCAACTCAGAAGTCCATATCTATTAAAGTATCTTTCAGGAATAAAAGTAAAGACATTCTCAGATAAAGGAAAATTAAGAATCTCAGTCATCAGTAGAACTTTTCTAAAAGAACTGGGAAAGAAAGTCCTTTAAACAAAGGGTGAATAATAATACAGGGAAACTTGAACACGAAGCAAAAAGAGTAACAAAAATGGTAAGTATCTGGTTAAATGTAATTTCCTATTAAGTTACTTAAAAGATACACAATGGACTGGGCGCAGTGGCTCATGCCTGTAATCCCAGCACTTTGGGAGGCCAAGGCGGGTGGATCACAAGGTCAGGAGATCGAGACCATCCTGGCTAACACGGTGAAACCCCGTCTCTACTAAAAATACAAAAACAAAATTAGCTGGGCGTGCTGGTGGGCACCTGTAGTCCCAGCTACTTGGGAGGCTGAGGCAGGAGAATGGTGTGAAACCAGGAGGCAGAGCTTGCAGTGAGCCTAGATCACACCACTGCACTCCAGTCTGGGCAACACAGCGAGACTCCGTCTCAAAAAAATAAATAAATAAATAAAACAAAACAAAAAAAAACAATGAACGATATATGATGAATACAAGCTAAAATTATAACATTGGGTTTACAATGTATACAGATTTAATACATTATACAACTAAGACATGAGGAGGGGAAAGATAAAAGCGCCTATATTTGAGATTCCACCAAGTGATAAAATATTATTTCTAAGTCAACTGTGAAAACCTAAGAGCACTTATTATACTCCCTAGAGAAAACACTGAAACAGCTCTACAAAGAGATAAAGTTAAAAGCTCAATGCTTTAAAAATCAAATAGTTTAAAAGAACATAAAAAAGGAGAAATGGAACAATAAACAACAGAGTGAATAAACAAAAAACAAACCAAAAATACAATGGTAGACCTCAGTTCAAACATACCAAGAATTACATTAAATATAAATGACTTAAATAGTCTCATTAATAGACAGAGATTGTCAGAATACGTTTAAACAAAAAAAAACACTCAACTATATGCTATCTATAATAAATCCACTCTAAATATAATGGTATAGATATGTTAAAAGTAAAAGAATCATGCCAAGAAAACACGATTCAAAAGAATACTGGGCTGTTATATTAACATCAGACACCTAAAGAGGGACATTATATAATGATAAAAGCATTAATTCACCAAAAATACACAATAATTATTAATGTGTATGAACCTAACTATAGAGTTTCAAAATACATGAAATAAAAAACTGAAAGGATGAATGAACCAAATCACAATTAGAGACTTCAACACTCTTCTCTCAGTAATTGATAGAACACAGACATGAAATCAATAAAGACATAAAAGTAATAAACACCACCAACCACTTCATACTGATTGATAATTAGTGAACACTCCACCCACCAAGAGCAGAATATACATACTTCCCAAGTGCACAGCAACATTCAACAAGGTAGACCACATTCTAGGCCACAGAAAAAATCCTGAACTAATTTAAAATATAAAGCATACAAAGTATCTTCTCTGACCAAAACAGAATTAACCTAGAAATCAATGGTAGAAGGAAAGCTAGAATAACTCCAACTATCTGGAAATTTAATCAATGCACTTCAAAACAACCCACTGTTCAAAGAGGAAGCCCCAAGAGAAATAAAATATTTTGGAGTGAACAAAAATAAAATATGATATATCAAAATTCTGTGACTGGAGCTAAAGCAGTACTTAGAGAAAAATCCATATCATTAAGTGATTATATAAGAAAGAACGGCTTCAAATCAATAAGCCTATCTTCTATCTTAAGAAACGAGAAAAACATGGTACTGGTACCAAAACAGATATATAGACCAATGGAACAGAACAGAGGCCTCAGAAATAACACCAGACATCTACAACAACCTGATCTTTGACAAACCTGACAAAAACAAGCAATGGTAAAAGGATTCCCTATTTAATAAGTGGTGCTGGGAAAACTGGCTAGCCATATATAGAAAGCTGAAACTGGATCCCTTCCTTACACTGTATAAAAAAATTAATTCAAGATGGATTAAAGACTTCAATGTAAGACCTAACACCATAAAAACCCTAGAAGAAAACCTAGGCATTGCCATTCAGGACATAGGCATGGGCAAAGACTTCATGACTAAAACACCAAAAGCAATGGCAACAAAAGCCAAAATAGACAAATGGGATCTAATTAAACTAAAGAGCTTCTGCACAGCAAAAGAAACTACCATCAGAGTGAACAGGCAACCTACAGAATGGGAGAAAATTTTTGCAATCTACCTATCTGACAAAGGGCTAATATCCAGAATCTACAAAGAACTTAAACAAATTTACAAGAAAAAAACAAACAACCCCATCAAAAAGTGGGTGAAGGATATGAACAGACACTTCTCAAAAGAAGACATTTATGCAGCCAACAGACACATGAAAAATGCTCACCATCACTGGTCATCAGAGAAATGCAAATCAAAACCACAATGAGATACCATCTCATGCCAGTTAGAATGGCAATCATTAAAAAGTCAGGAAACAATAGATGCTGGAGAGGATGTGGAGAAATAGGAATGCTTTTACACTGTTGGTGGGAGCGTAAATTAGTTCAACCATTGTGAAAGACAGTGTGGCGATCCCTCAAGGATCTAGAACTGGAAATACCATTTGAACCAGCGATCCCATTACTGGGTATATACCCAAAAGATTATAAATCATGCTACTCTAAAGACACATGCACACGTATGTTTACTGCAGCACTATTCACAATAGCAAAGACTTGAAATCAACCCAAATGTCCATCAATGATAGACTGGATTAAGAAAATGTGGCACATATATACCATGGAATACTATGCAGCCATAAAAAAGGATGAGTTTATGTCCTTTTCGGGGACATGGATGAAGCTGGAAACCATCATTCTAAGCAAACTATTGCAAGGACAGAAAACCAAATACCACATGTTCTCACTCATAGGTGGGAGTTGAACAATGAGAACACATGGACACAGGGTGGAGAACATCACACACCAGGGCCTGTCACGCACACCAGGGGGGTGAGGGGCTGCGGGGATAGCATTAGGAGAAATACCTAATGTAAATGACGAGTTGATGGGTGCAGCAAACCAACATGGCACATATATACCTATGTAACAAACCTGCACATTGTGCACATGTACTCTAGAACTTAAAGTATAATAATAATAATAATAATAAAAAGAAACCGGACAAAGAACAAATGCTTAAAGGAAGCATAAGAAGGAGATAATAAAGGGCAGAAATGAATTAAAATGAAAGCAGACAAATAGAAAAATATCAGTAAACTAAAAAACTGATTTTTAAAAAGATCAATGTAATTGATAAACCTCTAGCCACAATTACAAAGGAAAAAGGAGAGAGAACACAAATGACCAGTATCATAAATAAATGAGGGAATACCACTTCAGCCACAGACATTAGAAGGACAATAAGGAAATACTACAAACAACTCTCCTCACATAAATGTGACAACTCAGATGAAATGGACCAGTTTCTTGAAAGTCACAAACTACAAAAATCCATCCAAGAAAGCACTTATCCACTGCTAGTAGTGATGGAAAATGGTACTACCACTCTGGAAAACAGCTTGGCAGTTTCTTACAAAGTTGAATAGTGAAAAACACATCATATAATCCAGTAATCCCAGTCCTAGGTATTTATCCTAGAGAAATGAAAACTTAAATAGGTAGCCTGAAAAGTCCTAAATCAATTAAATAAATTAAACATATTGTTTTAAAAATCATTCTGAAAAAGAAATCTCTATGCCCAGATGGTTTGCTTATGCATTCTACCAAGCATTTCAAAAAGAAATAATTCTATACAAAATAGCAGAAGAAACACTTCTCAGAACATTTTATGAGGTCAGCATTATCTAATACCAAAACCAGACAAAGACGGAAGAAAAAACGACCACAAATACCCTTCATACCAATAATACTCAACAAATTTTTTGATACCAAAAAAAGCATCTGACAAAACTCAAATTTCATTCATGATTTAAAAAAAAAAGCACTCACCCATCAATAGAAAAAAACCCCTTAATCTTTAAAAAATATGGACGCTAAGAAGTACAGAATGCTGATGAATAAAATCAAAGACCTACATAAACAGAAGTATATGCAGTGCTCAGATTGGAAGGTGCAATATACTTATCCATTTTTCCCAAGTTAATTCATAGATTTAACAAAATTCCAATCAAAATCCTAGAATGACACTGTAGATGTAGACAATCTTATCTGAAGATTTATATGGAAATACAAAGAAACAATAGACAGAACAATTAAAAATAAAAGAAAAACTCTGAGGACTCAGAGTTTTAGAGGATTCGACCCAATTTTAGTAGTAAAAGATTTACTGTAGGGTACACTAACATAGTAGTAAAGACTTATTCTAGGGTACACTAATATAGCAGTAAGGACTTACTACAAGGTACACTAATCAGGACAGCGTTGTACTGGTGAAAGAATATCCACATAGTTCTCTGGAGCAGAATAAAGTGTCCAGAAATAGAATTACACACAGATACAGTCATTTTATTTTTGACTAAGAAGAGAATTCAACGGAGAAGAGATAATCCATTCAACAAATAGTGTTGGGACAACTGGATTCCACTTATCAAAAAAAAAAAAAAAAAAAAAAAGGAAAAGAAATTTAAACTTCACAATTTATACAAAAGTTACTCAAAACACACAGGTAAATGCAAAACAAAACTGTACAATTTTACAAGAAAACATAAAAGAAAAAAAAGCACAACCAAAAGTAGGATCCAAAAAAGGAAAATTAGATTTATTAAAATTAAAAATATCTCTCTGTGAAAGACACTGTTAAATGAATGAAAAAGTTACGGAATTGAAGAAAACATTTACAAATTACATACCAGATAAAGGACTTGTATCTATAATATATTTTAAAAACTTTTGAAACTCAACATCAAGAAAACGAATAACCTAATAAAACATTGGGCAAAAAGACTTAAAAAGGTACTTTACCAAAAAGCCAGAAAGACAACAAATAAGCACATGAAGAAAGGATCAATGTCATTCATCACTAAGAAAGCACAAATTAGGCCGGGTGCGGTGGCTCATGCTTATAATCCCAGCACTTTGGGAGGCTGAGGCAGGTGGATCACCTGAGGTCAGGAGTTTGAGACCAGCCTGGCCAACATGGTGAACATGTTTGTGAACAACAAAAACCAAAACCTCGTCTCTGCTAAAAATACAAAAAATTAACTGCATGTGGTGCCGTGCGCCTGTAGTCCCAGCTACTCAGGAGGCTAAGGCAGGAGAATCGCTTGAACCTGGGAGGCACAGGTTGCAGTAAGATGAGATCGCACCACTGTACTCCAGCCTGGGTGACAGAGTGAGACCCTGTCACAAAAAAAAAAAAAAAAAAAAAGTGCAAATTAAAACCACAGGAAGATATCACTATATGCCTATTAAAATGGGTAGAAAATCTTTTGAAAACTGACAATACCACATGCTGATGAGGAAACAGAGCACTTATCCACTGCTAGTAGAGATGGAAAATGGTACTACCACTCTGGAAAACAGCTTGGCAGTTTCTTACAAAGTTGAATAGTGAAAAATACATCATATAATCCAGCAATCCCAGTCTTAGGTATTAAACTAGAGAATTGAAAACTTAAATTCACAAGAATCACTCTACATGAGTATTTACAGCAGCTCTATTCATAATCACAAAAAGCTGGTAACAGCCTAAATGTCCTTTAAACAGTGAATGGATCCACAGGCTGTGACATACCTGTACAACAGAAAGCAACTCAGAAATAAAAAGGATCAAACTGTTGACAGACTCAGTGACACAGACAGATCACAGAATGCAGAATCAAAGAAGCCACTCCAAGAAAGGAACACACAGTATTATTCCATTTATAAGACATTCTGGAAAAACCAGACTATAGAGATGGAGAATAGATCAGTGTTGCCACAACGGTGGGGCCGGGGAGATGCAGAGCATGATTCTAAGTGGCAGTGTGTGAAGTGTTGCGGGTAATGGAACTGTTCTTTATCCTGACTGTGATGGATACACCAAGCTATCTGTGTTGCTCATTAAAGTTAGAACTCAAAAAATCGTGCACCAAAAAAGTTCATTTTACTCTATGTTAATTTAAAAAACATTTAAATCAATGCAATTAAAAAAACAAACATCACGATGAGTTTGAAGGACCACAGTGCATTAAGTTTACTCCAATACTGGTCTTGTTGCTTAATGGCTATAACATCATAAGCAAGTCATTTAATTTCTCTGACTGTCAGTTTCCCCAGTCCTCCAATGGGGATAACAACGCCTATGCTATGGAATTATTAGGAGGCTCCAGTGAAAAAAAGTAAGTGAAAGTGCTTTGTAAAATCACAAGAAGAATACCACTATAAACATGGGGGGTGGGGCTATTATTAGCTTGGTTGCTGTCAGTGGAGCTGCAAAACCTACCAGCCAATGACTCAATATCGACTCAGCTAAAAATGAGTACCCGCCAAGGTCCAGCATGTCTAAAAACCATGGTGCCATGACTAGAAATCAAGTGAGACTCTCTTTTCCCCAAGTCTGGCAGATATCCCCAAGGCCTCCCAGGGTCTAGACACCAATGTTTGCTCATTCCCAGGAGTGTACTAAAGTGAATTAGCATAAAACTAAAACAGGTAGTGATGGCCACCCACACCTTTGGTCAAATTCATGTGGTCTTTTAAAATTCTGTAAGCCTGCCTATCTTCTTAATCAGTCTTCTTTCCAGAATGGGTAGTCAATATGAGACTGGAGAGCTTTTTCACATTTTAAGAAAGCCAGGGAACCTAATTCAATCTGAAGTCCAGAGAAAACAAAGAACAAAGAATCAGAGGGTTTTCTGCTGATGTAACCTCACGCTTACCTCTGCCACACTGCTATGGAGCTTCCTGATCTCACGGAGGACTATGAATGACTACCTATCTACCAGATCAGGGTTTCTGAAACATAGCACACCAACCACCAAAAACCAAACCCTCAGCTCTAGATAAGACTCAATGAGTTAAAACCTCTAGCAGTGACACCAGGGACTCTGACTTCTCTGGGTTTGGGCTTCACTGTGCAAGCTGAACCTGCAGAGTAGGAAGGTGCTGAAATCTCTATGGGGAAGGAACGCAGCACACAGCACCAGCACATGAAGCACAGCAGCGTGGGCACCAGTCAGGGAAGGTTCCGAAAGGAAGTGACTCCTGCACTCACAAAGGCACTGAGTATAATTCTAAGCGGCAGCCTGGTGAAGTTTTGGGGGTAAACGAGCAGGTCTACTAGGGAGAGGGCTCTCTAGTCACTGTGAACAGTGTTTGCAAAGGTCTCAAGCTCAATCAGCACGGCTTATTGGGGGAAACTTCCAGGACCTTCCTCACAGGAGTGAGGAAACGTGGGTTTTGGGAAGACAAGGGAGAAGGGCTGGGTCAGATTATGGGAAGTCTTGGGTACCAAGCTCTAGAACTGGAACTTGACCTACAGATGATGGGACTCACTAAAAGACATTAAGAAAATAGGGGGAAAGGTCTTAGCCAGCCATGGTGGTGCACGCCTGTTGTTCCAGCTACTTGGGAGGCTGAGGCAGGAGAATCTCTTCAGCCCAGGAGGTTGAGGCTGCAGTGAGCCATGATCACACCATTGTACTCCAGTCTGGGTGACGGTAAGACCCTGTCTAAAAAAAAAAAAAAAAGGAGGAGGAGGAGGAGGAGGAAGGAAAATGTCATGTATGTCTTTTAGAATACTTTGGAATCTACTGACAGAAATAATTGAAGGAAGAAATTGAAGGCAAAATGACTGTGAAAAGTTGTCACAACTATTCAAGAAATAAATTAGGAGGCTTGTCCTAGGGGACAAAGGTGACAAGCCTGAGTCAACACATGGCTATTCAAGTAAAAAGAACAGGTTTAGTGGCAGATGGGAACGTGGTGGCATTTCCCCATCAACAACTGAAAAGCAACCCAGTCTTTGTGAAGGGTCTCTGAAGCTTTACATTATTGAAGACAGTAAGGATAACTGTTTCTAATTTTTTAATTAATAAACTTTAAAAATATAATTTTTTAAATGTTCCCTTAAGAGAAACAATTTGGAATGGCTGGAATCAAAAAGATAGATACAATAACAAATATTGGCAAGAATGTGCAGAAATCAGATACTCATATACTATGGGAATGTAAAATGGTGCAACCACTTTGGAAAACAATCCAGCAGCTCCTTAAACTATTTAAACATAGAGTTACCATATGATCCAGCAATTCCACTCCTAGGTTTGTACCCAAGAGAAATGAAAACATGCATCCACACAGAAAATTAAACATGAATGTTCATAATAGCATTATTCACAATAGCAGAAAAGTGCAATCAACCCAAATGTCCATCAACTAATGAATGAACAAAATTATATCCATTCAACAGAAAATTATTCAGCAATAAAAAGAAATAACATACATAATTGTGGTTGAATCTTGAAAACAACACACCAAGTGAAAGAGGTTAGTCACTTGTTTCCATTTATATGAAATATCTAGAGTAAGCAAATCTAGAGAGACAGAAGGTAGATTAGTGGTAGATTAGTGGTTGCCTAGGGTGCGGGAGGGAAGTAGGGGAATAGAGAATGGCAGCGATGGGTACAGGGTTTCTTCTGGGAGGATGAAAAGTTCTAAAATCAGATTGTTGTGACGGCTAAACAACTCTGAATATACTAAAACGTTGAATTATACAGTTTAAGTGGGCGACTTATGTGACATGTAAATTATATTTCAATAAAGCTGTTTAAAAAGAAGAAGGCCATTTGAGATCCTGAGTGTACAGGAAGCAGGGGCGCCCAGGAATTGGAGGAAGAGATCCACCAAACACACTCAAGGCGCACACAGCAATGCTTCATCTCTCAACTGACCCACACGCAGTGCCATAGTTGTTGAACAAACAGTTGAAACTTTGTTACACTGTCTAATTTGTGCCCACGAGGGATCACTGGTTAAAGAGGAGAGCCATGAAGAACGCACGTAATCAGGGGCAATAACAGTAACTCTGCAATTGTGCCTCCGGGTGACGGTAACCAGGTCTCTGAGTTGCATTCATCTAATCAAAATCCATTTGCAGCACATCAAGACATTTGTAAGGCCTCAAAATACAACGTTTAAAATATAACATATAATGATGATTATGTCTAATTTTGCTTTTTGTTTTCTGGGAATTAAGACAATCCAAATTCACAAGAAATTATTTGTAGAAAAGTACTTGCAAATAACAACCTGAAATCATGTTTCATGCATCACCATTTGGAAATTAAACTCTACAATGATTAAACAAAGAAACGAAGAGAACTTTAAAAATGCAAAATGCAAGAATTCCAAACATAAGTTTGAAAAGAAACTCTGACTAATTGATGATGTTGCACAATCTACCTTTCAAAATACATTCAATCTCCAAACCAAGCATGGTATACTTTTTTTTAATTGATGTTTATAAATCAGGCTTTGAAATGTATTTAAAAGTATACAGTGCTTATCAATACAAAATCTTTAAATCTGTTATTATTTTAAAATGAATTTTAACATATAATATTTAGTAATATACCAATCTAAAATAAAATATAGATCACGTAAAATTCTTGCTTTTAATAGTAATATGCATCAGTAAAACATAAAATGGGTCCTCTCAAGACAGACCGGTGAGCAGACACAGAATACTGTGAGATCATTCGCTAGGAGACAGTGCAGTTGCTTGGATAACAAGTGGATGACACATGGAACTCGGGAGCACTAGTTATGGAGTCGGTGTCAGTCCAGATAGAATGTCAACCTGCTCCTGCCGTGTGAAGGCTGGGTGCCAGCTCCTGCCCTCCACAGAGCTATAATATATTAATAATAGGAATGGCAACAAAATGTGTGTTCATCATCTCAGGGCACACAAGACAATAGGTAAGGGATGGGATGAAGCAGATACATTGAATTGTTAAGTTCCCTTCCAACAAGAGGGTCTATGAATTGACTGTGATGGCAATTTCAGGGCAGGGTGCTGCGTGGAGCCTGTGACACTGGTTCCAGTTTGTTCTCCAGCCTCCTTTTCTCACAAAAGCAGGTCTCAGTGCAGATCTCGCAGCATCTCTTCTTCGGTCTTCCTTGGGGAGCTTCTCAAAGCACAGCCCTATCCCTCTCATCAACCACCACGAAGGATTCGCCGACTGGGCTGTTTTCTCTGCAACTTCCACAACGAAGAGGGGAGCCCCTTACCTTGCCCTGGAATATTCTTTCTGAGGATTTCTGAGAGGTAAAGCAGCCACTGATGGCAGCGTCCAGAGGATAACAGCACCGTCAAAGAGGAAGCAGGGCGACAGCTTGCTTGGCAGACCCAGCCTGGCTTGATGCTGCGCATGCGCTGGACAAACAGCAGGCACAGGGCACAAGGGTCGAGAGTAAACTCCGCCCTCACCTGCGGCTGTTGTGACCACCTGCCACCTCCTGGCCTCCCAGACCTCGTCTACATCCGATGCCTCATTATAGATACAGAATGGTTTTTTTAGAAAATTGGAAAGTTGATCAGACTTTTAAAATATCACAAAGGAGTCTTAATGTGGCGTTTAAGATAATTCCTTTCAATATTTATTTTCTAAATATCCCAGCCACAGACCTGAAGAGTTTATATCCCAGTAGGAAAGGCTGGGTATAGGGTGCATAGAATTTCCCCATACATCTATTTCTTTTGCAATTTCTTGTGAATCTATCATTGTTTCAAAATAAACTGAAAAAAATGACATGGGTCTGAATCAAACCAAGAGAATCTAAAAACTGTTTCTATTTTTAGTCATCTAAGGACGGGAAAAGGGAAAAAGAGGTCTACGGTCCTGTAGCTCCTTCCAGGCTTTAGAAGCATAATGGAATTGGACCATTTTTGCCCTGTAGAAATGTACTTATCATGAAAAAAAAGGAAAGTCTTAAGTCCTTGATACTTCAGAAGAACATCCATAGACTCCCCCATTTGTACACTAGGTCAACCAACATTTAACATCACTTCTGTGGTTCAAATATGGTGCTCTTGTTATAACAGCAGACTGATATTGTCAAGACATCACAGGACAAATGAGCACTGGCCCAGCTTACTATGCTCATTTTAACAAGTACAGTCAGCAAGGATCAGGAAAACCAATCATGTATATGATTTAAATGATCTAAATAAAAAATAGTGAAAAATATTTTACATTTATTTATACTTTGTACTTATTAATTTAGCAACAGATTTGTACAACCTGTCCCCCTACCATCTTCCCCTTCTCACACACGACGTCCCCATTTCCACAGATTCTCAGGACAAAGGCCTTGGAGCCACCACACCTCCTGTGAAATAGCAAGGCTTAGCCTATTTAATGTTTGTTCTGAGGATATCCAGAACCTGACCATTCTTTCCACCTTGACCTACTCCTGTCCCAGAATTACTGCGGCAGGACTGACATCCACTCCCGCCCGTGGCGCAACAGCACATTCTCTGAAAGCAGCTCTCCAGCTTTTCATAGCACGTCCCCCCTGCTATGCTGATGTTTGCTGTCTACACAACCTGCTACATTTATGCTTCTCGCCTATCCTTCTCCATTCAAATATAAGCTCTTTGAGAGCATGAACTCAACTTTACTCATTGCTGTCTTCAGTGCCTAGGACAGTGCTTCGCAGAAAATAGGGTGCAAGGAGTATTAGTTCCAAGGAGGGAGAGAGGGAGGGAAGATGAACGCTATGCTGGTGAGGCTGCGGGGAACCAGGTCCATTGATGCAAACTTCACTGTACTCTATACCAAGAATTTCTGATGAACAATTTAAAATGACAGACCAAAATCTAGAAATTACTTATGACTTTTTGTAAGTCTTATTTCATTATTTATTTATACCATGAATAACAAATCGAAATTTAATTTTTAACAGTTTTAACAACTAAATTTGTGGAATACTTTCAATTTTAGATTTTGTAAAATCTTAGATTTTTGCAATTTAAAAAATTAGTTCCCAATATCACACCATCTACAAAAAACATATGAAAGATGGATGAATAATCTCAATGTAAAATTACAAATATATTAGCAGGAAATCAAGGAGAACACATGTCTAATCTTAAGTAGGGTAAGTTTTTTTTACTGAAGCCCGAATGAAGCCAATAAGAACAAAATAATTTTACTAAAAATGTTCGCAAAAGGTGACCAAAATAATTTGTAGTAAAATGCAGATAGCAAATTCAGATAAGGTTAAAATATACGGCACACAAAACTTCCTGAAGATGAATGGAAAAAGATTAATACAAATTTTTGAAGAGGCCAAGATTACATATAAGAGAATACACAGAAGAAATGCAAATGTTCAGTAAACATAAAGATGGTTTACCTTACTCAAAACTAAGGAAATTAAAATTATACACAGTGAGATATTTCACATCCATCAAACTGCAAACCTTCATGAAAAGAATGAGATATTCAATGATGTCTATGATAGGGAGAAACGAACAGTCTCACATGCTCAGGAGGGTAAATTATGGAGGAAGATTCCATATTAAAACTAAATTTTTAGAATTTATATTACAAAAACCACCCACGTATGCACAAAGTTTATATACAAGAATGTCCAATGCAAAACTGCTTGAAACAGTAGAACATAGAAAACAAACCTCACTCAACAGAGAAGCATTTAACACATTATGGGGTATCTATCGGACAGAAGGGCACATGATCTGTAAACAAATGAGGAGACCTAGATTTACTGATGTGGAAAGATGATCAACATGTATCGTATTTTTTTAATTTGCAAAAGATTAAAATTTTACTTCTATTTTAAAAATAATGGTAACAGGCAGGGCATGGTGGCTCAAGCCTGTAATACTGGCACTTTGGGAGGCCGAGAAGGGAGGGTCCCCTGAGGTCAGGAGTTCAAGACCGGCCTGGCCAACAAGGTGAAACCCCATCTCTACTAAAAATACAAAAATTAGCTGGGCGTGGTGAGGCAGGCGCCTGTAATCCCAGCTACATGGGAGACTGAGGCAGGAGAATCACTTGAACCCAGGAGGCAGAGGTTGCAGTGAGCCAAGATTGTACCACTGCACTCCAGCCTGGGCAACAGAGCAAGGGTCAGTCTCGAAAAATTTAAAAATAAAAATAATAGTAACAATATTATATATATTTAGATGAATTAAAAATTTGGAAAAATTTGTGTCAAATTTTTAATAATGGGTGTCTATGTGAGATGATATTGCAACAGATACTCGTCTCTACTTAACATGCTTCCAGAAGGCATACTTTTTTTTTTTTTTTTTTTTTGAGACGGAGTCTCACTCCGTCACCAGGCTGGAGTGCAGTGGTACAATCTCGGCTCACTGCAACCTCTGCCTCCCGGGTTCAAGTGATTCTCCTACCTCAGCCTCCCAAGTAGCTGGGACTACAGGTGCATGCCACCACACCCAGCTAATTTTTTTTTTTTTTTTTTTTTTTTTTTGACGGAGTCTTGCTCTGTAGCCCAGGCTGGAGTGCAATGGCACGATCTCGGCTCACTGCAACCTCTGCCTCCTGGGTTTAAGTGATTCTCCTGCCTCAGCCTCCTGAGTAGCTGGGATTACAGGTGCCTGCCATCTCACCCAGCTAATTTTTGTATTTTTTGTAGAGACAGGGTTTCACCATGTTGGCCAGGCTGGTCTCAAACTCCTGACCTCAGGTGATCCTCCTGCCTCAGCCTCCCAAAGTGCTAGGATTACAGGCATGAGCCACTGCGCCAGACAATTTTTGCATTTTTAGTAGAGATGGGGTTTCACTATGTTGACCAGGATGATCTTGATCTCTTGACCTCATGATCTGCCCGCCTTGGCCTCCCAAAGTGCTGGGACTGCAGGCGTGAGCCACCGCGCCCGGCCAGGCATACATTTTGTATAACAAGTTTGAATGACTAGCTTTTAGAAGAAAGAAGTGGGGGGAAAAAACGTATTATTTTATATAATCATCCTACTATTTATAGATAAGGCAATGCGGGGCTCAGAGTATCTAAGAGGCCTGTTCAAGGCAGGAAGTAGAGTTCCATCCCCTCTAATTTCAAATCCTTTCTTCCCTCCACAAAATCAAGGTACCCTGCCACAGTTATTTACTATGTCCCTATCACGTGCCAGTCATCTGAGAGACTTACTTAAAAGGGGAGACACAGAAAAGACACTGCCTGTAACATACCTGTAAAGACTGAGAATGAGAGGGAAGAAGGGCGTGGACCCCATGCGCTGCAGGCTTGCCACGCATCAGGCACACAGTTTCTTACTGGAATCCTCCCGACAGCCCGATAAGGAGGCCCGCTTTATAAAGATTCTGTAACTTGCCCAACATGGCAGAGCTGGGATTCCAACATGAGGCAGTCAGCCTCCAAAACCCAGGTCCTCCACCTCTCGGCCCTCCTGCATCCTGCTGGTCAGGCCGAGGCCCCCCAGTGACTAGGGTCCTGATGCAGCCACGAACAACACCAAGCTCGTTCTTTCTTCTCACTCTGCCTGAGTCCCTCACCTGCAACACGGGGCAACACGTTCTCTAGCCCACACTCCCTAGCATGTCAAATGTACAAGGACAGGCGCTGAAGTCTCCCATGAGCCTCTGAAGGGGATTGAGGGACTACCTCACCTTGCAGAGGGTCACCGTAAGTTCTGAAAAGTGGCAACACCTGGAAAATGCTTCCTAAGGAAGCAAAGGGGTTACAGGGAGAGCAGGGTGTGTAGCAAGGCAACTGGCACTTAGTGTGTGCTCAATAACCATCCAGATCCAGTTCCTTTACACACACTGAGACGACAGCGCCTCAACACCTACATGCACAGGGCTGAGCGGGCCACACAGAGGCAGGAAGAACGCTAACAGCCTGGTCAATGGGACCCTAAGTGTAATGGATAATTAATGCTTTTGTGAAAAGATGCTGCTGCTCTTGGGTACCTGCTCGGCAGGTAAGGGCCAGATGGAGTTCAAGCCCATCAAGCCCATCACAGTCGCAGCAGCTGGGTTCCACTCGGACCGTGACCCCGCCTCTCCGTGCACTCCTCCAGGAACCTGTCTGTACTGGGGCTCCAAACTTCTCCCTTCTCCAGCACTGCACTTCCTGTCAAGCCACTCCTGACCCTAAGGAAAGGAAACTGTACTCCCCAGTCGTCTAAACAAACAACTCAAATCCCACTGTAGGTCCTCCGGCTGGTCAACGCAAATCTAGTTGTTCTGTCTCCAAAGCTCCTGCCACACATCGTTCACACTGCAGCGTTTCTTCAAAACTTCGGTTGACCACTGACTACTTACTTCACCTGCTGCTGCCCAAACAAAGAGTCACAGAGTGGCTGCCTTCAGAGAGCTGACCATAGGTGAAAGGGAGGCCAACAAAGGCTTCAGGATCCGCTGAGGTCAGTGATGTCCTTCGGGAGTGCTGGAGCCAGCTGCTGCAAAGCCGCCTGTGTTTACAAGACTGGCTCATCCCTTTGTCCCTAGAACCTGACACACAACAGAAGTGCATACACACAAGGAAAATGACAACCACCAATTTTCAATTATCTGCCTTGTGTCAGGCACTGTTAATAATTTTTCAGACACTTTATAACACACAGTTTTACAACCCTGCACAGTCAGTGTTATCTCCTTTTCAAGATGAAGGAAAAATGATGCTGAGAGAAATGTGAATGGCTCGCTCAAAACCACAGCGCCAATGAGCAGGAGAATCAACACTGGAAATCAGATACAGGCGCATGGGGCTCTCACTCCTGGTGTGCACTGCAATTCTAAATTCTTGTTAAATTTAAAACCAATCTACTAAGTAAACATAGCAACTGGAAAAAGATCTACCACGATAAAACTCCACAGTGCCCCTTCCATGGGTGAGCTGTCCCCACCACACAGGGAAAGTGACGAAGGCCTCGGTGGCAGGGTGTCTATCAATAATGTCGTAACGATTACACCCCACGCCCCGCTCAGAGGAGTGTATTTTCCACATAGATCAGAGTAGAAATGTCTAAGAGTGGATCGTTTATTGTAACAGGCTAGAAAGAAATTGCTCCTCAGGAGAGAGGGAGGCTCGGCACTCAGACAGGGATGGTCCAGCCTAATCCATTTCCATCTCGTCCCTAACAAGGTTACCAGGCAGCTCTGTGTAAAAAGCAAATCTCAAAGGTAATTTGATCTTTTAAATAAAAGTCAACTGAGACCTATGTACTCCCTGGTGGGAGAACAGTAAAAATAATAATAATAATAATGAGAATTCTACCTATCTATATTGGGCTTTGGCATTTAGAAAAAACTGCCCCCTCTGTTATTTAAATGGATTCTCTTATCGCCCTGGTGAGGTGAGCAGAGCTAAGAGGCTCACTCTCCCCCTAGGGAGTGCAGAGACCAAGCTGCGGCAGAGAAACACACTCCTCCAAAGATACGGCTCCTACAAAGGGTCTGTCCAGCGGCAGAATAGACACCAGAGTCCAGGACTCCAGGCTCCCAGGTCAGAGCAGGTGTGGCAGCAAGCTTTGGTCTGGGTGTCCCCAAGGCCACAGTTCAGATTGCCTCCCTTCCACTCACGAACGCACAGGACAAGGTGAGGAATGTAACACCCCCAGATAGGAATGCCAATGTCAGAGGGTTCTCGGGAGTGTGCATGGGATGCCCGACGCAACACCCAGGGCATGCCCTGGAGTCTAGCAGGCCGTGAATAAATAGGACTGCTCTTCCTTCCCATGCTCTCATATAGAAAACCATCATTTTAAAAAATACCAATAAGAAAAACTGCAGAAATTATCAGTATCAGTGAGAGGAGCAGACAAACAGACTACCCCAGGAGTAAATAACTCACATCCATTTGTATTTTGGTTTCACAATAGAGTATATGATTCATGTTATGCCAGCAGTAAAGTAGTCCTTTGACATATATTTGGCTTCTATTTGCACCAAAATTAGTCTGAATCTCTGTGTAGGCTCGCACTGGCATGTATGTGGCCATCTTCATTGTCCATGCTGCAGTGGCCTGGAAGCCAGGACATCTAGATGCCAGCCCTGTCACCTGCAAGCTGTGTGAACCTGAGCAAATCAGAAAACTCTCCGGGCCTCGTTTGTGATGCAAATGTGTTGAAATGGGCCATCTCTGGGGATGCATATAACTCTAACATGGCGTGATGCCAGAGTACAAATCTTCACCTGTGAGCAAAATGAAAAGTAATGAATTCACAATACACCATGCATCACGTAACTTCAATAAACTGCAAAGGCCAAGAGCCGAAAATGCATACTAATTCTGTTGTGTTCCAGGCCTTGCAATTTACACAGGTCCCTATTAAGAAAGATAGAATTTAGCACTTTGGGAGGCCGAGGTGGGTGGATCACTTGAGGTCAGGAGTTAAGAGTCCAGCCTGGGCAACTTGGTGAAACCCTGTCTCTACTAAAAATGAAAAACAATAAAAATAAAAAAAAAATAAGCCAGGCACGGTGGCTCATGCCTGTAGTCCCAGCTACTCGGGAGGCTGAGGCAGGAGAATCACTTGAACCTGGGAGGCAGAGGCTGCAGCGAGCTGAGGTTGTGCCACTGCACTCCAGCCCGAGCAAAAGAAAAGAAAAATAGAACTTAAATATATATATAAACGGGGTCATCCCTTTTATACAAAAGAAACACCTGAATGAATAGAGCCTTGGTATTTTACATCCTGTCATTCCTACACCTTCCCCGGCTGCCCACCGTGGGGCAAGGCGCTAGGTCCTGGGAGGCAGAGGTTGACCACCTGGCTGCATGTTCCACAGAGCTCAAAATCCAGTGGAAGAACCAGAAACCCAACATTAACACCTCTCCTGTTCCTCCCACTGTGGGTGGTGAAATCCTTCTTTCCTCAAGAATTAGTACAACGTTTCATTTTTTTGTGATGCCTTTCCAGCTCTCCCCAGTAAAAATTAGGTGCTCTCTCCAACGTATATATATTTTCGTACATGAAATGTTAAATCAAGGTTAAAATTTACATACAACGAAATACACAAATCTGAAGTGTATACTAGTCTGATTATTTGTCTACAACCCTATAACCCATACCCCTATCAATATATGCAACATTTCATCAAGTCAGAAAGATATTTTCTCTTCCCTTTAGGGCGACCAACTGTCCTGGTTTGTACTGAGGACTTTGCTAGGGTGAGGGAATTTCAGAGCTAAAATCTAGAAAATCCCAGGCAAACCAGACAGTTGCTAACCCAAATCCCTTCCCAGTCAATTCCTGCCCCACGTTACCTTAACCCAGAGTCAACCACTGGTTAGATTTCTTTCATCATAAAACAGGTTTTCCTGTTCTAGAAAGGTGTACACATGGAGTCACACAGTATGTTTCTTTTATGACTCGATTCCTTTGACCAGCATCGTAACTTTGTGCTGACCCCATTTTGTTGCATGTACCAGCAGTTTCTATTTCTGAGGAGTATTCCATTGTGTGGCAGCACCCCACATTGTTTATTCATTTACCTGTTGATGGGCATTTGGGGTTGTTTCCAGTTTGGAGTTATTAGGAATAAAGCTGTTACGAAAATACTTGCAGGAGTCTTTTTGTGGATGTGGACTTATATTTCTCTTGAGAAAATATCTAGGAATGAAATTGCTGGATCACTGGGGAGGAATATGTTTTAATTCATGAGGAACTGCCTGACTGATTTTCTAAAGTGGCTGCACCAGTTTATACTCCCAGAAGCAGTTTATGTGAATTCTGGCTGTTTCACATTCTCCCTAACATTTGGTGTTCTGTTTTTTAATTTTAGCCATTCTAGTGGGTATATAGTAGTATCTAATTGGGGTTTTAATTCGCATTTCTCTAATGATTAATAATGTTGAACACTTTTCGGAGATAACAGGTCATTTGAGAAATATCTGTTCAAATTTTCTATTTATCACCTTTTTAGAATTGTACAACTTCATCAATAAGATACAAGACGTTTGTTACATAAATATGTTACAATTTTTTTATCTTAGAATGTAATTTGCCTTTTAATAAGCTGAAGTTTTTAATTTTGATGAAATTTGTCCTATCAAGTCTTAGTTTTATGGTTAGCAGTTTCCGGCCCCATCTAAGAAAATATTTGCCCCTAAATCAAGAAGATACTGTGCTACATTTTCTTTGAGAAGGCTTGCAGTTAAAGGTTTTACTTTTAGGCCTAAAATTCATCTCCAGTGAATTCTTGGGCAGATGTGATGTATGGGTGAAGGGTTGTTTTTATTCCCCCACACAGACGTCCAGTTGTTCCAGCATCTTTTATTAAAAAGACTTTTCTTTCCCCATGAAATTAGTTTTGCATCTTGTTAAAAATCAACTGATGAGATACAATTGGAACTATTTCTGGACTATCTATTATGGTCCATTGATCTCTTTTTCTGTCTTTACACCAATAACATACTCTCTTGATTATTATAGCTTTACATTGTCTTAAAATCATACAGTGTAAGTCCTCCAACTTTGTTCTTTTTTGTCAAGTTATTTGTCTATTCTAGGTCTGTTCAATTTCAAAATAATTTTATAATTCCACTAAACAAAAATCCTGCTAGGATTTTGACCGAATTGCATTCAACTTACAATCAGTTCGGGGAAAACCACTATCTTAAGAAAAACTAATTCTTCCAATCACTAAGCATGGTATACTTTTTTTTTTGATACAGAGTCTCGTTCTGTTGCCCAGGCTGGAGTGCAGTGGTATAATCTCGGCTGACTACAACTTCCACCTCCTGGGTTCAGGTGATTCTCCTGCCTCAGCCTCCCAAGTAGCTGGGACTACAGGCATCCACCACCACACCCAGTTAATTTTTGTATTTTTTAGCAGAGAGTGGGTTTCACCATACTGGCCAGGCTGGTCTTGAACTCCTGACCTTGTGATCCACCTGCCTCGGCCTCTCGAAGTGCTGGGATTATAGGCATGAACCACCGTGCCCAGCCACCTCTCTAATTATTTAAGTCATCTTTCATTTCTCTTTATCATGTTTTGTCATTTTCTAGGTAGGGATAAGATTTGTAGAAATGTTTTCCTAAGTGTTTTATTATTTTGATTCTACTGCATATATTATTTTTTACATTTCATTTTCAAATTGTTAGTTGCTGGTATATAGAAACGTAAGTGATTTTTTTTTTTTTTTTTGAGACGGAGTCTCACTCTGTCACCCAGGCTGGAGTGCAGTGGTGTGATCTTGGCTCACTGCAAGCTCCACCTCCCAGGTTCACGCCATTCTCCTGCCTCAGCTTCCCAAGTGGCTGGGACTACAGGTGCCCACCACCACGCCCGGCTAATTTTGTTTTTGTATTTTTAGTAGAGATGGGGTTTCACCGTGTTAGCCAGGATGGTCTCGATCTCCTGACCTTGTGATCCACCCACCTCAGCCTCCCAAAGTGCTGGGATTACAGGCGTGAGCCACCGTGCCTGGCCACATAAGTGATTTTTAAATATTGAGTGGCATCCTGCAATCTTGCTAAATTGACTTATTATTTCTACTAATTTCTTTGGTGTGGCAGATTTCTCACAATATTTATGTACATAATCATATGTACCATACAAAGAAAGACATGTGAATAATAATAATTTTATTTCATTTCCTATTTTAATACCCTTATTTATTTTCTTCCCTTATTGCTCTGATTAGGACTGCCAGAAAAATAATGAATACGGTGGAAACGTGCCTTGTTATTCTTAGAGAAAAAGTCATCAGACTTTCACCTCTAAGTATAACATTAACTGTGGGGTTTCTTGTAGATGGCCTTTGTCAGACTGAGGAAGTTCTCTTCTAATCCTAGTGTACTGAGTGTTTCTGGCATAATTAAGCATTGACTTTTGTCAAATAATGTTTCTTTATCAACTGATATAATCATATGATTTTTCTCCTTTATTCTGCTAACATGACAAATTCTAATGACTGATCTTTCAATGGTAAAACAACCTCATACTTCTGAGTAAAACCTGAATTGTTCATGCTGTTTTGTCCCTTTCATATATCACTGAAGTTGATTTGATTTTTTGTTTTCATATTTCACATGTATATACATGAGGTTATTGGTCTACAGTTTTCTTTTCTCATAATGTCTCTGACTGGGTTTGGCATCAAGGTGATGTTGGTATCATAAAATGGAAGTTGGGAAGTATTTCCTCCTTATTTTCTGAAAAAGTTTTTGTAAAGGTGATATTATTTCTTTCTTTAAAAAGCTTCATATATTTCAGAGTAGAGCCATCTGGGCCTAAAGTTTGCTTTGTGAGAAGATTTTAATTAAGAATTCAAAATCTTTAACTGATGTGTGACTATTTATTTTTTCTATTTCTTTTTCCTGTGTCAATTTTAGTAATTTGTGTCTTTTTTTTTTTTTTTTTTTTTTTTTTTTGAGACAGAATCTCGCTGTGTCACCTAGGCTGGAGTGCAGTGGTGCAATCTTGGCTCACTGCAATCTCTGCCTCATGGGTTCAAGCGATTCTCATGCCTCAGCCTTCCGAGTGGCTGGAATTACAGGCATGCACCACGTGCCCAGCTAATTTTTCTATGTTTAGTAGAGATGAGGTTTCGCCATGTTAGTCAAGCTGGTTTCAAACTCCTGACCTCAGGTGATCCGCCTGCCTTGGCCTCCCAAAGGGCTGGGATTATAGGTGTGAGCCACCACGCCTGGCCGTCATTTTTCTTCTTTTTAAGAGACAGGCACCTTCTCTGCCACCCAGGCTGGAGTGCAGTGGCACGATCGTAGGTCACTCAAGGTATCCTCCTGCCTCAGCCTCCTGAGTAGCTAGGACTATAGGGATGTCCCATCACACCCGGCTAATTTTTTTTAATGTTTTGTATGTTTTATGATTTTTAATAATATTATCTTATTATCCTTTTAATGTCTGTGGAATTAGTAGTAATGCCACCTCTTTCATTCTCATTATTAGTTATTTGTGTTTCCACATTTTTTTCTGACCACCCTAGTTACAATTTATTAATTTTATTGTTACTATTTTCAGAGAACCAACTGTTGGTTTCACCAACTTTATGAATTTATTTGTTCATACTCTATAGCACTGATATCCACTCTATTATTTCTTCTGCTTACTCTAGGTACATTTTGCTATCCTTATCTAATAAAGAAGCAATATCACTGATTTTAAGCCATTCACCATTTCTAATACAAACATTTACTGTATTATAAATAACAACTAGGCACTTTCGGAGGTTGAAGCAGGAGGATTGCTTGAGGCCAGGGGTTTGAGACCAGCCTGGGCAAGACAGTGAGACCCCATCTCTACCAAAAGTTTAAAAAATAAACCAGTTGCGGTCCTCTGCACCTGTAGTTTTAGCTACTTGGGAGGCAAGGCAGGACAATCACTTGAGCCCAGGAGTTTGAGGTTACAGTGAGCTATGATGGTGCCAGTGCATTCCCACCTGGACAATGGAGTGAGATTCTATCTCAAAAAAAAAAATACACATGTACACATACAAAGTAGGTGGAGCTGATTAAAAGAATTGTCCAAGTTTTCTATATTGTTACTAATTTTTTTGTCTACTTATTTTACCAAATACTGAGAGATAAATGTTGACGTTTTCAACTACCATGGTGGGGTTATCAATTTCTCCCTTCAGTATGTCAGTTTTACTATGAAGTTATATTTGTAAACAGTTTCATTTGATCATTATGTACTTTTGATGACTTGATTTTGCTGTCATTAAAAATTGTCCTCTTTTTCTCTTGAAAGTCTAACCGTTTGATATTAAGATACCCAAACCAACTAAATAATTGTCTTTATGTCTTTTCCTTCATCTTTTTGTTTTTACATTATGCATAGTTAATGTCAATTTCTTATAAAAAAGGTAGTTGGCATCTTACTTTCTTGTATAGTTTGACAATCTCCATTTTTAAAGGTAGTATTAAATCTATTTACGTTTAGTGTAACTCTGGATACAGTAGATTTGAGTCCTACACATTGCCATCTGTTTCCTATTTGACTGTACGTTCCTTGTTCTTTTCTCCTTCTTTCTTGATACCTCTTCCCCTTTTTTGGGGTTAAGTATTTTTAAATATTCCATTTTATGTCTTCTGGCTTATCATCCATTCCTTAAGTGGATTGCTCCAGAGTTTGCATGTATCTTTAGCTGATCACATCTTAACTTCAAAAAATATTATAACAATTTGCATATAACACAAGAATTTCTATTTTCCCACCCATTCTTTGTGCCACTTTTTTGTTACATATTTTATTTGCATATGTGCTATACACTACAGAATTAAATGTTCTTATTTCTTTAAGTAGTCAATTAATCTTTCAAAGAAATTTTAAAAGTGAAGGAAACAAATCTTTTCTATTTATTCACTTATTTACTATTTATTAGGTTCATCACTCCTTTATATAGCTTCCGGTTTCCATTTGCTTTTATTTCTGATGGATGAGCTTATATCAGGGTAGTAAAAAACAGGAATTGTGCTCCATTTGTCTCTTAAACCAGTGATCTCTTTATATAGCACCTGAAACTTTGGAAGTGTCGGCTTAAGGAACAAATGAAACTATTTCCAATACACTCTGGTAAGTGCATTATCAGAAGTACATGTAATGTTAAGGGACCCACAGAAAGGCCAATCCACTCTGCCAAGTCACACTCAGAAAAATTTTACAAAAATGGTAACATGGGTCAAGGTCAAACAGGTATTTTCCAAAAGGTTGAATAAAGCATCTTCATTTAAGAGAGAGAACAGTGTTAGAAAAAGGTGTGTGCAGAAGCGCACTGGTGTAAGCCACCTGCACATATCCCAGCAATGGCGAGGAGCAAAGCGCCCTTTACACGAAGTATGGGACTGGGGCAAAGGGACTGAAGGGGAAGATCTGGGCCAGATCCTTAAGCACCATGGATGTCATAGGAGGGACTCTGGACTTTATCTCATCAGCACTGGGAAAGTATGTGCCAGAGCAGTGGCACAGGCACATGTGTAATTAAAGGATGACAACGGGAAACAAGGCTGTCAGCAGAGAGACCAATGGGGCAACTCTCTCTACAGTGACAAAGGCATGCAGTGGATTGCAGAGTCATTGGGAGACATCTCAGAAGTCCAATCCACAGGGCTTGGGGACCACTTAGACTTAGGAATAACAGAAAAGGAGAATTAGAAGACATCAAATCTCAATCCCAAGAGCAGGGAAAAGAACCACGGAAACCAAAAGAAAAGGGAGCAAGGGCCACAGGCTTGGGGGCAGGATCCACATAGCGCTTCAGCTGACCACCTACGCTTCCAAACCTCTGTGTGCAGCAAACCACATAGCGGCATTTTTCTCATCTTCAACTGTCATTTAGAACTGCAGGGGTCATGACGTGAAAACCAGATATCAATGGGGAAAAAAAGACGAACTCAGCTGATGACAACCTGTGCCGCTTCCAAGAATTATTTATGTGGGCAACGGCAGCAGGAGATGAGGGGATGAGAGAGAAACACACAACAGGTTCATGATGGAGCAAATGTAATGCTCAGAAAGGGCCTGAAATACTCTAACATCCGCAGCCATCCTGGCCAAGCTTCCCCAGGGGCAAGTGCTTTAATGCTTTACACAAATTCAAAACAGAGGCGGGTCTTGGCAGGAAAGGCTCTTACTCTGAGGACTGAAAAGGTGACAGATGATGAAATGTGATGCTAAAAGGCCCAGCTAAACCATTAATTCTTGCTGAAGGCATTCTCCAATGGCTGGGAAGAAAAACAAGTCTTTCCTATAAACTAAAACCACACTTATTATTTAAAGCTGTATCATTTTCAAGGGATTTTATGCCAACATTAACATGGACAACAACATGCTGTCTCACGCTGCAGCACACAGGGCCCACTGGAGGAGGAGGGGCTGCACGGGATCCCCCCACCGCCCCCTTCGAGGATAGACAGGTAAGCATTTAAATAATACCCATCCAGCCCACCCTACTCAGATAGGCAAGACCTAGCCGGACACGAACACCAGGACGAGCTCGGAGGTGAAGAGCACCTGCTTCCCGAAGGCTGCTGGCACTACGGAGGAATGGGAGCCACAGAGGGTCCCCAGCTGGCAGGAGCTTCATTCACCTCCAGCTTCTAGATTCCACTACTCCAACATCACCAGAGGGGAAAGTTCTGGATGAGAAATATCATTCTCCCACCTCAGAAAAGAATACCCTGAGTATCTCTTGCCACCTCTGGGTTTCAAGTGTACAAACTGTCCAATTTCTTTCTCCCTGAAGGAAGATTAGGTCTGGAAAGTAGGCAGGAGAGAAAGCCTTTGTATGCGAAGGGCCTCCTGGGCAGAAATGACCTGATGCCAAGATGGCTGGGAGCTCCACAAAGTGCCCATCTTATGGGGATGCCAGGAATGATGCAGAAGAGATGCTGGACTTGTCCAGGAGTCCCTAAGACATGTGCTATCCACTGAGCCCCTGCTAACAGGAGAGGTAAGCCAGAATGCAGCCAGGCCAGGCTGGGCGGGAAATGTGTGTGCACAGTGAGAACCACACGTAGGAATGCTGCAATCATCAGCGTTATGATTACAGCACGGCGTGATATGTAAAGCCCATTCACTTACGACCACCTGAGAGGCAGTTCTCATGTAACACCTGGTTTCCTAAAGAAAAACCTACATCCCAGAGAGGCTCAGCAACTTGGCCCCATGGCACGGATCTGACGGGATGCATGACAAAAACACACTGAGGTCAGGATTCTGAACGTAGTGCTGTTGAGACTCTAGAACAAGACGGCTGTGCGGCAGGAAGACATTTACCTGGTTGCTGGGAGGGTGCTGACTCGGGTGAAAAATACAGACGGCTCGACTTCTACATGCAGCCCCAGGGAGAGATTCCTGTAATATCCTTCAGTGTGGCCCGGGCCTCCAGAGTATTTGAAATTCAGGACAGCTTCCAGGGTCTAAAAGATATTAAAAAAAAAAATACACACACACACATTAGTAACTCTCTAGTTTGATCCACCAGGAGGCAAGCGGCTTCGCTTAGGAAGAGTCTGAAGATAATCCCAACTAGTCAAGTCATCAGCATTGGCCGACTCACAACCCCGGCGGGTACCGACTCACACCCCCGGCGGGGACCGACTCACACCCCCAGCGGGCACCATCTTACACCCCCGGTGGGCACCATCTTTCCTGTGATGTCCCAGAGTCTACACAATTCTCAGCCTGTACATGCAAACGGAAAGGGCTTCCAAAACTTACTCTGTGGTTAAATATGGTTTCTTTTTTTTTTTTTTGGAGATGGAGTCTTACTCTGTCGCCCAGGCTGGAGGCAGTGGCACAAACTCAGCTCACTGCAACCACTGCCTCCCAGGTCCAAGCAATTCTCCTGCCTCAGCCTCCCAAGTAGCTGAGATTACAGGTGCACACCACCACGCCTGGCTAATTTCTGTATTTTAGTAGATATGGGATTTCACCATGTTGGCCAGGCTGTTCTTGAACTCCTGACCTCGGGTGATCCACCCGCCTCGGCCTCCCAAGGTGCTGGGATGACAGGCGTGTGGGATGACAGGCGTGTGGGATGACAGGCATGTGGGATGACAGGCGTGTGGGATGACAGGCGTGAGCCACTGCGCCGGCCTAAACACGGCATTTTAGAGAGAAAAACACATTTCTATGAGCATCATTTCAACATCAGATGAGGTGACAGGCGGGGGCGGGGGTGCTTCTATCCAGAAGGTAGGGTCACTTGGGCTGACAGTGAGTAAAAGCCGACAAACTCCACACTCAGGATGCTTCCTGGAACCCATCCAAGAGAAGACTTCCCAGGGCAACCAAGGCATTCCAGGAGAGGCAGGGTGCTGCACAGTGGGGAGTACTCATGTGCTCCTGCTGGGGCCCAGCGGTACCCAGTGAGAGGCGAAGAACAGAGGTATGGGGAGACCCCACCCATGGGGGTGGCGCTGCACTCAGGATGGCTGGGGACCGAAGGGGAACATTACAGCTTCTCTGCAACCCTGAGTACAGGGCAACATCAGGGGAATGTGGAGCCTGGGGGCACCCAGAGTAACCACAGCAACAAGAAGTTCAACCAGGTTCCCCTCCGGACTGAAGGACCCTGCCTTCCCCAGGACCCTCCGGAAGCAGAGGACACAGCAGATCCAGCCCATGGACCAAATCTGACCACCGCCTGTTTTTGTGTGGCCTGAGAGCTAAGAACAGTTTTTACATTTGTTTACAGCTTGTAAAACAAAACAAAACAAAGCAAAACCAGAGAAGAATACGCAACAGAGACCATATGCGGCTGGCAAAGCTTAAAATACTATGTGGACCTTTACATCAAAGATTTGCAGATAAAACCCAGAGGAAAACATAGGAACAAATCTTCATGACCTTGGATTAAGCAAAGGTTTCATGGATATGACACCAAAAGCATAAGCAAAATGCAAAAAAAAAAAAAAAGAAAAGAAAAAGGAAAAAAAGGAAATCAAAGCTTCTCAACTGTTACATAGGGACAATAATTAATATGTATCTCACTAGATTCGTGCAGATTTGATGAGGAAATATAGTGACAGAACAAGAAGTCGCTCATTAAATAAATTCCTTTCTCCCCTGCAACCTACCCATCTGACACCCTGAGGCAACATGGCTTAGAATCGGAGGAAATGAGTTTTAGTCCCGTTTCTTCTAGTTTTGTTTTATATTCTTGTAATGTGGCAAAGTATGCATAACATAAAAGTTACCATTTTAACAATTCTAAGTACACAGTTCAGTGGTGTTAAGCACACTCATTCTGTCTATCAACCATCTCCATCATCCATTTCCGTCCCCAGAACTACTCCATCTTCCCAAACTGACCCTCTGAACCCATTAAACATGGACTCCCCAGTCTCCCTTCCTCTCGGCCCTGGCACCCACCATGCTACTTTTTGTCTTCCTGAATTTGACACTCTAGGCACCTTGCATGAGTGGAATCCTACAGTACTTGTCCTTTTGTGACTGGCAGATTTCACTCAGCATCATGTCCTCGAGAATCAACCGTGTTGAATCGTGGGTCAGAATTTCCTCTTTTTAAAGACCAATATTCCATTACATGTATGTACTGTGTCTTACTCATCCATTCGTCTGTCAGCGGGCACTTGGGTTGCTCCTACCCCTTGGCTCGTGTGAACAGTGCTGCTATGGTTGGACAGTGCCGAGACCCTGCTTTCGGTTCTTTGGGGTATATGCCCGGAAGTGGAATTTCTGAATCATACGGGTATTCTCTATGTAATTTTTTGAGAAGCCACCATATTGTTTCGCACAGTGGCTGTGCCATTTTACATTCCCACCAGCAGTGCACAGGGTTCCTGTTTTCCTACATCCTTACCACACATTTGCTATGTTCTGTTTTTGTGATAATGGCCATCCTAAGGGACACAAAGGAATATCTCACTGTGGTTTTGATTTGCATTTCCCTGGTGACTAGTCATGTTGAGCATCTTTTTATGTGCTTATGGTCCATTTATGTATCTTCTTTGGAGAAATTTCTATTTGAGTCCTTCAGTCTCATTTTAAAAGCTCACTATTCCAAATCCCCTCTCACCACTCCTATAGGTATATTTCATGACTACATATTGACAGGTTCCCTTCAATATTTGTACTGCCAGAGAAATACCTTCACTGATTCTCTCCACCTATGTAAATATTACTACTCGACAGCCCAAATAAAGCCATGCCTTCCTCTTACTTACAAATGGCTCAATAAAATACAGATTTTTTTTTAATATTCAAGGATCATATTTTGGCCTCACCAAAATCCCAAATCCTTTTTTCATTCCCTTTACTCCCAAGCACCGCCCTGTCATCTCCAAAGGGCTGCTGATTTCTTGTGAACACGTCTCAGACCTCTTACATTGCCCTTGTCATAAGCAGAAGGTGAGACTCGACACACACACACTCAATAAGTCTTTCTGTCAAAACTTTCAGAGTTCAACTGACTTTCATCTGTTTGATCTATTTTTTCATTCATCTTTTCAAACACTTCCTGGGTATCTTCTGAGTGCAGGGCTCTGTGCTCAGTACAAGATGAAGAAGATGTAGTCCCTGATCTCAGAAAGCTCTGTAAATGCTGAGTGAGGCAATGTATGACTAAATTAAATAATAAATAAATGAAGCCAACCAACCACCTAACATATACACAGCATCTTTCTCAAAATGCAGGCACAGTGGTCATGGAAATAAACAAACTCTCAGTAATGGCTGTGAAAAGCCAAAATCTGTGAAGTAACAACAAATGTCACACTGGCTTCTTGTTTGTTTTTTTGAGGTAAACTTAAAAGTCACCTACAGAGAGTGATGTAAAAGAAATCACCTGGGGAATGAACAAAAAGTACACAGACAACTGTCAAAGTACCACATCACCAAGAGGAAATAGTCTGTGTTTCTACTTTCTGGGAATTTACTATTACTTTACTCTGTAGAAAACCACAAAAAAGATATAATTATGAGGGGAAATATCTAATTTAACAAAATCAAGCACAGAAAAGTTGTATTACTCCATTCTCACACTACTATAAAGAACTGCCCGAGACTGGGTAATTTATAAAGAAAAGAGGTTTAATTGACTCACAGTTCCACACAGCTGGGTAGGCCTCAGGAAATGTAGAATCATGGCAGAAGGGGAAGAAGCATATCTTACATGGCGGCAGGAGAAAGTGAGTGAGTGTGTGTGTGAAGGAGGAACAGTCAAACACTTATAAAACCATCAGATCTCATGAGAACTCACTATCATGAGAACAGCATGGGGGACACCACCCCCATGATCCAATCACCTCCCACCATGTCCCTCCCTCGACACGTGGGGATTATGGGGATTACAATTCAAGATGAGATTTGGGTGGGGACACAGAGTCTAACCACATCAAAAGGTTTTCTGAAGTTCAGTGTCACTGCCTTACCTCTTTGAGATAAAAACAAAAACCAGAAATAACAAAAAAAGGCCTCCTCAGTCTTTTAAAATTAGAATATTATATATAAGGTCTTATATATTATATATATGGTCTTATTAATAATAAGAACATAAGGGGAGCTGGGAAGTGGAAAGACACAGGATGTCCAAGCCCTTTTCCTCAATCCAAGAGACTTCATAAGATGTTCCCATCTGAGAGCATTTTTCAATCCTTACTTTGACAGAAGACTATTACAGAAATCATAAACGAGGGACTACAACCAAAATGTTTATTTTCTAGGCACACAACTTATTATTCCAGCTAACATGAAAGGCCTGTCAGTAGGTACCTTTTATTAAAGAGTACCTACTCCATGCCAAGTGCTGCACTGAGTGACTTACACACCCAACTGCAACAGTCATGAGAGCCCCACAAGGGAAGTGCTGCTTTCATCAATGAGGCTCAGAGCACCCAGGAAGCAGCACAGGCAGGAACTGAATGCAGAGCAACATGCCTGCACAGCCCACTCTCTTGCCATTCAGGCAAACTGTTTAGAATAGCATTCATTCACCCATGCAATCATTCACTCACTAACCCTGTCTACTATGTCCCAGGGACTGTGGCACTTGAGAGGAAGAAGGCACAGTGCCACCCTTGGGGCACTCGAGTCTGGTAAAAGAAACAAGCCTTGATGCCTCTGAGTAAATTGTGACACGTTGTGTCATGGATAAGTGTATTAGAATATATGAGAATACAGGAGGAGAAAGGACTACATATGCCAGGTGGGTAGGAGTTGCAGAGGAAGGAACAACAAACCAGTAAGGAAGACAGGATTAGACAATTATCAATTGAAAATGGATAAATAATGGAAAAAAACAACTATACTAAAACCTACTTCTTGAAAATATCAATAAATGTGACAATCCTCTAAGTTGATCAAGGAAAAAGAGAAGAGAAAAACAAATTGCCAACATCAGGAATGAGAATGATTATCGGTACAGATCCTACAACCATTAAAAGGACAATCAGGGAAGAGTATCAATAATTTTGTGTCAATAGATTCAACAACTTAGATAAAATGGTCACACATTACCAAAAGGAATCAAGGAGAAACAGAAAATCTGAAGAGCCTCATGCCAATTGAAGACAAATCAAGAATATACTCCCAAAAGATGGCCAGGCATTGCGGCTCATGCCTGTAGTCCCAGCAGTTTGGGAGGCTGCGCAGAGGCAGATCACTTGAGCCCCAGACTTTCAGATAGCCTGGCCAACATGGCGAAAGCCCAACTCTACTAAAAGTACACAAATTAGCTGAGCTTAGTGGCGCAGGCCTGTAATCACAGCTACTCAGGAGGCTGAGGCATGAGAATCATTTGAACCCGGGAGGTGGAGGTTGCAGTGAGCCAAGATCATGCCACTTTCCTCCAGCCTGGGCGACAGAGCAAGACTCTGTCTCTGAAAACAAACAAACAAACAAACAAACAAGCAAATAAGAATGTACTCCCACATTTTCTTAATCCAGTCTATCGTTGTTGGACATACATTGTGCACATGTACCCTAAAACTTTAAGTATAATAATAATAAAATTAAAAATATATATATATATACTCCCAAAAGAAACCCCAAGCTTAGATGGTCTCTCAGCTGAATTCTAACAAACATGTAAATTAGAAAGAATATCAATTTTATATAATAAACATTTTTAGCAATTAGAAAAAAGGAGAAAACTTTCCCAATCTTTTTATGAGACCAATATTACTCAAATATCAAAATCAGATAGAAAACTTCTAAGAAAACTATTCATGAGGCCTATATCCCTCATGAATTTAAATGTAAAAAATATTTTTAAAGTACTAATGAATCAAGTTCAGTAAAATATAAAATGGGTAATACATCACGGCCATCAATAATGCAAGGCTGGTTTAATCTTCAAAAATCAAAGTCATTCACCATATTAATAAGCTATTGACAGGCAACAAAAAGAAAAGCTGAATGATCAATAGCTTCAGAAATAATAGTTGACGAAATTCAAAACCCATTTATAGTTTTTTAAAAACTCTCAGCAAACTAGGCATAGAAAGGAACATCCTCATTCTATGAAATGCACTCATGAAAAACCTATAGTCAAAACCATACTTGATGATAAGCAATGGAATGTTTTGCATCTAAAATCCAGATTAAGATGTAGCTGTAATAATTTTTGTAAGCATTGTACTTGAGATCCTAGCAAGTTCAATAAGTCCAGAAACAAAGGGCATACATGTTGGAAAGGAAGAGGTAAAACTATCTTTGTTTGCAGACAACATAATCATGTACCAAAAACATCCTAAGAAATCTACTGGAACTCTCAGAAATTGCTGGTGGCACTATAAAATAGTAAAATCCTTTTGAAAAATAGCTAGGTAAATCCTCCTACGCTTAAACCTACAATTAACATATTACTCAGCAAAGCAACTCCTACCAAGAAAAATAAAAACACATATCTACACAAAAACATGGATGTAAATGTCCACGGAGACTTTATTCATAATAATACCAAACTGGAAACAACCTCCATGTCCAACAAGAGGTAGGTGACCAAATAAACAAATTGTAGTAAATTCACAAAACGAAATACTACTCAGCTAAAGAATGGAGCAAATTACTGATACATACACAACATGGAAGAATCCAAAACCCCTTATTCTGAAAGAAAGAAGCCAGACACACAAGAGTGCATACCATTGCTTGTATGTATATGAGATACTAGAAAAGCTCAGCCTTTGGTAGCAAGGAGATCGGCAGTTGCCTGGAGTTAGAGGCAGGAGAGGGTTAGCTGCAAAGGGGTCAGAGAAACTATGGAGGGTGATAAAAATATTCTATATCTTTATGGTGGTGGTGGTGGTTACATGGAGTATATATTTGTCACAATTCATCAAACTGTATGGTTAATGAGGCTACATTTTATAGAATGCAAATTACACTCAGTAAAGTTGATTTTTGAAATTGATCCTGACCATTAATAGACATACAATCACTCGTAAACATTATTAAAGAATCTAAGTCACAATGTGGGCCACGTTGATGTGGGACCAGCCATGTCTAAGAGCGAATGTGAGGCCCTCGAAGAGGCTTCAGATGGAGACTTAAGAATCCCGGGTTCTGCATCAGAAGAAACAGCAGTGAGGTTATGATTCACCATAATTAAAGCTTCATGTGACCTGGGAGAAGTCACATCACTTGTCCAGTTCTCAGTCTCCTCACCTTAAAACCTGAGGGTCATGCCAGATGTTGCCTGAGGTTTTGACCAGCTCTTATATGAACAGTTATTCTTTATTTTCCTAACGTTCCACAACTTCTAATATAACTAACACTATTGTCAGAGAAAAACAATCACCCTCATATGTATGCTAGCCAACTTAAATGTATATGAAGTAGATCTCTAATATTTAAAGACCTCAATTGAACCTGTCACCACGGATTTCCTTCTGCTCTGTTTCTATAATATGACATAAAATTAATAGCTGTGATGTGATCCACTTAATAAGTCAAACATTCAAGACCAAAGGCTGGGGCTCATTCCCCAAGAGACCAGCACAACGGTTTACTTAAGGTCAATGAAACTCACAAATAAAAGCCATACCATTACTTTCCAGTTAATTAGCACTTTCAACCAAAGTTTTTCTTCAGTGTTAATGATGCCTTCAAGATGCCAAGTAACTACAAATTAAGTGATCCATCCACAGCAGTGCAGGGATGGGTTTGAACAACAGCAGCCATCAAAACAGCTTCCAGCCAAGAGGCCCAGGAGTCCCGTGGTGGCTGAGAAGAGTTAGGACACAAGGTCCAAAGGAGGGGGTATGTCTGGGGACTGTTAGAAGACCAAGTTGAAAGTCTGGTTTAGGATACTAAGGAGAGCATCAAGTCAGAGAGTCGAGGCCAGACAGAACCTGGGACCCCCAACCTAACTCCCTGGGCGATGAGCCCAGTGCCATAGACCACAGCAGTGCAGAGGGCCGCCACGTCCTACCTGCACTTACGCTCCAGCCAAATTTCACCTTCTCTGAGAAGTCTTTCCAGCGTCTCCAAAGAAACTCTGCCACTCTCTAACACATACCACATGGACACTCTGCTCCAGCACCCATCACACCTGGAGTTACATACTTTGTCGATAAGAAGTGTATTCAGTCATTTAAAATGTAAGTGATATAAAATGGTCGGTGCTGAGATGGCTTGCTCCCACCTCTGTCACCACGTCCAGACCACTGTCCTCTCCCATCCCCTGTAACCACCTTATTAGTTTTCCTTAATGTATCCACATTTATTTACATACATTTATTTACACAGAAACAAGAAAATACAAATGTAAACTTTTCCTCCCCCCCCACCCTCCTCCAGCCAGCACCACCTTGCAATAAATACATAAATTACACATGCTGTCCACCTTTGTATGCCTTATTGTTTGTTAACTTTCACTTAATAGATCCTGAAAATTTTTACTTAGTACAGACAGAGCATCCTTTATAGAATATCCTTTGCAGGTTATTTGTAGACATGTGTGCCATTCCATGGTACAGATATGCTACAGCTTACTTAAACAGTACCCTAAAAATTGGATTCATAGTTGTTTTCAATATTTTGTTATTATGAACAATGTTATAATAAATAACCACATACATAAGTTGCTTTCCATACATGAAGATATTTCTGAAAGATATATTTTTCAAGGGAGATTTCTGGGTCAAAAAACAAATCTTGTCATTTTAATGGATACTACCCAAATGTTCAACTGAAAGTCGAACCATGTCACATGTTAACAGCCATGCTTGAGAGAGCACTTCTTTTCTCAAAGCCTTGAAAACAGGGTATATTGTTCAACTTTTGGCTTTTTGACAGTCTGACAGGTGAAGAATCTCAATGTAGTTTCATTTTACATTTCTCTCATTATTAAAAAAGTGGAACATCTTTCCATATGCTTGGCACATTTTCATGCCTTTTTCATGAATTACACATTCATATCATTTCCCTATTTTTTTAATTGACCTGTATTTTTGTCCAAATTCCTGGGAGGTTTTCTACACTAAGGAGATTACCCCTTGTACGAAATCATGTCTGCAGACAGAGACAGTTTTGCTTCTTCATTTCCAAAATCTATGTCTTTTACATTTTCTTTCTTGGACTACTGCACTGGCCAGGACTAGTAAATGAATGGATGAGAATAAAGATTCCAAAAATAAACCCACACTGACACAGGTAATTGATTTGTTACCAAAAGCTAATGCAATTCAATGATAAAATTTACCTTTTCTACAAACGATGGTGGAACAACTGGACAAATGTGTAGAAACAAATCTCGGCATTGACCATACATTATTTTGAGGTGGGTCATACATCTAAACATATAACACCTAGAACGTCTGGAAGAAGACATGGAATATCTTTGTAGTCTTGGGATAGGAAAAGAGATCTCGGAGAAGCCACAAAAAGCACTAAACATCAAAGGAAAAAAAAAATTCATTTCCTTTAAGATAAAATTTCATCCAGGGAAATCTCCAAAAAGTTAGAATACAAAATTTGTCCATTTCATCCAAGTTGTCAAATGCATTGAAATGCAACTCTTCATAATGTGGTTTTTTTTTTTTTTTTTTTTTTTTTTTTTTTTTTTTTTTTTGAGACAGAGTCTCGCTCTGTCGCCCAGGCTGGAGTGCAGGGGCGTGATCTCAGCTCACTGCAACCTCCACCTCCCTGGTTCAAGTGATTCTCCTGCCTCAGCCTCTTGAGTAGCTGGGATTACAGAGGTGTGCCACCATACCTTGTTAATTTTTGTGTTTCTAGTAGAGACAGGGTTTCACCACGTTGGTCAGGCTGGTCTTGAACTCCCGACCTCAAGTGATCCACCTGCCTCGGCTTCCCAAAGTGCTGGGATTACAGGCATGAGCCACTGTGCCCAGCCCATTATGTTCTCTTATTAACCTTTTCACATCTGTAAGATCTATAGTATGTTCCTCTTTCATTCCAGATGGTAATAGTGTTTCTCTTTTTGATACACCTGCTAGGGAATCATCAACTTTACTAATATTTTGCAAGAATTAATTTTTGGCTTTGTTAATTTTCTCAAGTGTGTGTTTGTACCCAACACAAGACTTGGCACAAAGCAACTATTCAATAAATGCTTGCTAAGTAGAATTACATTTGAAGATGATTTATACATTAACCATGTATCAATGTCCATTAAACAGATGGATGGATAATCTTATTAATAAACACTTTTTCCATACTTCATAACCTGGCTTTACAAAGATTTCCCTCACCTCTCCACCCTACCCTCTTCCCACTGACAAATTCTTCCTTGGTTATTGGGTTTCTGTGGACAACTCACATCACCTAGGGAGTCTCTGTGATCCTGCAAAGCCCAGGCTGGCTGCACCTCCTCAATAAACAGCACGGAGCACGTTCCCTGCCTCTGACTTACCACGCTGCAGCACAAGTGCTTGGATCCTTCAACAGAATAAAAGCTCACTGCGGGCAGGGACCATGCTCCATACCTAGTGCCTTGAAGAGCAGGTGCCCCACATGCATTCCGTTTAACTGAATGACAGCATCTTCACAACAAATCTCAGAGAAAGGAGAAAGCTGACATTCAGTAGGCTCATACTGTGCTCCAGGCACTGTGAGCAGCACTTCAGAAACTTTAAGTCCTACCACAATGCAGCACAGGTATCACTACCTCAACAGCTCACCACTATCGAAAGCTTAGGGAAATAAATAGCCTTGCCACAAAGCTCAAAGCCAGGTCTGAGTCCGAAGGTCCTGCTCTTCCGGCAGCCCTATGCTGTCTCCCAGAGAAAGGCTAAGGAGACAAAGAAGGAGACTGTGAGCAGAAAGCTGGCGCTGCCCTGAAGAAGCAGGCCTGGGTTCCCGAAGGAAGGCCAGTTTCACAGCTGCCGCGCCATGAGGCTGCCCTGGCCTTGGTGCTAAATGCTGCATTCAAGATGCTCACGGTTTTTCCCCTTCTGTATACACAGCTGGAGGAGGGTAAACTGTGGAAGGGATGATTTTAATAAATGTAGTAAAACTGAAATACAATCAGCCTGAAATTAGGCAGCAGAGATTTGTTAGGATCAGCAGAATTGTCCTTACATTAATTCACTGTTATAAGCCATAAGCAATTAGGACATTTTCCATTGGCACTCATTTAGTTATGAGAAACACTCTCTGGCCATAGGATGTGGCCTTTTAAATACTGCTGATCTTCAATATTAGAGAAATGTACTTGACAGCCAGCACTTCATCAGACTTCCGGCTTATAGAAAGGAATGCTATATCCTTCCAAAGTTGTATGACTGAAATCAACTCAAGAGGAGACACTAAGGTGTTACGCATGCAGGAAATTGATGGGGACCCCCAGCAAAGATGCCAAACTAAGTACCTGCAGAGGGCTAGAAACTGCTAGCAGGTCAGCAAGAAGCAATCCTCACAACCAGTGTGTGTTAGGTGGCCGGCCCCTGCCAGACACAATGCTGGGAGCTGCGCACACTGGGTCTCTCTCAGGACTTCCCCATCCTATCCGACAGGAAGGCCTTGAATAGCAACTGTCGTTCGGCAAGGTGAGGTACGTTGCTCCAGTTCCCGTAGCTAGTAAACCACAGAGCTCAGGTGCATCTGACCCCAAAAGCCACAATCGCCAGGCCCTAACCACACTGAAGGCCACTGATAAAGGACAGGGCACTGTGACTTCACCGGGAATCGGCCTGAAGAAGCGTCTTTCGATGCCTTGCTCCACGTGAGCCCACAGCCAACACCAGGCAAGGCGGTAAACTGAGAACCCCTGCAGGAGAAACCTGGCGTCTGGCCACAGCTCCCCCATCAAGCCTAGGTGTAGACTCAAGAAAGTCACTTGTCCTTTCTTGGCATCAGCTTTCCCATCTGTGAAATATGGATTTGGACCAATTAATCTCCAGTGGCCCTTTCCACCTGACTGGGCTACACAGGGGAATTGAATGCCCAACTCACCCGTCACTGGACAAACACTGGCTACGAGGGTCCATGTGGCGGGGCTACAGAGAGAGCAGAGGCAGCCGCAGCCAGACCACACAGGCACACCAGGCTCAGAGGGGACCCACGCCTGTGCTCCCAACGGGCTGGGAAGCCTTCGAAGACTTTTTAGCTAAAGGCATGACCTGAACGACTTCTTTAAAAAAAAAAAAAAGAACACTCTGGCTGCAACATGGAAGACAGACTGGGGACAAGGCTAAAGAGGAGGTGCCAAGCTAGCAGATGAAGTCACTGCCAGGTGAAGACTGATGGGGACGTGTTCGGGGGGTGGCATGGAGTGAACATTGACGGTCAGGCTCCGCACACGTGCTGCCATTGAAGACATCAGAGCTGACCGACGGTACGCTGAGTGGGAAGGGAAAAGGGAAGCCACGGATCTCTTCAAGATTAGATTCTTGACCGAAAAAAAATGAGAAGAATGCACTACCAGTTTACTCAAGTTGGGGAGAGAGGCAGAGGAGCAAGAAGACAGGGTGTGGTACAAAGATCCATGACTCTGATTTAGGACACAGGAAGTTTGAGATTCCGAAGGACATCCAAGTGATGACAGTGTGACACACGAGTCCTGAGTGGGGAGAAGTCGGGCTGAAGAGACGTGGCTCACAGGGAGACGCTGCAGAACTCAGAGCAGGGAGCCCATCTGTCCAGAGAGAGAGCAGGAGCCAGCGGAGCGACCCTCACCTGATGCCTGGGGTTCCTTGGAAGCTAAGATGCCGCGTGTGTGTTTACGGAAAATCATCACGATCACATTATTGTTATTTTTTTTATTTTTTTAAATTGTACTTTAAGTTCTGGGGCACATGTGCAGAACGTGCAGTTTTGTTACATAGGTATACACATGCCATGGTAGTTTGCTGCACCCATTAACCTGTCACCTACGTTAGGTATTTCTCCTAAAGCTATCCCTCCCCTAGCCCCCCACCCCCGACAGGCCCTGGTGTGTGACCGTCACATTATTTTATCATACAGTCTTTCAGCCCTCTTGCTAATAAACACTTGTCATGTGATGTATTTCAAATTTTTACAAAATGCATCTTAAGCAGCAAAGAATAAAATAGTTAATAGCACCCACTGTGAAAGCAGGCTGCCCGGGCTCAGACCCCATCGTCATTTCCTGCCCAGGCCCCTGAGCGAGTGATCTGATCTCTTCAGGCAGCAGCTTTCACATCTGGGTTATCAGGAAGACAAAACCAGCTAGTCTTACAAAACACCGAGAACAGTGCCTGGCGTTTGGAAAGAGTGCTGTAAGTACCAGCTAATATTATTATTACTAAATCAGTATTCAACAGTGAGAAAGGAAGATAAGATACTTGGAACAAATGAATTCATAAGTAGAGCCAAGAATAAAGAAACAAATTTCCACATCTGTTCTTCAGATAAACCATCACTGGCCCCAATTGCCCAGCTACAGTTCAGACCTCAGCATAGCCGCTCCCAGCCCTTCCACATCGGACCCCTACTGCTCCTCCTGTCTCAGGTCAAACACATACCACACACACACATACACACACACACACAAATGCCACACACATATACAGACACATACACACACACAAAACACACACCATACACATATACACACATACCCAATACACACACACACATCCCACACACGTACACAGACACACATACACCACACACCCAATACACACCCCACACACACACACCCCACACACACACCCAAAACACACACAGACATGCACACCACACGCACACCCAACACACACACAGATACACACATACCCAACACACACCAACACACACACAGATACACACATACCCAACACACACCTCCAACACACACACACACACACACACACACACACACCCCAGAGCTTCCCTCGTGCTGCATGGTAGGAAAGTTGCTGAAAGCTGTATTGTTTCACACCTGTGTGCCTGAAATGAATGTCCTTACCCACTCTCTCCAACTAGGACATTCCTAGTCCTTATTCCAGAAGACTAAGAAACTCTCTCTGGTACTCCCTGCCCTCAGTTTAGACACAACCTCTCTGGCCTCTGTGTCATCAGACATCTCCTCCATGTCTCCATCCCACCAAAGTGTATTTTCATCATGTGAGGAACGGAGAATAAAAAGGATGGCACAGGACTGCTGTGAGAATTGAATGAGAAGCTGATTCGCCGCAGTGCCTGGCCCAGGGCAAGGATTCCACAGGTGCTGGTTCCTGCATCCCCTTGTTCACCTCTGCTCACCCGTGCTCCACGGGCAGGGCCACACGGGCCTCCAGCACCTGCAACGTGGCCTGACACCCCTGAGGCTGCATCCAAAGCTGGCCTTCAAGTCAGGACGATGAGAAGGACCAGGCCCCTCACTCTAGAGGGTGGAAATGACAGTATTGTGGGGAACAAATAGGCTATGTCCTGTGCATCACAGGTCACCAACAGCACATCTGGAAAATACCTGCAGCGAACAACGCATTGACACAAGGTGTGTGTGGATGGATGAGTGGCCCTGGCTCCACGCACACTGCTGTCTAGATGGCGATCAAGTGGCGAGACGGAAGCAGAGCACACAGTAACTGATCCAGAGGGAGGCGGCCTCTCCTGATGCAACAACACCCAGTGTCAGGCATGACGGCGGCCAGGGTAAGGTCAAAGCAAAAACCCCACGAAGGGAGAGAGGCAGCTGAGCACAGAGGTCTCGACAGGAAACCAGATGTGCCAATATCTGCCAAGTCTGTCTAATCCACGTGCTTAGATGGTTCCCGTCTGCAGGGCGCAATCAGAGGCCCTCCTCGGAGCCTCCATAGGATGCAAGCCACAGCCTCAGATGGCTCTGTATCTCTGCTAGACTGTGTCCCCAGAGACAGAACACCCAGCATTTCATCCTCACACCCTCGTACCTGGAACTCACAGGGAGCTCAGCACAGAGCTGGGGAAGGAGCGGAGCGAGAAGGGGCACAAACCTGCAGGGTCAAAGCCTCAGGTCAATGTGCAGTGATCTACAAGATCCCATCCGGTGTTAAATCTGTGGTAACCAGTCCATCTTTGATATCATTAGCCCTACGCTACTGTACCTTCATTGCAGTGCTAATAGCATTCTAGCCTCAGAGTCTGGAAGCACCATCAAATCCACTTTTACTGTCCACGGCCTGTCTGATAGGCATGGGGCCACGTGCCCTATTAACCAGGACTATAAACGTGAAGTTCATTTACTCAAATGGTAGAGATGCAATTATGGCTTCACCCAAGAGAGCTACAAGAATAAGAAAGGCTTGATTCACAGAGGACACTTTCTTGTTAATGAGATTGGAGTTAGGAGCCAGGTTTACGTTTGGGAGCTGTAAATATACCAGATAAACAGTGGGAGGATTTTCCAGTATACTCAGCGCCTCCCTGGATTGTGTGATTTTAAAAAACATATAATTATTACCCACTTTTTATAGGTAAGAAAACTTAAACACTGAATGATTTAATGTGCACAACAAATAAATAGTTTAAATGCCAGCTGTATTTAAATTCAAAACCTGTGTTCTAGTCATTAAGCCATGGAGTACACTTGACTTTTTCTTCTTCGATTTTTACTTCAGTGTTTTGATAAAAAACTTGATGTATGAATGTCTGTGGAAGGTGCAGCTGGAAGCTCTCCAGCCCACTCTGCTCACTAGGTAGCTGCCTTCCTGCTATGGTGCTAGCGATATCCCTAAGAACTGATGGTGCCGGTCAGAGTATGTGGCTTGGGCTGTATGAGGCACCTAATCACCAGGGCTACTTTCAACCCTGGACAACTTGTCAGTGGCCAGTCATGATCTCTCCATTGCCCTTTTCATTGATCTCTTCACTGAACAATTACATGGTGAGCATGTTCTAGTATGAGTCCACAACTCTAAAGGGATGACCAGGGCTGCACACAGGAGGTTTGTGATCAAGGGAAAACCCATATCCCTCTCCCAGGAGCAAGACCCCATCAAGATCAAATGGAGCAATTCTAATACTGACTATGTGGAGGAGTCTACAACTCCCTTAAGAAATTTGAGACTCTCCTGAAGGGAACCACTGCTGATAGACACATGTATATCATGAGAAGCGTGAAAACTCCCTCGAGACTGTCAGCAGTGCCCAGCCCACCACCAACTACTTACCACCCAAGCCCCCCAGCCAAGACTATCCACAACAATCATGGCCTAGTGGAGGTACTCATGACCACAGCGCACACCAACACTACGTCCCAGGAGCCTGCCCCTCTAACAAAGTGAAGTGTGATGGCCTTGCTCACAACATAATCCAACATCCATGGACACTGCCAAGGTCAGTGGTCAAGTGGCAAGGTCATCTCTGAGCTTAATAGGAGCACGCTCAGTGCTCCTATTTTAGACGGAGTCTCACTCAGTCGCCCAGGCTGGAGTGCAGTGGCGCGATCTCGGCTCACTGCAAGCTCCACCTCCCAGGTTCACGCCATTCTCCTGGCTCAGCCTCCCGAGTAGCTGGGACTACAGGCACCCGCTAATTTTTTTGTATTTTCAGTACAGACAGGGTTTCACTGTGTTAGCCAGGATGGTCTTGATCTCCTGACCTCGTGATCCGCCCATCTCGGCCTCCCAAAGTGCTGGGATTACAGGCGTAAGCCACCACGCTCGGCCGCACACTGGCAAGCTTTCTATGTCACCATCCCAACACACATCATTCAGGGATATGACCTAGTGTCTAGAGGAAGCCAATTATCATGACCTCAAGAAGGTGGTGATGCAGTAACTAAAGGACTCCTTGGAAGGTGTCCTGAGCCACGGGGAGGCCCAAGTCAACTGCAATCAAGATGTCCATGAAAAGGGGGAAACAGTCAAGAGATGACCATGGAAAGGTGGAAACGTTCAACAGAGGTGTCCACAGAAAGGTGGAAACATTCAACAGAGGTGTCCACGGAAAGGTGGAAACATTTGATGCTGGCGCTGGCATTTACCTTCGACAACTACTTTGTCAAGGTAATATCCAGGTATGAATGGTGGACCTCATGGTCCCTGTGACCTCCAAGAATGACCAGGCCCAACATCTCTTGCAATAGCAGAAGAGAAAAACAAGCCCTCAGCTACTAGAGCTCCCTGACCCAGCCCTACCCGCAAGACACTCTGAATCTCCTCTCTCTGACAGTTTCCATCCCTGGACCCATGAAGAAGGGAGATTAGGAGAATCATGTATAATCAATACCATCAACATACTGTACCTGGCAGGGAAAAAATATACACATATATAGTAAAGTGTCCAAATGATTAGAGCCCTGTGAAACAATGAGCTATCAGTACAGGTGTTCAAACAGCGTACACCTGCACAGCAAGGTAAACTAAGAGACTTTGCAAGTACTCCCTCCCAACATCAAAGATTAAATGATTTTTTCCACAGAAAGTGAGAATTAAACAGAGGCTAAGAATCAAGTCAGTAACTTTGTTTTTCAACTGGGAAGCCCAAGGTCCAACAGCCAACAGACCATGGCCCTGAACTCAAGGCCAAGGCCTGTGTTCCACCCTAGCCCTGCCCATCACCCAACCCCTTCTGCAGGGGATGGGGAGAACGCTCGTGACTTGCTCGCCCTCATGGCGGTCACACCATCCTGGGCCTCAACATGGCATCTAAGTCTAATCTAATTCCAGCTTCTGGGCCAAGCGCAGTGGCTCATGCCTGTAATCCCAGCATTTTGGGAGGCCAAGGCGGGCAGATCACTTGAGGTCAGGAGTTCAAGACCAGCCTGGCCAACATGGTAAAACCTCATCTCTACTAAAAATACAAAAATTAGCTGGGTGTGGTGGCGTGTACCTATAATCCCAGCTATTCAGGAGGCTGAGGCAGGAGAATTGCTTGAACCCAGGGGTGGAGGTTGCAGTGAGCTGAGATCGCACCACTGTACTCCAGCCTGGGCAACAGAGCAAGATTGTCTCAAAAAAAAAAAAATCTATTATAGCTTCTTATCAATGAAAGAAGCACAACAAATCAATATTCAGGACAATTGGGACAGTTTGAATATGGAACGTTTATGACATAACACTATTGTACTAATGTCGAAGGTCATGGGTGTGACAATGGTTATTTAGGAAAGTATCCTTCTTAGGAGGCATGCAAAAATTATTTAAGGAGAGAAATAATATAAAGTCTGCAACTTAGCCCAAAAAAGTGTATGTGTGTGTGTGTGTGTGTGTGTGTGTGTACAAACATATACAGAGAGAGAAAGTAGAGAAAAAAGAAAATGGGTATAGATGATCAGTATACAATTTTTTCAACTTCATGTTCGAGATATTTCAAAATAAAACGTTGGGGAAAATACTAACAAATCAAGTCTTCCAGAGTCTTTGACTTTAAAACAATCATTCAAAATGTGTAAAGGAGGCAGCCACCTTGCGGAACACACGCATGCTCCAAGGATGGTTCCGGCTGCTTTTTATAGAAGAGTCCTGATCTTCCTGAGAAAGACCAAGGCATGGATATTAGTTCCCCACTTTTTCAGCTGAGATAACTGGGACTTGGCCAAGGTCCCAGAGTTTACCCCAGGACACCTGGTCTTTAGGGAGCCTAGCTGACCTCCTTCACCTACGCTTGCTCTCCACGGCCCTGTGGAGTGTCCGGGACCGCCTGGGCCCACGCCCTCTGCAGATGCCAGAGCAAAGCAAAGGTGGCAGAGCCCCCACCTAACACATCTCTGCCTTCCCAGCACCGGGCTGCTCCTGAGTCAATTTCCTTCTGCTGATCTTCGCAGTTATTCAACGACTCTTCTAGTCTGTGGCCTTTGCTTCTTTCTCATGCCAGCAAACCTCCTTATTTACACAGAAAACAGAAACATTCTGTCTGCTGAGCCAGCAGTTGTGCCTCCGGGCTCCTTCGCTCTGGGCAGCCCTAGGTGAACGGCTCCCATCTGAGGGACTCAGTCCCTTTGTCTTCACACGGGAGCCAATGTAATAACTTCCCTACCAAACTGTTTTTCAGCTCGACTGGCAGAACAAGAGTCAGGGCCCACCGGTCCTGTCTCTTCCATGGACATCAGCTGTCCCCCACTCTCCCTGCCTGATGAAAGTTAAGGAGCTAGGACTTGGTGAGGAACGCTGCTCTAAACCCTCTGTTGGCTTCTATGTGCAGTAAGAAAGGCTGAATCCAGCATCTAGAATTTCTTCTTCCAGTCTATAAGCTCTTCCACTTTTTATAGTTTCCAGAATATCTTACATAGGCCAATTGGAAAAGAGGGTAAAGAAAGGAAGCTACCTCTTAACAAACATCTCTTGTACACTAAATTCAGTTTTGTTTAATCATCTTGTGGCTAAAGCCTCAAAGCCATCCTACAGAAAAAAAGCCCATTATTCCCATTCTCCAGGTGAGGAAAATGAGGCTTAAAGAGCATGAAGTAACATGTCCCAGACCTCACCTTCAGTGATAAACCTTGTTCTCCATTCTTCCTGCTTCCATGGGAAGGGTTTCCCCAGCATAGTCCCTTCACCCTGGCTACCCCGAACCCCAGCCGACCATCCTGAGGCCTGATGGGTCAGTGTCATAACTCTTGAGATCCATTCACAGCACATCTGAAGGAGCAGCTCTGCCCTCCAGCCTACAGCAGGGTCACCAGGGGAGCTTGCTTGAACACCTAGATCGCTGGGCCAACACCAGTGTTTCTGATTTACAGGTTAGAGAGGGGCCCAAGAATGTGCATTTCTAAGAAGAGCCCAGCTTCCTGAAGCTGCTGGTCCAGGGACCACACTTTCAGAACCACTGCAATGGAAATGGGGCGATACAGGCAAGTTCCCTAATTAGTGAGATGGGGAAAGCATGGTGACGTGGGCCCCAGTCCTTCCCTCTCCCCTCCAGTGGCCCTCCCAGCCTGCCCCATGGGTGTGGCCTGCCCATGACTGCCTGGGTACAAGGAATTCTACCATGAGGCCTGCCTACAGCCAGGTCAGACTCCAGCCACAGCCTGCAGGTAAGCAGACCGCCCCATTCCTGCCGTACCTGGCAGTTGTTCTAAACTCAGATCATTGTGCCAGCAGGGTGTCAGCCAGGCGCCTTCAAACCTTGGTAGTCGCCCTGAAGACGTGCCAAGGTAGACGGTCAAGCCAAGGCTGACCCCAGTGCCATCCCCTCTTTCTTCTGCTTCACAGCAGTCCAACAAAAAGCCACACCCCTCAACTACTGGACAAACATTCACTGGGTGCCCCCCTGTTCCAGACACTGTGCTGGTCCAGAAGCAACAGAACAACAACGACCAAAAAAAAAAAAAAAGAAAAATCACAGTGGGCTAGGATATGACATCCTACTTAGGCACTCAATCCCAAGATATCAATCACCTCTGGCCACTGTTCCCCTACAACCACTCATGGGCCGGTAAAGAAACCGTGGCTTGGATGTGCAACTTGCCCAACAAATCCCACAGCTTCAGTGGCAGAATTTGGTTCCATACGTGCCCAACTTTGAAGACCATGCTAACAGACAGCCATGACACCACTGTAAAAATTGGCATTATAACCTGTTTATCAGGCCCCACCCATGAGCATTTCTTCAGGGCATGACAGTGCCCCCAGGGCACAGCACAGAGCCTGGCAAGCTGCCCAGTGGAGGAGGTGGGTAAATGCTACGGACGGAATACATAAATGACGAAAGCAACACCTTCGGCACTGATACGCAGGGCTTTCAGAAGATTACAGCTTCTCGCCTCGGGGAGAATAAGTCCCTATTATAAATGGAAACCTTATAGTCCCGCAGATGCTCTTTATTTTTCCTAATGCACAGCTGCAAAAGAGAAAATTTTCCCTTGTGTGCTAAATACGCATTTCTAATTACCCTCACCTAAGATGCATTCACTCTAAAGACTAAGAATAGCTAACTGATATAACTTACACGCAGTAATATAGTCTACGTCAGCTGGAAAAATTAAGCCAAAGGTAAACTAGGATTGGTGAAGAGTCAATAAGTTATTACAAGGAATCGCCAAGATTGAAAACAAAATAAGATGCAGAATGAAGGCATAGAACTTTACCTCCAAAACCAGAGCCAAGTCACCACCAAGGCATTTGACTTCCTGAGTCCTTGCCTCTGGTTACCCCATCTCCAGCAGAGATGGAGAGGAAAAGGAGAAGGAGGTGAGGAGTCTGAAGGCCCAAGGTCAGACACCAGTCCAGTATTGCTATTCCACCGGCTCTGAGACCTGGGCAAACAACCTGACCCTCTGCGCTTCAGCTTCCTTGCGTACACGAAGCGAGGATGGTGGCACATCTGCCTGCTGCGGGCTGTGAGCATTAAATGAGCACAAGGACCTTGGGTTTAACAAACCCAAGTCCGGCCAGGTGCGGTGGCTCATGCCTGTAATCCCAGCACTTTGGGAGACCGAGGCGGGTGGATCACCTGAGGTCAGGAGTTAGAGACCATCCTGGCCAACATGGTGTAAACCCCAACTCTATTAAAAACACAAAAATTAGCTGGGTGTGGCGGCACGCACCTGTAGTCCCAGCTACTCGGGAAGGTGAGGCAGGAGAATCACTTGAATCTGGGAGGCGGAGGTTGTAGCGACCTGAGATCGCGCCACTGCACTCCAGCCTGGGAGACAGAGCAAGACTCCATCTCGGCAGAAAAAAAAAAAAAAAAAAAAAAAAAAAACCAAGTCAGGTCCTTTGCTTCTGCTTGGAGAACACTATACATCCTAAGGAAGATGACGGTGGCTGCTCAGGTCTTCTGGGGAGATGAAACCCACAGTGTCCAAGGAGGACACGCCCAGCTCAGCCTCGAGGTGGCAGAGTCCCAGATCAATTACATTCCCTTATTCATCCTTTCACCAAATGGTGGTTCTGAGTCAATACCATTTTATGTAACTAAGAAAAACGAAAAGCAGTTATCACCAAGACTACAGTTTGAAGTTAGTTAATATTCTAGCAGCACTGGCTTTCCATAAATCAGCTGTCCTCTCAAAAGAATGGTGGGATTTTAACCAGAAGAAAAAGGAATCTGGAGACTCTTTTTTTAATGTGGGACTGGATCTAGATGGGAGGATGGGACTCCTGTGACACAGCAAGCCACCCTTCTCCCTGAGGAACACCTGGATAAGAGCTGAGGGGTCTTGCCCAAGGAGACTGGCGTCCCCCGCCTTGCACTAGCACTGTGCTGAGCGGTCTTGCCGCTCTCCGGTGGTGCTTGGCACGGTCCACGGTGCAATAGAGCTCTTCCCAGGAAGTTGGATGCTCCGTGTGTTGTCCCAGGTCTTCGCCGACGGCTATGAAACCTTTTCTCTCCTCTGTGAGACAGGGCAACAATGCCTTCTTGGCAAGGAAAGGCAAGGAGCCCAGTGTGGCTACAGCTCAGGCTTTATAGCAGGAAAGAGAGCTGGATGGACAGGGCGGGCAGGCCAAGGGGCCTTCGCCCCAGACTCCCCACAGCCGCCGACTCCCTCCCTTTCCTTGCGCCTTCCTCCCTGTCTCCAGCAGCTTCTGTCACGCTGGCTAGAAGGTAGGAGGTTCCAAAAGGAGCCCCTGCTGTCCACAGCCTGGGAAGACTTCTGCAATGTTTCTCCTCCAGAAAATGGTTCCCAGAGCATTCTTGGATGCCTATCTTACAGGCTTTGTGCTTTGGTGGACATGAGCCCTGCTACATCCAAGAAAGTGCAGTCATCTTGCACTTTCTAAATAATACAGCATGAAGAAAAGGACCCAGAATTTATTCTTCAATGCCCCATACCCCTTTTCTAAATTAGAATTGCCCCATATTTTATAATTGCCCTAAATTATAAATGTTAGTAATTGGCCCTTCATCCTAAGATGTAAACTAAGATCTGGGTTCATATCTTAGCTCCACAAGCAACCAACCTGGGCACATTATTTCACTCTCTGGAACTCAACTTTTCTTCATCTGTAAAATGGGACAGATATTCCTTATTCTGTAGGCCTGTTCTGAGAAATAGAAACGTGTACAGAAAAAGCCTAGAAAGGTTCCCGTGGCACCTACAATAAACTGCTCTTGTTCCTTTCTGTGGAAGCTCTTCTGTGACCAGCTGTCTGTGAGGTGTCCTGGAAGGGAGGCCTGCAGCTCCCCAGAGATTCTAGCCCAACCCTGCCTGGGCCCCGCCAGCCTCTCCCGGCACAGCCTCACAGCAGGCATGTTGGAGGAGCTAAATATAGCTCCTCAGACTCCAGGGCGGATGGTCACCCGCCCGGGCTGTGCCTCCTTCCACATCACACACGCGCACGCACAAAACACATGCTCCTCGGCGGAGGCCCCTTTCAGAAACACGCATGCAGAAGCTCAGTCAATCCACCTGCAGTGCACGGGGGACAGCTCGCATTTCGGTATGCTAAGAATAGTCCGGGTTGCGCTAAGAGCCCGAATGCGAAGGGTATGGAAGTCGTTCTCTGCGGAGGCCCCGCTGGCACCGGAGAGCCAGGCATGGCAGCCCACAGGGTGAAAGGCGGGTCCCCAGGGGCCAGAGGAGAGGCTGAGAGAATGGAGAAGAAAACGAGTGACTGCCTCGGGATATAGGGAAGAAAACACATCGCGCATGAAGAAGGGGACAAGAGTGGGCTGGCTGGGCCCAGCGGCCGCTGCTCAGCTCTGCCTGCTTCTCTGCAGGCTGTGTGAGAGCAGACACAGCCACAGCCTCTGCTGAAGGACAACATGGAGAACAACAGCAACAACAACACCCAGTTGGTGCTGAGGGGCTGGGTGCCAGCCCCGAGTTCCGGTGTGCTGGAGCATTCTTTACAGCAGACATGGGACATGAGCCCGGGCTGGCTGGCTCTACCACCACCCTTAGCAGAAAGCCAGATCAGACTCCAACCAGACTCCAGTGCACACACCACTTTCCATGACCCAGCAGAGGTCGGGGCAGAAGTGGAGGGCGAGGTCAGGAGACAAAGGGCCACCAGGGGCCAGGCCACAAGCTGCCAGCAAGGCAGGGTCCAGCCATAGCCACAGGCCCCAGCCAGAGCTCAAACAAGGACGCATGTGCAGCACTGGCTGGGCCAGCTGCATCTTCACAAATGGCCCAGCAGAAGCTGGGCTGGCCAGAAGCCCCTCTGATAGGCAGACTCTCTAAAGTCCCCTCCTGGAAATGCCATCTTTGGAGATGGACACAATTGGCTTGTCCATGCCAGCTCTGCACTAACAGCTGTGGGTCCCTGAGCATGCCTATCTCCTTGTCTAGAAGATGAGGCAGCCAACCACTGTGGCTTCACAAGGCTGTTGTAAGGACAGTGCCTGGCATATGCAACGTGTCCAATCAATTGTCATAAACAGGATAATGACAATGATGACAATGACTCCACCTTGTACAGGGTAACACTCAGATGGCATAAAGACAATCTTACTGGAAGCTCTGGAAGAAACAAATACTAACTCTTTAAGGGCCCACCTCTTGGGAGGAAGAGTAGGAAAGTCGGGGTGAGGGCAACATTTCTGGACAATAGCCCTATGCCAGGTGCCAGGCCAGGATCATGAGAGCGAGTTTAGGCTCATGTAATCCTTGCAGCCATCCATGAAGTGGAGACCAAGAGCTCCATGGAACAGACAAGCAGAGCAAGGCTCAGAAAGGCCAGGAGCTATAGCTTGGGTGCGGAGGGACAGGGTTTTCATCTAACTGAAGCCCCAAACACAAATTCTAACTCTCAAGTCTCAATGCTCTTCCCAGAGTGGGAGACTGAGGTTTAGGGAGCTGAAGTGACTCACCCAAAGTCACAAAGCTAGTGGAGGTGCGGGGTCCAGCGTGAAGGGAGGGCACCCGTGAGCCCAGGACCCCCTCTCCCGCATGAATAGCAGGCCCAGGGCTGCTCTTACTTGCTTCCTGTCACCCATCCCCTGCTCCCCTACTCCCAGCTCCAACCAGTTCGTCAGTACCACCCCTCTAGTCGAAGGCAGGAATCAGGTGTCATTAATCTTTATACCCTCGGTGCCCGGAACACAGCAGAAATTCCAGAAATGTTTACCAAAAGGAAACACGAGAAGCTGAGGCGGAAGGAAGGCGGGCCTGCAGGGGTGGTTACAGACCAAACCCAAGGCACACAGCACACCAGAGGCCCACAGCAACATCTGATTCCCCGCGATGACGGAACTGGCCCCATCCCTTTCATCTCATAGCTAGGGGACTCTCTTGCTATATAGATATGGAAACAGAAACTCATACAGGTAAAGTAAACCCCCACGTTCGCAGGACCTACTGAGGGCAGGGCCAGAACAAAAGCCCATGCTGGGGCCTGCGGGCCCAGAGTTGGTCCTATGGCATGAGGCTCCTAAAACTTTTGGCAAGGAGAGTCATGCCATCTGACTTAAAAATATAAATGCTCCCTTCCGGGCCGAAGTGGAAAATCAATAAGCTGCAACCCAGGCTTACTCTTTGCCAGAGGAAGGGGAGAGCTCCAAGGTTCCTGCTATTGTACCCGGGCTCCTGTTCCTTCACTAGGGACCTGCGGAAGGCACACTGTGGACACTGCGGGAAGAGCCGGCCCTCGGTGATGTGTTCTGCCCACCTCTCATCAAGCATGAAGATAAATCCTACAGGGCTCCCCCCCCCGAGACCACCAAATTATTTCCCTGGCAACCAGGGAAGTGAATAGAAGGTTATGTATCCCTCCCATTTGCTCGTCGGTCTTTGAAACTCATATACAGCTGAAAGGGGAAGGTCACAGGGACCCCCTGTCCAAACACCAAACCCTGGGATTTCCTTGAGGCTGGAAATGAAAGCGGATCTCTGAGCAGCCTTCCTGAGCGTCTGTATCCCACAGGGCAGGCACTGTGTGAGGTTTTGTGGAAGGTCTCCCGCCGAGTCCTCAAGATCATTCTGTGAGGTGCGAGCTTTATTCCTCATTGTAGGGATCAGAAAACTTGTCCAAGATCAAGTGGGAAAGGCTCCTTCAATTCCACCACAACTCAGTCCCCAAACTGGATGGCCATTGAGCAGATAGTGTGTAACTGTTGCCTACACGCCAAATGACACATGCAGGTGTGAGCGGTGACTGTCAGGCAGGCCACTGGGGTGTGTAACACCAGGGGCATGAGTACAGCGTGGGGGCAACAGGGCTAAGCCACTGAGTGTACAAGGGACACCTGGGGACCCATGTTGATAGTGGGGCCACCAGATCTGAGGTCAGCCATGAGCTAGCGAGAGGATTCGGCAATGGAGGCCTTTGGTTTTCACACTGGGCAGCTCAGGCGTAAAGCCTCCAGTGCTTCATGAGTCATCAAAGCCAATGAAGAAGTCCTTGGCAGAGGATTCATTTGAACTTCCCTTTAACACTTCAGCTGTGGGGAGTCTGGCATGAAATATGCGCATTAGCTACTCTCCAACTGGAGAATGCAGAATTAACGTCTGTGGAAAACCTACATGCTGAGCGATGTGCACACACCATCTCATGCGGTTCTCACAACAATTTCCCACTTTGCAAATCAGGGGACTGAAGCTCAGAGAAGTATCATGTTGTGCCTCTACCAGGTGAGATGCCCAACCCCAACTCCCACCCCAGGTCCTCCCTCAGTGCCCCCACCCCATAAACAGAATTCCCTCTGACACTGCATGCACCAGCCTCCATGACTCTCTGGGTCTCATGGTCCCCTGACGGAGGCACACGGGACTCAGGACACCCTTCCTCATCCCCAGCACCTCCACCCGGGGCACAGGAAATGCTCATGAAATGTCTATGGAGGAAGAGAGATGGGAGATGGAGAGATGGGGGCTGGGGAGGGAAGAAGGGGGGAAGTAATGAGTCACCAGCCTGGGGTCCCACCTGGAAACACCAGATGGGAACAACCCACCGACAACCCCAGGAGGGAAACAATGGCATCCAGCTTCCAGGGCACACACACTGGGGGGCCACACAGCCCTGCACAGGGGGAAGGGCACCTGCACGTGGCCTTCTTTCTCAGCTGGGCATCTTGGCACTCTCAGGTTCTTCTGGACATTGTCTTCCACGCTGAAGGAACGGAAGTCACCGAAACAGTCCTTGATGGCTATTTTAGACCTTCAACTGCCATTAAGACACAATCTCGTACAGAGAGGGTTTGTGGCCATTCCGTACAAGGAATTAACAAGTATGATGAGCTCCCACTACAGATAGCATCCTTAAAGGAATGAGTCATCAGAGACCACCAGATGTTAGCAAGAGAGAAGTGCCTTCATTCCTGCACACTCCTCCCTCCCTCATGCCCATTAGAAGACCTGAAGGGGCGGTGGAGCCTTTAAAATCAGGGCCACAGGGCCAATGAGACCTCCTCCATGAGCACCATGACCTCAGTGAGCACTGTGGGACCTGCCAGGATGGACAGAGCAGCTCCACACTGGGATCTGAACCCCGGGGGTTCCTGTAAGCCCTGCACCGTTGGTCGGTCATTTTTCACATGGGTGTATCTGAACCCTCAACCCTGGATTCAGAAGCCTTAATCGCCACAGGTTTCTCAATTGCTTGCAGCAAGCATCTGAGGGGTCCCTCTCCCTTTCCTGACACAGAAGATGAGGAGGCAAGGGTGCTGCATACACCTGCAAGAAACAGGCTTCCTCCTCCCACCCCATGGCACCCACACAGGAAAACATTGTTCATTCTTTTTTTTTTTTTTTTTTTTTTTGCCTTTGAGAACATAAAGCAAATAGCAAATACAAAGCACATTCTTAGGAAATGGAAAAATTTGTTCTCTAGAGATTTATAGTAAATGGTCTATAAAGGACATTGATAATTATTTAAGGATGCATCGTAAGGACGGCTGCTCCCCCACGTAGGACAAAGGGAGTATTTGTAGTCCTGGATCCCTGTGGGTAAGAATATGTGGAGAGGACTAATGAGAAGAGCAGACATCTAGACTCATTAGTAGTGATTCAGTAGTTTTCACTCTCCTGTAAGATCACAGCAGGAGTTTAACTGTGTTTCCAATCCAAATGCATCCACTGTATTTCTTTCCATTGTATGCAGGGTAATAGACCCATGAAAGGGAAGAGGAAGACTGCAGAGAAGAAAACGTTCTCCCCCACTTGCAGCTTCTCTCCAGCACCAGTAGTTAAGAAAGATGGAGCATCAGGGGCCGGCCAGGTGACCACCAGAGGAGGAAGGCAGAGCAGGCAAAGCACAAGGCATGGCAAAGAGGGGTGCGGCCTTCTGCATTCCAGGGTTTATAATGCTAATTCAAAATTACCACAGCAAATAAAGAACATCCAGAGGTATCTCATCACACGGTATTCTCCAAAACAACAACAACAACAACAACAACAACAACAACAACACAGAAACTGCAGTCCTTTCTCTTAATTGGATGTAAATGCAAGGAAACCTTCTCTTTAAAAGTAAGTCTGGAATAATTTCAGCCACAAAATAAATAATGATAGTAATGGCCGGGCATGAGGGCTCATGCCTATAATCCCAGCACTTTGAGAGGCTGAGGTGGGAGGATCACATGAGTCCAAGAATTTGAGACCAGCCTGGGCAATATGGCAAGAACCCATCTCTACAAAAAATTATTTAAAAACTTAGTCAGGGCTGGGTGTGGTGGCTCATGCCTGTAATCCCAGCACTTTGGGAGGCCAAGGTGGGCAGATCACTTGAGGTCAGGAGTTTGAGACCAGCCTGGCCAACATGGTGAAACCCTGTCTCTAGTAGAAATATAAAAATTAGCCGGGTGTGGTGGCACACATCTGTAATCCCAGCTACTCAGGAGGCTGAGGCAGGAGAATTGCTTGAACCCGGGAAGCAGAGGTTGCAGTGAGCAAAGATCGCACCACTGCACTCCAGCCTGAGTGACACAGCAAGACTCCGTCTCAAAAAAAAAAAAAAATTTAGTCAGGCATGGTGGCATACACCTGTGGTCCCAGCTACCGGAGAGGCTGGGATAGGAGAATCTCTTGAGCTCTGGAGGTCAAGACTGCAGTGAGCCGTGGTTGAACCACTGCACTCCAGCCTGAGTGACAAAGTGAGACCCTGTCTCAAAATAAATAAAAAATGATAGGAGTGGATTCAAATCCATTAAATAAAACAAATACCCATGACCCCCAACTGACACTACTAAGTAAAGGGGAGGAAAAAGAGACATCTCTTTCCTACAGAATTCCCACAAATGAATGTAGGAGGAATTATGGAAATAGAAAAGTCACCATTTGGCAAACACATAATCATTGAAGGTAAGAATCATCACAGGATTCGTGAGAGAAAGGACGATGAGACAGAACATTTACTTAGTCTCAAAGCTCCTCCCACAGACATTCATTAAACACAGAGGAAAACTTTTTAGTGGAGCAGCCTGGCAGACACCACCTGACCACTGTGACCAAAGCTACCAGCACCAGGATGAGGCTGACCCAATTGTTGTCCAGGAGTGTGCTGCCTAATTGGCACACATTTGTGAATTTTCCAGTTTTCCTTGTACAACTGATTTTTAGCTTTATTCTACTGGGTTGGAGAAGATACTTGGTACAATTTCAGTCTTTTTAAATTTGGTAAGACTTACTTTGTGACCCAATGTGTGATCTCTCCTGGAAAATGTTCTGTCTGCACTTGAGAAAAATGTATAATCTGCCACTGTTGGGTGGGATGTTCTGTGTAGATCTGTTAGGAACATTTGGTCTATAGTGTTGTTCAAGTCAACTGATTTCCTTCCTCATTTTCTGTCTGGATGTTATCCATTCTTGAAAGTGGGGTATTGAAGTCTTCTCCTGTTACTGTGTTGCTGTCTTTTTCTCCCTTTAGTCAGTGTTTGCTTTACATTTAGGTGCTGTGATGTTGGGTGCGTACATACTGATAACCGTTACATCTTCCTGTTGAATCAACCATTTTATCATTATACAATGGCCTTCTTTGTCTTATGGCAGTGTTTGCCTTCATGTTTATTTTGTCTATCAAAGACACTTGTACTCATATGCTTATTGCAGCACTATTCACATTAGCAAAGTTACGAAATCAACCTAGATGCCCATCAACAGTGGACTGCATAAAGAAAGTGTGGTCCATATACACCATGGAATACTATGCAGCCATAGCAAAGAACAAAATCATGCCCTTTGCTACAACATGGATGTAGCTGGAGGCCACTATGCTAAGTGAATTAACACAGAAACAGAAAATCAAATACTCTATGTTTTCACTTAAAAGTGGAAGCTAAATAATGGCTACACACAGACATAAAGATGGAAACAAGAGACACTGAGGACTCCAAAAGTGGGGAGGTCAAGGGAAGGTCTGAAAATCTACCTGTTGGGTACTATGTTGACCATTTGGGTTATGGGTTCCACAGAAGCCCAAACCCCAACATCATGCAATACATCCATGTGACAAACCTGCACATGTATCTCCTGAATCTAAAATTTTGTTTCAAACGAAATCAAAAAGGAAATTTCAAAAATATCTTCAGACAAACAAAAACAAAAAAACAACATACCAAAACCTATGGGATGCAGGAAAGCAGTACTAAGAGAGAAGTCTGTGGCAATAAACACCTGTAATAAAAAAGAAAACTTCAAATCCACAACCTATCTCTACACCTTGAGGAATGAGAAAAAAACAAACTATGCCCAACATCAGCACAAGGAAGACAATAATAGATTAGAGCAAAAATAAATGAAATAGAGAATACAAAAATGATTTTAAAAAACAACTAAATTTTTAGAAAAGCTAAAATTGACAAGCCTTTAGTGGGACTAAAAAACGAAGAAGAAAAGATGACTCAAATAAATAATATCAGAAATGAAAGAGGAGACATTACAATCAATGCCACAGAAATCTGAAAAATCATTAGAAGATGACTATGAACCATTACACAACAACAAATTGAATAACCTATGAGAAATGGCTACATCGTAAAAAAAAAACACAAAACCTACCAAGACTGAATCACAAAGAAATAGAAAACCTCAACAGAATCACAACTAGTAAGATGACGGAATTAGTAATCAAAAATTTCCCAGCAAAGGAAATTCCAGGACCAGATGGCTTCACTGGTGAATTCTGTCAAACATTTAAAGAATTAATTCCAATCCTTCTCAACTCTTCCAAAAAGCTGAAGAGGAGGGAACACTTCCAAACAAATTTTAGGAGGCCAGCATTATCCTAATCCCAAAGCTAGACAAGAACCTTATTAAAAACTACAGGCTAATAACCCTGATTAACATGGACGCAAAAATCACCAATAAAATATAGAAAATCAAATTCAACAACACATTAACTAAGTGAGATTTATCTCTGGATGCAAGGAAGGGTCAGCACAGGAAATCAATCAATGTGGCTCTACCACATTAACAAAATAAAGGGCAAAATCACAGGATCACCTGCACTGATGCAGCAAAAGCCTATGAGAAAATTCAACACCCTTTCATAACAAAAACTCTCAACGAGCCAGGAATGGGAAGAAATTACCTCGATAAAATACAAACCATATCTGAAAAGCCCACAGCTAATATCACACTCCATGGTAAAAAAAACTGAAGGCTTTTCCTCTAATATCAGGAATGAAGCAAGGATGACCACTCTTGCCACTTCTATTCAACACAGTAGTGGAAGTCCCAACCAGAACAATTAGGAGGAAAAGCAAACAAATAAAAGGCATCCAAATCAGAAGAGATGTAAAATTATTTCTGCAGATGACATGATCTTATATCCAGAAAACATTACTCTACAAGCTATCAGAACTGCTAAACAAATATCAGCAAAGTTACAGGATGCAACATACAAACATTAGTTACACTTCTAAACACTAACAATGAACTATCAGAAAAAGAAATTAAGGAAACAAATTCACTTATAATAACATAATAACATCAAAAATACTAAGGAATAAACTTAACCAAGGAGGTGAAAGACTTGTACATTGAAAACTACAAAATATCGATGAACAAAATTAAAGATACAAATGAATACAAGGACATCTCGTATTCATAGATTGAAAAAATTAATATTGTTAAAATAGCTATACTACTCAAAGCAATCCACAGATGTAATCTCCATCTAAACAAAGGCTTTTTTTTAACAAAATTACAGAAAAACCTTAAAATTCATATGGAACCATTATGAACCCAGAACAGCCAAAACCATCTTGAAAAACCAAAATAAAGCTGGAGGCATCCACTTTCTGATTAAAAAATGTATTGCAAAGCTATAGTAATTAAAACAGCATGGTAGCCAGGCACAGTGACTCATGCCTGGAATCCCAGCACTTTGGGAGTCTGAGGCAGAAGGATCACTTGAGCCCAGGAGTTTGAGACCAGCATGGGCAACACAGAGAGGCCCCATCTCTACAGAAAGAAAAAAAAAATTGCCAGGTGTAGTGGTGTGCACCTGTAGTCCTAGCTACTCAGGAGGCTGAGGAGGAAGAATGGCTTAAGTTCAGGAGTTTGAGGATGCAGTGAGCTATGATTCCACCACTGCAGTCTAGCCTAGGCAACAGAGTAAGATCCTGTCTCTAAAAAAAAAACAAAAAACAAGTAACAACAAAAACCTAGCATGGTACTGACTGACAGACATATGAGATCAATGGAATAAAGGGCTCAGAAATAAACTTATGCATATAAAGTCAACTGATCTTCAGTAAAGGCGCCAAGAATACACAATGGGGGACAGATAATCACTTTAACAAATGGTGCAGGGAAAGCTGAACACCCACAAGCAGAAGAATAAAATTGAATCTTTATCTTATACCATACACAAAAAGAAACTCAAAATGAATTAAAGATTTAAATTTAATATCTAAAATGTTAAAACTCCAAGAAGAAAACATAAGGGAAATGCTTCATGACTTGGTCTCTGCAATGATTTCTTGGATATGACACCAAAAACACAGGCAACAAAAGCAAAACCAGACAAAATGAACTATACCAAACTAAAACGCTTCTATACAGAAAATGAAACAACCAACAGAGTGAAAAGGCAACCTACAAAATGGGAGAAAATATTTGCAAACCATTTATCTGATAAGGGATTAATATCCAAAACGTATAAAGAACTCCTACAACTAACTACTGTAGTTAACTAAATAATAAATAATAAATGATTAATAAATAACACAATTAAAAATGGGCAAAAGATTTAAATAGAAACATTTCTCCAAAGAAGACATAGAAATGTCAACAAACATATGAAAAGATGCTCAGCCTCGTAAGTAATTAGGGAAATGCAAATCAAAAACATGACGATACATTACCTCACACCTGTTAGGATGACTATTATCAAAATCAAAATGACAAGTATTAGTGAGGATGTGGAGAAATTGGAGTCCTTGGACACTGATGGTGGGAATGGAAAAAGGTACAGCTGCTATGGAAAACAGTATGAAGTTTCCTCAAAAAATCAGAAATAGAACTACTAAATGATCCAGCAATTCTGTTTATGGGTATTTATCCAAAAGAATTGAAATCAGGATCTCAGAGAGATATGTACACTTCCACATTTACTGCAGTATTATTCACAATATCCAAGAGGTAGAAACAACCTCAGTGTTCACGGACAGATGAATGGATAAGCAAAATGTGGTCGATAAATACAATGAAATGTTATTCAATCTTTCAAAAGAAGAAACCCTGCCACATGCTACAACATGGATGAGGCTTGAGGACATTATGCTAAAGGAAATAAAGCAGTCACAGAAGGACAAACACTGCACGATTCTGCTTAGTTAAGGGATGTGGTCAAACTCATAGATGCAGGAAGTCACATGGTGGTTTCTGGGGACTGGGAGAGGGGAAACGGACAGTTGTGTTCCATAGGTATCAAGTTTTCAGTTATACAAGGTGAGTAAGTTTAGAGATCTGCCATAAGACATTGTGCCTGTGGTTAGCAATATTGTATTGCACTCAAAAAAATTTGTTAAAAACCATCTCAAGGTTACATGTTCTTCCCACAATGGAAAAAAAATGAGAGCAAACTCATACATGCAGTAGGTGGCCCAGCGTCTGATCCAGGATGAGCTCAGCACACCAGAGCTCTAGTGGAGGTGGTCCTGCCAGTCTCCGACCACCTGCACCACGCTGGGGGCAGCATCCACCCAGCAACGGCTGGCATTCCAGCTGAGCTTTTGTTTTTCTAAGCGCATTGCATACAGAAGTGCTCGCGAATGTGACAGCTCATGGGGCACGTCTACTCTGGACTTCTGGGACACTGTCCTGTTTGGTTTTAGAAAATTCCTGGGTCAGCCCTTGAAATGAGCTGAGATTGAAATCAGTCAGCAATGGTGGAACATTAATTTCCTTTTCTCCAGTCACTTCTCAGAATCTTTAATATATGATGTGCTTAGGGGTGGGTGGGGGAGGAGGTTATAGACACTACGGTGTCACTTTGACAACTAGTTCCAAAATGCCCTCCCTGTAAATGTCCACGGGGTTCAGTGATCATTTAAACCCACTGGCGAAATTTCCTCCATTGATTGGTCTTTCTCTGCATGAGAACACAGCCCTCACCTCTTCCAGCCCCATGACTCTATGAACTGTCCTCAACTATTCATTCATTCATTCACTATTCATCCCTTCAGCCTCTTTTGCTCGCTAGAGACCTCTGGGCCTGGGCTAGCTGTGCACCCGGAAAACAGAGATGGAAATGCAGGGCCTGGGCCTACAAAGTTCTCGCAATACAGGACAAGGAACCTCACAGACAAAGACAAGCTGGGCAGGGAGCATCCTGACGGAAACCTGCAAGACAGACAGTGGAAGGAGGAACTAAGAACAGCCGGGAGAACCAGGGTTGCCAAGAAGGCCTGTGGGGACGAAAGAGAATGTGGAAGACAGACATTTAGGCAAATGGACAGATCTGAAAAGAAAACAAACAAAGGATGCCTTGTGCAGGGAGCCGCATGCAACTCCACATGGGCTCTGGCCAGAGTGTAAACAGCCATGATGGAGAAAGAGCTGGGAGCCGAGTCAGGAGAGTCGGGAGAGTCAGGAGGGCCTTTGCGGCAGTGGGTTCTCAGACTCCGCTGCATACTAGAAACTCCTGGGAGGCTGGTTCTGCGTTGTTGCTGCTGCTGTTTTTAAATCCATCGTAATGAAGTATGATTTCCATACAATAAAACATACATATTTAACTGTCAAGTTCAACATATTATGACAAATGTATACTTGTATAATCCACACAGAGAAAAGATAAAGCCACTCCATCACCCCCTAAACCTTCCTCCTGCCCCTTTACAACCAATCCAAAGCCCTCTCACCCCTCCAGGACAACAGAGATCTGCTTTCTCTCTAGATCTATCTATCTAGAATTCATATAAATGGAATCATAACAGTGTGTACTTTCTGTGTCTGGCATCTTTCACCCAGCATGCTTTGTTGAAATTCATCCACGTTCTTAAGTGGAGCAGCAGCTTGTTCCTTGTTGTCAGTAGCATTCCACAATACTACAACTATTGATTTATATATAGTTGGCTGCAGGGGTTATTTCCAGTTTGGAGCTATTCTGAATAACGTTGCAATGAACATCAAAGTACAAGTCTTGTACAGGCATGCATTTTCATTTCCCTTGGGTAAGTACCTAGAAGTGAGTTTGCTTCATTGTACAGGAGCTATATGTTTAACTTTAAAAGAAACTGATGAATAGTTCAACAAAGTAGCCACACCATTGTACACTGTCACCAGCAGTACAGGTGCGTTCCACCTATCATACGCCACTGGTCTTCTGGGCAATGTGTGTGTAGGAGTGTCTAATCGTGGTTTTGACTTGAATTTCCCTGAAAATCTGTGACATTGAGCATCTTCTCCCATGCTCATTGGCCATCTATTTACTTTCCTTTATGAAGTGTTTGTTCACATTTTTGCACACTTCTAATTGTGTTGTTTTCATGTTATTGAGTAACAAAATTTATTCACGTATTCTTGATAAAAGAGCTGCATTTTCAGCTCTAAATGTTTGATGTTGTCCTTTTCCTTCCACTCCTTTCCTCATTATATTTATGATTTCCTTTAAATTCTTAAGCATAATTCTAACAATCAACTCAAAGTCTGTGTACGCTAACACCATCATCCTTATCATTTCTGAGTCTGCTTCCAGTGACAGGCTTTCCTCCCAGTTATGGTTCCTATCTTCCTGCTAGTTTTGTAGGGCACTGTGAGTTTTCAGTTGACAAATGTCTGAATGTCGCTGTCATCCTTTAAAGAGTGTCAGGTCTCCTTTTGATTGGCAGTTGCGTTACCTGTGGAGCAGCTCGTTCTTTCTGATGCCTGTTTTCCAGTCCTCTTAAGGCACATCCAGAGTAGCCTTCACCCTGGGGCCAGGCCGGCCCCACTGCTAAGTAGGGGGCTTTTCTGTGGTCTCTCATCCAGAAGGCCTCGGGTGTCCCACGAGGTCCCTCCCCTGGCTGTGAGGCTCTGGGATTCTTCAGTGCACACCTGCCTGGAGTTCTCTGCCTGCCTGCAGGAGTTTCACTCTCCATGTGTTCAGCTTAGGATTCAGCAATGGCCTTGTGGTGACCCCCAGAAGACTCTGGAGCTCTCTCTTTGCTGAGTTCCTTTTTCTCTAATGTTCTGCCCCAAATTTCAGCCCCTTGGCCTCCTGCACTCTGCCCTCCACCCCCGCCACTGAGCAAAGCTGCCATTCTTTGCCATTCCCCATCCCTACCCATCCTTATCCGTCCCAACCCAGCCCTACCCATCCCTACCCAACCCTACCCATCCCTACCTGTTCCTACCCATCCCTACCCATCCCTGCCCACGGGCACTACCGAATTGGCTTCTCTGCCCTCAGAGACCACAGTGCTGTGCTGGGTGGGTTTTGGTTTATTTCTGGGGGGAGGAAGGATTAGGGGGAAGGATTTTTGTCTATTATCTGACGACCCTTATTTAATTCATCCCCCCATAATTTTTAGTGGTTTGCAGCAGGAGGGCAGGCCTGGCACCAGTTGCCCCATCATGGCAGACCCAGTGTGCTCTTAGAGATCTTAGGGCGAAGGCCATGTCCAGATGGGCTGAATTCTTAGGCTCTCCAAATGATTCCAATATTCAGCCAATTTGTGAAAACAAGGCTTTAAGAATGAGGGATCTAACATTACAGGTCAGCATTTCCCAGTCACACTGTCACAGTCTGGAGAGACTGTAAACTATCCCCACCTCCGATGATGATTCAGGCAGTCTGACATGGGGCCTGCACATTCTTTTTAATATCGTCAGATCATTCAAATCTAATGAGAAGCCAGAATTGAGAAACAGATCTGTAGGCACTGGGGAGCCATTGGAAGATTTCAGAAACAGTTAAGGCCAACATTTGGTTTCACACTGGAGTTGGTGGAAGCCCTTAATTTATAAATATTCTCTTAGCACCATGAAAGAGGCAAGGTGTTCACGGGAAGACTGCCATTCCCAAGGCTGCCCGGCAGCCTGTTGTGTCCTCTCTTGCAGCTCTTGAGGCCATATTTTAATTTTGATTCTTCTAATCAAGAGCATTTCGTGAATACCTAATATGTGCCAGATGCTGTCTCGGAGCTGGGGATGGATACACAAGTCCGGTTCTCTGTCCTCAAGGAGCCCGCAGTCAAGCAGGAAGCAGAGAAGCAAGCACAGGCCACGGCACAGTGAGTACAGAGCCATGTCCGCTCTGACAGGCTTGGCAGCGTGCCACAGAGCCTTGAACAAAGGAGAGGCGCCCTGTCCAGCCCCAGCAGTCTAGGAGGCTACCCCAAAAGACAGGCTGTCTGAGCTGGGCTCTGAAGGAAAAGGAGGTGTAGACAGGCGAATGAAGTGGAAGCACTGGGCACTTGCTCTAATCACAAAGCAACAAAAATATAAAACTGAACAGGCCAGAAGCCTGGACGGAAGGGGGAGAGGCTGAGAATGGAGCAGCAGTCAGGGCCCACGTTGGGAAGGGCTTTGGAGACCTCTGATCCTGTCATTAACAGAGCATTGAAGTCAATATGTGCTGGCGGAACACCTTCTCCAGGCCAGTCCTCCCACCATGGGCTTGGAGACCAGGCCCACTCCAACATTACAGGGAGCAGGGTGAGAATACAAACAGGGCCACCTCCCACGCATCTCCACATTTACAACTGCAAATCAAGCAAAGCTAACAGCCCAGTCACACCCCATTCCCTCGCAGGTGTGCGCACACTCAAACACAATACACGCACAGCCAGGGGCCTCCCTGCAGTTCACCCTTCTGACCTGAGGAAAAAGGCAACACCTTCCAGGACCCGCCTGACCACCTGGGAGCCTGAGTGGAGCACAGGTCTGCAGGGCAGGACAGGATGGGGCCTGGGATGGACCTGCCTGAAACCAGGATGGGCCTCCACCTTCCCTGTACACAGCGGGCTCTCTGCAAGGGGCTGTGCCTGTCATTCCCCTCCTCCGAGATCTCTGATGCTCGGTATTCCATCCTACTGGGCATGATCAGACCTCAGCATGATCTCAGACACGGAATAAACCCACGCTACTGAGCATGACATTTCGGTAGGACGTGTGTAACCTGGCTCCTGCCTGCTTTTCCAGCTTCACCTTCTATTTCTCTCGCCCATTCCTTATGTCCTGGCTGTGTCCTCCGCAGCCCCAGGGCCTTTACTCCAGCTGCTGCTTCTCCCTGCCTCTTCCACTGGCCTCTGGGTCCCTCTTACTCCTCAAGGCTCACCTTTGACAGCGCCCTCAGAGACCCTCCTCACTTCCTGTAAGCCCTGCTCAGCACTATCACTTTCCTGTTTCCAGCCTTCACAGCACCTGCCACCAGCCACATTCCTGCTTTCCTGTCCACTTGCTTGTCTGCTCTCCTACTAGAAGATGAGCTCCTATGGGGAGCACAAACCTAACCTTATTCACTGCGTCATTACCGGCACGCACAGTGGCACCTGGCACATGGTGGCACTCAGAAAGCTTCTGAGGAAGGAATGGAGGGTCTTCATTCCATCCCCAATTTGGCCCCAGAGCCACCCAGCACCCCGACTATCACACACTACTTCTCAGTAGCCAACTGTATGAGTCTGTTCTCACACTGCTAGAAAGAACTTTCCAAGACTGGGTAATTTATAAAGGAAAGAGGTTTAATTGAGAGTTTAGCATGCCTGGGGAAGCCTCAGGAAACTTACAATCGTGGCAGAAGGTAAAGGGGAAGCAAGGGACCTTCTTCAGAAGGCGGCAGGAAGGAGAAGTGAATGCAGGAGGAACTACTGAACACCTGAACACTTACAAACCCATCAGATCCTATGAGAACCCACCCACTATCATGAGAACGGTGTGGGGGAAGCGGCCACTGTGATTCAATGACCTCCACCTGGTCTCTCCCTTGATACATGGGGCTTATGGAGATTATAATTTACAGTGAGATTCGGGTGGGAGCACAAAGCCTAAGCATATCACCAACACATTTTGGTTTTCAGTTACTCCTCTTTGGCCCACGTGGCCTTCCGCTTCCTGTGCTCTCACCTCACGTCACCACGCAGTCAATTCTCACGTACCTTTCACGAGCCAGGTAACACGGTACTCACTTTGAGAAATAATCCTACGGCCATCTTGTTCTTAGAGCTCCTAGTTGATTTAGTGTATGTCCCTGTTAGCATGTGGCATTCCAGGGCTCTAAACACATCAGACTGTGCCTTATCCAAGCCTATACCATAAGAGGCCCAGGAGAAATGTTTGTTGAATGGATCGGGGAACAGAACAGTGAACGGCAATAAAGAAAACTTAGATTTTGATAATCAGTAAAAACAGTACCTGAGTACTAGTCACACTATAAGATTTAGTGCATACTTTTTTCCATAAAAGAATTATTTCGGCAGGATGCTGAACTAATACTAACTAGAAATATTTCTGCTTTTGAGGAATTGCTCTGTGTTTCCTTAAGAGCGGGACTTGCGGGCGGGGTATGCATCAAATTTCTCCGAGTGTCTCCTCAGTGGCCCATGTTGCCTGCTCTCTTGTCACCCTTTCGGGTTCACAATTTGCCCGCTTCCTATCACACCCCTAAATGCAAGGCACACGGGTGGCCCTGCCTCCCGAAACATGCTGGCCCCTGCTCTGCCTCTCTGTTGACACTGTGTCTCCTCTTTCCTGCCAGCAAAAATTCGACTCTCTGCTGCAGGCCCTCCTAAAATGGCAGTTCCTCCATGAAGTGAAGGATGAATTCCTTTTTCTCTGTGTAGCCATTTATCTAGTGTGGTTTTGTGACTCAGTGCATCAGAACAGCATACCTGTCTACAATGACATAGTCACATAATTAATTTTCCCAACTCGACTGTTACACTTGGCAGGAATAACAAATTTCTATGCCAATTATACACTAACCCACATGACCCTTTCCTGGAAAATATGAAAAATAGCATTGTGTTCATACAATAATGGGTTATGTGAAATGGTCAGCTTTCTTTTACCTTTTCTGGTTTTACAACGTGACATTCATCGATGTATACCTAGAGTCCTGTGCAACATGAGCTGGAGGTTGCCACTCTAAGGGTAAAAAGGAAGCGGAAACAGAAAAGCACAGGAGCGACAAGGAGGCATTTTAAAACGGATGAAATATAAAGGCTCTTAGGAAACCAAAAGCTAGGATGGCAGTCTTTATCTCTACCTGATAGCACACGTTGCATGCCAGACCCAGAGCTCCTGGAAGGCAGGAAAGATATTATACTTGTGAATTTCCCCTGCAGGCGCACAGGGTCCTCCCAGAATTAGAGAGGTAACAAAGCAAAGAGAAATTGACATGCATATTCCAGAGGCTTAAATGCTGGAGGGCTAAGTGCAGCGGCAGGAAGCTGTGAAGAAAAGAAAACTTCAGATTCTTGTCCTGGGAATTGCACAAACATTAGCCAGTGTTATCTCAGCAACATTACTAATTCCTGGCAATAGGATCTCTAGGAGGTATTTCTCTGTGACTGGTTTGGACACCAGATTAAAGAAAAAGGATACAGTATTATGGCCTGGATGTGCTGCTAGTATACAAAAGACTCCCCCCATTCACTGCAGGATTGTAAAGGCCTCTACCCATCCAAGTCTCCTGAAACAATGTTTGTCCATGGGAACTACAAGTGCAGTACCTCTTCTCTACAGTGAGAAGAAATGATCCTGTTACATTCACACAACTGTCATCTCCCCTTCCTAATGAGCACAGACTTCGCCCAAAGGATAAGGTTGGTGATCTTGGCAGTAAGATATCATCCCCTATAACCAAGGAAGACATTATATCCATATGCTTAATACAACTTGTATTGATGCTCCTTACCACGGTTATTTACCTTGCCACAATAATCCCTTAAGCCAAAATCTAATCCAGAGCAATGCCCTAACTCTCTTTAATTCTATGAAACATGAGAGAGATGAAGAAGCTGCAAAAGAAAAGTCTGAAGCTAGCAGAGGTTGGTTCATGAGGTTGAAGGAAAGAAGTCATCTCCATAACATAAAAGCGCAATGTGAAGTGGCAAGTGCTGATGAAGAGGCTGGAGCAAGACATCCATTAGACCTAGCAAAGATCATTGAGGAAGATGGCTACACTAAACAACAGATTTGCAGTGTAGGTAAAACAGCCTTCTACTAGAAGAAGATGCCATCTAGGACTTTCATAGCTGGAGGGCAGAAGTCAATGCCTGGCTTCAAAGCTTGAAAGAACAGGCTGACTGTCTTGTTAGGGGCTAATGCAGCTGGTGACTTGAATTTAAAGCCAACACTCATTTCCCATTCTGAAAATTCGAGGACCCCTAAGAATGATGCTAAATCTACTCAGCCTGTGCTTTTAAGTGGAATAACAAAGCCTGGATGACAGCGCATCTGTTTATAGCATGGTTTCCTGAATATTTTAAGCCATCTGTTGAAACCTACTGCTTAGAAAAAAAGATTCCTTTCAAATATTATTGCTTATTGACAATGCACCACGTCACGTAAGACAGCTGATGGAGATGTACAAGAAGGTGAATGTTGTTTTCAAGCCTGCTATCACAGTATCCAATCTGCAGCCCATGGATCAAAGAGTCCTGGGAATTTTGCAAACATTGACATTTGCCAATGTATCTTTACATGTACATGTATTCTTTAAAAAATGCATTCCATAAGGCTACAGCTGCCATAGATAGTGATTCCTCCGATGGATCTGGGCAAAGTACATTGAAAACCTTCTGTAAAAGATTCACCATGCTAGATGCCAGTAAGAACATTCATGATTCCTGAAAGGAGGTCAAAATAGCAGCATGAAAAGGTGTGTGGAAGAAGTTGAATCCAGACCTCATGGATGACTTTCAGGGGCTCAAGACTTTGGCAGAGGAAGTAACTGCAGATATGGTAGAAATAGCAGTAGAATTAGAATTAGAAGTGGAGTCTGAAGATGTGACAACCGACTGACATGTGACTCTTGTGGATGAAATCCACCACTGATGAACAGGAGGGAGACATGGGAGCAGTAAGTGGGGTGGAGAGTTCACAGAAGCACTTTGTAAGCCCCGGGAGACCTGAGCCTATGTGAAGGGAGACACTGAAGATGCCGATGGTCATCAGATGGCTGTGAGCTCCTTAAGAATGGCGATTGTGCTGTGTTTAATGTCGCTCCCCCACGGGCCACACAATGAATATCTCTTGAAGTGCAGTGAATTGAACTGAACTAAGTTGATATGAGCTGGGGCAAGACCTGTGAGATTGAGAATACAGGCAAAATGAAATGTCTGTCTGAGAAAATGAATACCAGAAGTTTTTATTAGGTTTACTCTAGACTACAATTTGTAAATACGTCAATGTAAAGACATTAATCAGTGAGTAATTACATGCAGCATGCAATTCTCAACCAGCAGGGAGGTACTTAACACCTACTCGGTGCAAAGCCTATATAAGTCCAATATATAATGGAAAACTATTGTGTTTAAAAAGAAATCTGAAAAGGAGACAGAGATCAAAGATACCTGGCACCAAAGGATGGGCACCCTCATCTCAGGGAGCAGTGCCAAGGGGCACAAAGCATGCCTGATGAAGGGAAGCTGCAGTCTTTTCCCTGCAGCACTTGCAGGGGAGCTGTCAGAGGAAGAAAGGCTCCTGCATGTGAAGCCAAGCCATCTACTGACAGGCACCCTCTCCAGGTTCCAGCTGTAAGCTTAGGGAAAACATCTGTAAGGACAAGTGACAGGAGTCTTGAATAGGGTAAACGTATTTCCTCTGCTTGAAACATTTTTGTCACATATCTGTTCAACAGAATGTAAGCAGTCATTCAGAGAAAAAGCCATGGCTTATGAAAGACCCATTTCTTTCTAATTCAATCTTCTAAGGTTTGTTTTGTTTTGTTTTGAGACAGATTCTCGCTCTGTCTCCCAGGCTGGAGTGCAATGGCGCAGTCTTGGCTCACTGCAACCTCCGCCTCCCGGGTTCAAGTGATTCTCCCGCCTCAGCTTCCCAAGTAGCTGGGACTACAGGCGTGTGCCACCAAACCCAGCTAATTTTTTGTATTTTTACTAGAGACAGGGTTTCACCATGTTAGCCAGGATGGTCTCGATCTCCTGACCTTGTGATCTGTCTGCCTCGGCCTCCCAAAGTGCTGGGATTACAGGCCTGAGCCACCACGCCCCACCAACCTTCTAAGTTTTTAAATGATCAAATTGGGCTCTTGGCAATAGACCACCTGTTCTGATTTCCCTCAATCCCATGAGAACTACTGTCCATGTCCACTTACGTGAGGACAGAGCTTGGTCCCTGGTTGCATCTAAGCAAAGAAAAGAACTGAAAGCGAACTTGGGGGCATCTTCCTCAATTTCTTCATTTTGCAGATGAAAATCCAGAGAAGAGAGTGACTTGATCAAGGTCACAGGGCAAATAAAGGGACAATATAAACACAGTAAAGGGGGTGAGTATCAAATACAAGAGTCTTATTTTCTTTCTCTATATGTGTTATTAACCTAGACCAATCAGAGCTCATGCAGAGAAAAGGCAAGACTTGTGAGAAAAAGATGTTGCAAAGGAAGGAAAGAAGTCCAGAGAAGCTTGGCTGCCAACTTCAGTGCTCTACAGGACTGTGGAAAGAAGAACTGAGGCACGCATCATGTCACCAGTGGAAGCACCTGGCCCATACCCAGCCCCACACCTGCAGTGTCTGAGCAGGCATGTTTTCTCATTAGGCAAGTAAAACAAGCGGATTTATGTGTCCATTTTTTGTTGCCCGTATTGCTTCTGAACTTTGCACTTACCTATAGTATGTGTATGCGGGTGGGTGGAGACCTCGTGTGGGAATTGTCAGTCTCCTGTGTCTGAGCTCCTTACAAGCAAGGATTATGACGGATTCACCCTCACGGCCCCAGTGCTATGCGTGCCACCCAGTAATAGAGCAGAGCTGCCTGGGGAAGTGGAAGGCTTCATGGAGGTGTGACATTGAGGCATTTAAGAAAGAAATGGTAGCTTCTGAAGGGATGAAGAGAATACAGAAGGCTTTCCAGGCAAGGGAAGCAGCTCTGTTTTCTGCTGGCCATGAGCAGCCTTGAAGACACAGATGCCAAATGCAACCAGAAGACCAATTAGACTTGCAGGGAACTGAGAGAAGTCACAGTCACCTCGCATCAGGGCAAAGACGCTTGGGCAGGCTGCACAAGTGACATGAACTCTTACATTTGGAGGGGACCTTCACTCAGGAATTTTAAACAATTATGAATTAAATAAGTTTCACTTTCAAAAACATTCCCATCATTAATATTGCTCTTCCAAATGAATGATTCAAACTCAGCCACGCTTGTCATGAAATCAGGCCGCTAGTTAAACAAGAATGGATGATCACCTGCCTTATGAAATTCTTCAATCGAAATAGCTTAATTCATCCATTTGTATTTTGCAGGCCACAATCAAAGCCTAATTAGTTTACCACAAACAGCACTACTCTGGACGCTTGTTCAATCTGCATTCAGAACAGCTCTTCATTTGGCACAACGATATAGCTTTGCCTAATAAATTAAATCAGTGAGTATTAACTACCTGAATTATGCATGAACCTTTCTGTGTCAATGCAAGTTTGATTATTTAATCTGTGTAACTATATTGAGTAATTCACCTTTGAATTTCCCTTGCATCCACAATATATAGGGGATAAAAAAACACAAGAAGGAAAAGATTTTTAAATGATGCCGACAAACTCACTTTCTGAAATGCACAAGCCAACTGGCTGTGCCTGAGTCCAGTTCCCAGCACAAGCAAAATGAGCAGGCCATGCCCAGGGCTCAGAGCACAGTTACGCTTATCAAAGGGAGCTGTCCCGATCCCCTCCTGAAGCCGCTGTGCTCAAGGAACCATTAAAGAATGCAAGCATAACAGCAGAATTCAGTATCTGCTGAAGAAGAAAACATATTCAATTGAATGTTGCTATTCTCTCACCACTGAGTGTAGCAGTGGCGCAGAAACCTCAGGGCCCACGATCTGAAGGTTGGCTCAAAGCCCACTGTCAACCTTCCCTGCCCACCCCACCTGGGCAAATCAGCAACTTAAGGCCTCAGTCTATTCCTCTAAACAGTAAGAATGTGATCCACCTTAAACGGCGGGGGTGGAATTTGGTGGGCATGGGTAAGGCACCAAGACGTAAGTGCTCAGCACAGAGGTCTGAAAAGGCCTCAGTGTTGCTTCACTGAGGGCGGTCCCTCTGGGCCCTGTTTACTTGCACGCAACTTATAAATGAGTATAATCTGCATAAACTTAGACAACTTTGTGGCCTGCAAATCACATTAATATACCCCATATGACCCCACAATACAGCATCACTTAAATAAACCATAAGCCACCAGAAATGTTTCCTGCTGATGGGTGTATCAGGCAGGGTTCTCTAGAGGACCAATCAGACACAGTGTGTGTGCACATGAGACATGAGAGGGGATGTATTAGGAGAACTCAATCCCTAGGTTCACCACACCAAGCCGCCTGCAAGCTGGAGAACCAGAGGAGCTGCAGGTCCGAAAGCCTCAAAGCCAGTGAGGCCAGTGCTGTAGCCCTTGGTCCAAAGCCACAGGCCGAGAACCCTCGAGGCTGCTGCTGTCAGTCCTAGAGTCCAAAGGCCCGGGAGCCCAAAGTTCTGATGTCCAAGTGCAGGAAGAGAAAAGTGTTCCAGCTCCAGGAGGGGAAGACAATTCTCCTCTCCTCTGCCTTTCTGTTCCACCCAGGCCCCCGGCTAATGGATGGTGCCACCCACACTGACGGTGGATCTTCACCACACAGTCCCCCAACTCACACGCCAGTCCCCTCAGGGACACACCCAGCGGCAACGCGTTACCAGTTCTCCAGGTATTCCTCAATCCAGTCAAGGTGACAACCAAAATTCACCAGCACGAGGGGCACTGAAGTTGTTCTCGTATTTGCTAATACAAATACACTTGGAAGGGCATCTTCACGCATACCTTTTTTTCTACTTTTGAATTATTTTAAGGTAGAGGCAACATATAGAAATGTCACAGCACAGATGATATGTGTTAACATGCAGCCTTCTTAAGACATTGTACCAACTTACATTGGCAACAGAAACATATTCATATGTCAGTCTCCATAAACTTTGTCAGCACTGGAATTAATGTAAAAAAATCCATGCATATATCCATAATACATACGCATATATATAATATATACATACCTACCTACATAATGATGGCTCAAAGCTATGTGATTTTTCTTTCAATAATCGACACTTAATTAGTAATTCCATGAGGAAAAATGATGAGAAAAACCAGACTGTTCTTGCTCCATAATTAGACAAGGAGCTCCTTGAGGGGAGGAACAGTAGGGCCTCGTTTCGAAATTGACCATAGTGACAGAAGAGTGTGGCAGGTTCTCAAAACACGCCAAAAACTGGCTCAGAAAGATCAGGCTGCTCACCAGCATTTCACACCAGCAGGGCTGTCCCCTAAAGCCACACACACAGACTCTCCATAGAGCCACACATGATCAAAGCCATCAGCAGGCCCAGGAAACACTTCCAGGAGGGCTGGAGACAGGCAAACAAGCATTGCCAGGCAGCTGTGGGTGCCAGCCCCTCCACGTCTCTTACCTACAGCCCTGGGTGCCAGGCCCTCCACGTCTCTTACCTACAGCTCAGGCTCTGTTGTGAAGCAGAGGGACGGGGGGCCCAGGCCTTGGCAGCACTCGGCCAGAAGCAACGGGAGCAGGACCACCAAGCGTTAGTGCGTGCGATCGTTCTAGCATATTGAGCTTTGGTGCCCCATATTATCTCACCTAATCCTCACAGGTAAATATTATTTTTTCTCCAATTTCCAGATGAAGAAATGGAGGATCAGATCATGAAACCTGCCTGAGCTGAAGCCAAGGCTAAGTGATAACAGCTGATTCAAACTCATGTCTGGCTTATATTGAAACCCACTGCCTTACCTACAGCTTGTGGTTGTGCCTGATGGACTGAGCTGCAAGAAGGGACTGCTGGAGGCCAGGAACCTCTGTGGACCAGCCCTCGACACTCACAGTCTCGCTCTCACTCCAGCGGTCATGCTGCTCAGTCCCTGGCCCTAAAAGGCACCAGATCTACTTTGTCCTTTAAGCCCCAACCAGGCTTCTTCTGTGGGCAAGGAGACTGGCAGAAAAGAACAGGCACTTTCCCTGGAAGAGTGAGGAAACACGGGCTCAAGCGTGCAGTCTCCCCCTTAGAAAGCAGCCCTGTGATACTGGAGGAAGGCACAATGTCTTGGGAGGCCCTGACGTGCTGGACAAAGGGGCCTTCCCTGGAGTTGCACAGTCCTGCCAGAGGCCCGGTGCCTGCCTCTGGAACCCTCAGTCTGCCCGTGTAGATGGGGACGGTAACGCCTGCCCCACAGGGTCTCTGGGGGTTAAGTTGATGACACATGCAATAATGCAGGGGTTCTATAAGCAGTGGCTCCTTTCTCTCAATGGGCCTCTCTGGACAAGCAGATACCACGCTCTGGCTCATAAAACGCACAAAAGCTCTGAGCAAATTGTTAAGACAAAAGTAGCTAAGAGATTTTGAAACACACACACTGCGTATGACAAGCAGTAGGGAAAAGACAACACCATAGCCCAGCGGGGTTGATCCCGGGAAAACAAGGACCAGTTAGCACTGGAGTCAATCAGTGCGCTCTGCCACATTCACAAAATCAATGATTAAAATCACACAATCATCTCAACTGACGCAGAAAAAGCACCTAACAAAACTATAAGGCATAAAACAGAGCAGCAGCTGTCAAGAGTTTGGAGTAGGGGCCAGGGTTGCCTACAAGGCAGTATGAGGGGACATTTTTTTAAGGTGAAGAAATTGTTCTGTATCTTTATTTTGTTGGTGTGGTTTCACAGATAACCTTGTCAAACCTCACAGAATTGTACACCAACGAGAGTGAACTTCAGTGCATGTAAATTATATTTCAATAGATCTGAATTTTTAACAAATGAAGAGGCAGCCGGGCACAGTGGCTCATGCCGTAATCCTAGCACTTTGGGAGGCTAAGGCGGGCAGCTCACAAGTCAGGAGTTCAAGACCATCCTGGCTAACACGGTGAAACCCTGTCTCTACTAAAAATACAAAAAATTAGCCAGGTGTGGTGGCATGTGCCTGTAGGAGGCTGAGGCAGGAGAATCGCTTGAACGCGGGAGGCAGAGCTTGCAGTGAGCCGAGACTGCGCCACTGCACCCCAGTCTGGGCGACAGAGCGAGACTCCGTCTCAAAAAAAAAAGGAGGAGGAGGAGGAGGAGGAAGAGGAGGAGGAGGAGGAGAAAGGAAGGAGGAGGAGGAGAAGGGAAGGAGGAGGAGGAGGAGGAGGAGGAGGAGGAGCGGTGGTGGTGAAGAGGCAAGCCACAGATATACACTAGGAGAACGTATTATATCTATATATTCAATGCATATATATATATATCTTCACTATATGTGTGTATACATAACATAGTGTCACTATATGTACATAAATATATGTGCATATGTATATATATATCTTCACTAGATACATCTTCACTTCACTGTATATCTGACAAATTATTTAGATCCAGAATATTCAAGAACTCCTACGAGTCTATAAAAATACAAACAACCCATAAAATGAACAAAAGGCTTGAACAGACACTTCAGAAAGGAAAATATATGAATGGCCAATAATCACATGAAGAAGTGTTCAATGTCCTTAGAATTAGGGAACCATAAATTATAATCAATGAAAAGATAATCACCAGAATGACTACAGTTTTAGAATGTGATCCCACTGTACCATGGTGAAGGCGCACAGCACCGGAGCTCTTACACTGCCGGGGGAATGTAAAATGGAGCAACGATTTTATAAAACTGTTTTGATAGTTTCTTATAGTTAAACCCACGCTTAGTATATGACCTAACAATTCTACCCCTTAATAACTCCTAGTATTTCCAATTTATCAATATTTCCAAGAAAGAAAAATCATGTCAACAAAATTACTTGAAAAATGTTCATAACAGCTTTATTCATAATAGTCAAAAACTGAAAACAAATGTCTATCAATAGGAGAATAAACAAATTACAGTGTGTCCATGCAATGGATTACTAATTGAGCAATAAAAAGAAATGAACTACTGATACAACAACTGGGATAATCTCACGAACATTATACTGAGCAAAGAAGCAGGACAGAAGAGCACTTATGCTGAGGTGCCTATTATGTGACACTCTAAACTAGGCAAAGGCAAAAACATCAGAACTGAGGACACCTCTAGTTAGCGTATGGGGATTAACCTAGATGGGATACAAGAGAACTTTCTGGGGAGATAGAAATGTTCTACGAGGGAGAAGGGTTAATAGAATGTATCCATCCATCCAAACTGTAGAGTTAAGATGTGTGTGTTTAAATGTGTGTAGCTTTACCTTGAAATAAAGTAACTGAAGCTCATTATCATCATCATTCTCAACACCGTCACTCAGTATGGGATGGTGACCTGGGTAGGGATGATAAAGATGGGAATGGCTCAACGTTGATGATTACTGAAGCTGTTAATGGATGTGTGGATGGTTCCTCACATTCTTCTGTTTACTTTCTATACGTTTAAAATTTTCCCTAGTAAATGAGTTAAATTTAATCACCTATTGCATCCCTGATATACGTCTGCCTTGCATGTTCACACCTGTGACCTCATTAAATCCTCCCAGCAATCCTGTGAGGCAAGTCCATTGTCCAGGAGAAGAAAATGAGACGTGGAGAACCAGCCAAGGACCCCCATGTCGCCTTTCATCCCTCCTGCCACTGCCCAATGCAGGTCTTTACCGTCACAGACAGGAAGTGCTCCCGATCACGGACAAAATTCCAAAGGCATCGTGGGTCAGACAGCACGGAATGAGTAGTGCAGGGCAGGTAAGCAGACCTCACAGAGGTCCAGAGGACAGGAGGCAGTCAGGGTTGCTTTCCTGACAAGACTCCTCCTCCTCCTACACCCCTCCAGCCCAGGGACACTGGAGTGGGCGGGCCCTGGGACACAGCATCCCCCGAACTACCCAGCAATCAGAACTCCAGTGGTCACAGCCGTGCTTCACTGTCACCCTAAGGAAGAAATGCTCAGAAAAGCCACTACTTTGGGCTTCAGGGCAAGTGCATCCCCTTCCAGCTTTTCCCCGTCCCTCTTCCTCATCTCCAAAAGGGAGGCCACTTCATCAACATCTGCTTCCCGTCCACCAGGGTCCCTCCGTAGGGGAAGGAAGGAGATGCACAGAAGATGGCAGGGTGGGAAGGATACATGGGGTTCTTGGCTGATGTCGCTGCACTTAACAAACACTTACTGGGCTCTCGTTGTCAGACAGACTTTGTTCTGGGCACTTGAAAAACTCAGAGGAAAGACAGTCCCCGCCCTGAGGGGGCCAATTCCTTAGGAGAAGACAAGCAGGATCAAGCTGTGAAAGACCTCAGCTCGGTGGAGTCACAATCTGATTGTGGGCAATGCAGGCCTCTTGAAAGAAGGGCCGCTCAGTGGAGAGCTCTGGAGGTCCTTCAGGAAGAGAGAACGTCGGGCACAGACAGGAAGGGGTCAGAGGGCAGGGACTACGGGACCACAGCAAGTAGCTGGGCCTCTGGTGCTGTTGATCGCCAGTGGTATGACCTGCATTCAGATGCTGATCCCTGTAAGCACCTCAGGAAAATTGCTACCCAATTTTTTTAGATGAGGGGACTGGAACCCAGAAAAGAGACATCACTTGCCCAATGTCAGCCTTCATGTTAGAAGAGATCTGAAGCCTAGACCTCCTGCCTCTGACCCACTCTCCTCTGCAATAAAAGGAGGCAATGTGTGCCCATCAAGAAGGTGACCATCAGAGCCCTGCAGACAGGGCTCGGCCCCAGAGCAGGTGACTCCAGAAAAACACCACCCTTCTTTGCCTTCTAGGCCCTGCGTCTTATAAAATGGAGTTACCGACACCTACCACACTAGACTGTCTTGGAGGTTAAATGCTATAATGTACATAAAACTATTCACAGAGAAACTATGTTTTTATTGTTACTCATTACAAAGATTATTTTAATAACTCTTGACTAGTTGGGGCCAACTTAGTAGCAGCTCTGTGTGGTCATCACGGAGTGAAGACAGAGAAGATCAGCCCACAGACAGCACGAATGTCAGACCTCAACTCTGTCATTATGGACAAAGTCCCCACATCCCTCTCCTCCTCCAGCCTGCTTATCGCCACCATGTGGGATGCAAAGGCACTTATTCCTCCTCCATTAGGAGGGTTTCAGCACCATGGAACTGCCTTCGCTGCCGCCATATAAGTAGCTAGCCAGTGTCATCACTGCCACCACCATCATCAGCTCCAACATTTGTTAAGCATGTATATTATATGCACGTCAGTAAAGTGAGCACGGCACAGCATCATCCCCCTTCTTTCCTATAACCACTTTTCCATAGGAGAAAAGAAGAGGCTGCCAAGTGTTCGGATGCCCTTCACTGTAGAGGCATCCGACACATTGGATGTAGAGCCAATGTCTGTGATATTTCTAGGGCTGTACACATTTTCACCTTCAGCTGCAACAGCTGTAAGGAAAATATCCTTCTGAAGCTGGACACGGGGCATTTTGACTCACTTCTGCTTAGCTGCCTTTTGCAGTTACTGATTTGAAGCAACTAAACATTGGAGTGAAATCTCTTATGATAGCCCACTTCTAATGCAACGATAACGAGAAGAGCAGTGCTAATAATAACAGCTAACAGGAAGCCCTTGCTTTCCTGCAGGCTTTGCACATGATTCTTGTAAACCTCAGGCCAGTCCTGAGAGGAGGTGCTATCACGATCCCCATTTTACAGGTGGGGAGATGGAGAGACGCAAGCTGTCCAACCACTCTTAAGCACTGTATATATACATAGCAGCACTGTGACGAGTCTACATAAGGAAGAGAGTTTCTGATTTGCATGTGTGGAACACAGCATGGCCTATAAATGTCCACTTGATGACATCACTGCCAAAATGGCACCCCGGAGAGCCTCGAAAAGAGCTGCCCTCCCCTGGCTGCTGTGTGTGTGGCCCTTGCTCGTCAGTGGGCCTTCGGTGACACTCTCCAGTGACACCACCGTGAGAGCTGCATCCTTGCTTTACAACTCGTGCATCCTTGCTTCACAAAGTAAAAAGTCCACAGACACTGTTCTTTCTGAAAAAGCCAGGATCTAGCTAGGATCAAACATCAAAGAAAGTGAGGTCAAAGGAAGAGTGCAGAGGAGAGCGCCAGGCCTCCCGAGCCAACGTGTGTCCATCCGCATTCCACGCTGTGTCCCTCAGGCCATGGGGCCCATCCCCTCTGGGTGCCCATCTGAAACTCAGAGATGACAACACCCGATTCCTAGGCCACTCACTGTGAGGTCTGAATACGATCACGAAGATCGGCCGTGGCACCCCAAGGCTGGCCTTGGCATCGGCGCCTACTGTCACACAGCCCTCACCAAGGCCACATCCAAGCTGCTATGAGTTCATCCATGCAAGCAACTATCATGCGCCAGTTAAAATTTGTAGTTGACATAGATGTAATTACATCTGACATAAACATAAAATGTAAATAACATTTATATAATGTATAGAAAACATAACCACAAAATCAGCTGGGTACAATAGTTCACATCTGTAATCCCAGCACTTTGGGAGGCTGAGGCAGAAGGATGGCTTAAGCACAGGAGTTTAAGACCAGCCTGGGCAACATAGCAAGACTCTGTCTCTATAAAAAATTTAAATATTAGCTGCGCATGGTAGCACACACCTGTAGTCCCAGCCACTCGGGAGGCTGAGGCAGGAGGATCGCTTGAACCCAGGAGGTAAAGGATACAGTGAGCCTAGATTGTGCCACTGTGCTCCAGCCCGAGTGAGAGAGCCAGATCCTATCTCAAAAGAAAAAAAAAGGAAGAAAATATAACCACAAAATATAAATATAATACATATTTGTTTGTGTATTGAACAAATATCTTCCCATTAGACTGAAAGCTTCATGAGGACAGGGATCATGGTTCACTTGTTCAACAGAAGATAATAAATAATGGTTGAGTAAATGAATAAATGGGTGAATGAACATAATCCTTGCTCTTAGGGAACATGTAGCTTAGTGGAAAAGAATAAAAAATAAAAAGATAATCTAATGACTTTCTAGCTTTCTTTTCTGTCATCTCAGAGAGTTAGGTACCAAGGCAGGTGTGACCAGATGCCTACTCTCTAAGAGCTGACCCCAGAGATCCCAGCCTGAGCCCCAGGGCTGAGGCAGCCCAGAGAAGGTGCCTTCCGCTATCTTCTGCTTGCATGCATTTGAGCAGGGCAGATGCTTGCTGGGGGGACTCCAAGGCCAAGTGGCTGGTCGATGTGATGTGATGGACAAGGCAAGGACACAGAACAGGGAGAGGACCCTTCCCACTGTGGACATCAGGAGTCGCTTCCTGAACAAGGCGGCAGCTGGGCCAGGCCCCAGGGATGGGACCAGAAATGTTGAGATGGGGAGAAAGCAATGCAGGCGGAAGAATGATTGTGTAGAAAACGGAAAGGCAGGAAAGCTGCAGGACCGCAGGGCCAGAACAAGAGAAACCTGGGAGAGGAGATGGAAAAGGCTGCGTGGCCCCAGATAGAAAAGTCCAGCATGGACAATCGTGATGTTTCTTATGGAAAAACATGACTTTCCTCAGAAAATGGAGAACTTTATCCTGCATTTGTCATGGAGATAAAATAATTAGATACAAAGTGTGAAAAACCAGTAACACTAGTAGAAACACTGCAAGGCAAACTGTCTTCAAAGCATGCAGTTCATCTCCATTTAACTGGAAATTACTGTGAAAGAAAGAAAAACTGTCCCAGAATCAGCTTCCAGACAAGAAAGAACCTGTTCCAAACCATCTCTTCATGCTTTTCTCTGCGTTCAAATTGCAAAAATACAAAGTTGTATAGAATTTTGGAAGAACTTTTCAGAGAACATTTCATTTTAACAAAAGGCAAGGAGAAAACTGCAAAAGTGCTTGTGGTTTTATAGCAGTGCCATGGGAAGACACTGCTGTTATGCTGAGAGAAGGTAAGTCACGCAGGAGTGGCTGGACTCAAGTTCAAGCCCAGGCTTTTCAGCACTCTTTGATCCCACCAAAATCTTGGCCTCAGGCAGGGAGGGTGGAGTGGCAACTGCACTGGATGGAGGCTTAGTGAGGTACATGGCTGAACACGGGGGAGGGCTTCCAGATATGGGACAGAAGGCCAGAGGTGGGATGGGGCAGGGATGAATGGATGGAAAAGAGCTTCCTAGGTGGGGAAAGGAAATTATTCTAGGAACTGAAGGCAGTATGGGCAAAAACATGAATCACAAGGACAAAGAGGGGTCTGATAGAGGAACTGCACCCACTTTAAGAAGAGGCAGCTCAGGGTTGAGAATGTGTCATCTTCTGAGGAGCCCATGCAGGAACTGAGAGGATGTCACATGCAGGTACACAGGAGCCACAGTCCCAAACTCAGAGGTCTGCACTCTAACACCAGGTCAGCCACCTCCCCTCCCTGCCCCCAGTCACCACCAGTCAACAGGGGGCCTACCCAGCAATGGCTCAAGGCTTTTCAACTCTGACATTCCTAAAGCTGGATGGATCCTATCATCTCTCCAGCAACTGTACAGCTTTCCAGTGATATGGTTTGGCTGTGTCCCCACCCAAATCTTATCTTGAATTGTAGCTCCCATAATTCCCATGGGAATTATGTCATGGGAGGGACCCAGTGGGAGGTAACTGAATCATAGGGGTGGGTATTTCCAATGCTGTTTTCGTGATGGTGAATAAGTCTCACGAGATCTGATGGTTTTATAAAGGACTGTTCCCCTGCACATGCTCTCTTGCCTGCTGCCATGTAAGACGTGACTTTGTTCCTCATTCACCTTCTGCCATGATTATGAAGTCTCCCCAGCAATGTGGAACTGTGAGTCCATTAAACCTCTTTCCTTTATAAATTACTCAGTCTCGGGTATGTCTTTATTAGCAGAGTGAGAACAGACTAATACAGATGGCCAGAAGCAACAAAGAATCTGAGAAGAGTTCAGACTTTGAATGGGTGACACTTAGTTCACTCTTGGTTCTGCTCCTTTAACAGGTGTTTGAATTTGGCAAGTTCCTTAACTTGATGAGGCCCCAGAGAAGTAAGATAACACTCCCCTGGAAAGTGCCTCCAGGACCAGAGAGGCCACAAGCAGCGGCTCCAGCAGAAAAGAGGCACCTGCAGAAGGGCAGTGAAGTTTGTTCATATTTATTACAAGTGCTCTCCCTACACCCAAGGACCTGGACTATTGTTCTCCCCACTTTATAACTACAGTGGCACACTGGCAACAAAAACGTCTAATTGTGCATAATAATAAAAAGGCAGGCCAGGCATGGTGGCTCATGCCTGCAATCCCAGCACTTTGGGAGGCCAAGAGGGCGGATTGCTTGAGGTCAGGAGTTTGAGACCAGCCTGCCCAACGTGGCAAAACTCCATTTCTACTAAAAATACAAAAATTGGCCAAGCGTGGTGGTAGATGCCTGTAATCCCAGCTACTCAGGAGGCTGAGCCAGGAGAATCGCTTGAACCTGGGAAGTGGAGGTTGCAGTGAGCCAAGATTGCACCACTGCACTCCAGCCTGGGCGAGAGAGCACAATTCTGTCTCAAAATAATAATAATAATGATAATAATAAAAATGAAGAAGAAGGAGGAGGAGGAGGAGGGGAAGAAGAAGGCGATGGCATCACTTTCCCCTGGTCAGATGTTATTTCAGCTCAAAGTTTGCTTTAAGAAATGACACCTTGGAATTAACCCTGTTTCATCAAAAGGCCAAGATTCCCAAGAAGAGATGTTGAATGATCCAGGGGAATCAAGTACATACAAGGTCATAGAAGGCACATACATGGTCAGTGATGAACATTCCATATCATGTGTGGGTCTGTAATAGTTCTCCCTGTAACTTAACACTCAGCACTGTGGAAATTGAGAACCACATGAGTAAACTTTCTTTCACTTGTGATGCACAACAGCTAACAGTACAAAACACCACGCCACACTCATTCTTGTCTTAGTCCATTTGGTGTTGCTGCAACAGAATACCTGAGTGTGGGTAATGCGTAAAGAAAAGAGGTTTATTTTGCTATGATTCTGGTAGCTGGAATGTCCACAAGCATGGCACTGGCATCTGTTCGGCTTCTGGTGAGGGCCATGGGCTGCGTCAAGATGTAGCAGACAAGAAGAAACACCAGAGGGCATATGCAAAGAGACGTGCATAAGGAGTGAGTCTTGCTTTATAACAACCCACTCTCATGTTGACTGATCCAGCCCCATGACAGCGAGAACTCTCTCAGGAGACAGCACCAATCTATTCCGGAGGGTTCAGCCCCCATGACCCAATCACCTCCCGCTAGGCCCCACCTCCCAACACTGCCATGCTGGCAGTTAAACTTCAAGCAAGAGTTTTGGTGGAAACAAACCACATCCAAACCATAGCACCTGTCACACTCACAAACCCTAAAAACATGAATTCTAGTGCTATGGGCCAGAGCTTTCATCATGTGTGTAATGAACCTGCAAACACGCTCAAGTGCCAAAGAAATAGGCACAGAACCAGAAAGCTTCTGTTGAATGCTTCAGAGCACAAAGGGTTTCATGTCCACTCTCTCCCGAGGTCCTCATGGAAGGATGGTGAGGAAGGTGTTGCCATAGCCCATGGTGTCCACGGTACAAAGCCTGGACTCCTGCTGTGCCACCAACCAGGAAAGCCCCCTCCTCCAGGGAGGCACCCACCCTGGCTCTGGAGGTGTGACCAAAGTTTTCTCAGAGAAGCAAGGCCAAGATTAACCATCCTATGCCATCTATCCCCAGTGCGTCTGCAGCTGAGAAGCCTGCCCTCCTTCCTCAGCAGCACACTCTGCCTGGACCTCTGCTCCTCACAGTCCACTACCACATCTCAGGCTGTTCAGCACCCATCAGCCTGGAATCCCAGCTCTGGCGTCTCTCCACAGAAGATGGCTCCAATGTCTTCTCTTTATTCTCAGTATTTTGCTCCACATAGTCAAGGTGAAGAATAAAATGAATGCTTTTTTTTTTTTTTTTTGAGACAGAGTCTCACTCTGTTGCCCAGGCTGGAGTGCAGTGGCACAGTCTCAGCTCACTACGACCTCCGCCTCCCAGGTTCAAGCAATTCTCGTACCTCAGCCTCCTAAGTAGCTGGAATTACAGGTACCCACCACCACACCCAGCTAATTTCTGTATTTTTAGTAGAGATGGGGTTTCACCATATTGACCAGGGTGGTCTCAAACTCCTGACCTCAGGTGATCCGCCCACCTCAGCCTCCCAAAGTGCTGGGATGACAGGCGTGAGCACTGCGCCCGGCCAATCAGTACATTTAGAAATGCACATTTGATTCCTGTGTAAGGCATTTCGCATAAAAACACTTACAAATGAGGGAAAACCATGTCAAGTCGCACGTTCTTTTGGGGCGGGGACCAGAAAAAGATGGTCACCCAAATGTTTCAATCTGCTATTCTCTCAAGACAAGGCTGCCTTCCACCCACCAGTCCATGTGCCCCTCAGTCCATATCTCTGTCCTCAGCATTGCGCCCGAGGCCCGGCCTACAGGAGGAACTCCGTGAATATGACTTAACTAGCACTCACTGCAGTTTCTAGATGTTGGTACCATCTCTGCCTCTCCCAGGGGACCACGCACACTCTTACTCACCTCCAACTCCTCAGGCCCAGCCTTCTCTAGCACACAGCATGTCTTCAAAGCAAGCCTGGGAACCAAATCAAATTGAAGCGTGCTTAACAAGCAAAGGATGTTGTCAGGGAAAGCAGCAGCTTTAAAATGTTTTGACCCATTTCTTCCTTATCTGAAATGTGAGTTTCTCTCCAGCCCATATGAAAGCCACATGTTTCTGTTATCAGACCCAACAGCCACATAAAAGCTACATGTTTTTCTGACCTGGGCCCAGCAGTGATTTTTTTTTTTCCCTAAGAATTTAAAGGAAGGAAGAACCTGAAATATAACATTAGACAGCAATGTGTTTTCTAAGGATGAAAAATGTGCTGAATAAAGTGTGGAATCATTTTTTTTCCTCGACACAAATATAACTCCATCCCAGCTTGCCCCAGTGAGAAATAATGCCCCAGAAGCATCAGCAGAAAGGGCATCTGCATTTCCCAAATAATAAAGACAGGTGAGAGGCGAAAGTGCCACCATGTCTTGATATGTTAATGCATTTTAACAACCTAATTAACATTAGGTGGTGACAGATACACAAAAGAAAAGGGGTAAAGGAGTAAAGGAATATAAATGACTGAATTTGAAAATACTGCTTTGAATAGCCTAGCCTTTGACAAACTGTTATTAACTTCATATTTTTCCAGCCTGATGTTCACATTAATTTTTCTGCTAGAAATACAGCTTTTGCAAAAGATTGTTAAACACGTTCTTTTCTCCTATTGTTAAACAAAATACATCAAAATGGTCTGATTTAGTTCAAGATTGTGTGGCTGGAGGTCACAATTCTATGTATTTCAGACAAGGGGCATCCTCAAACTCAGCTGGTCACGTTGACTTGGGACTGCTTTTCTGGGAAGCAATTTGACAGCAGGTAACAAAGGACTTAAAAATGTTCACATTGGCCAGGCGCGGTGGCTCACGCCTGTAATCCCAGCACTTTGGGTGGCCGAGGCAGGTGGATCACAAGGTCAAGAGATCGAAACCATCCTGGCCAACATGGTAAAACCCCCTCTCTACTAAAAATAAAAAAATCAGCTGGGCATGGTGGCATGTGCCTGTAGTCCCAGCTGCTCGGGAGGCTGAAGCAGGAGAATCGCTTGAACCTGGAAGGCGGAGGTTGCAGTGAGCTGAGATCGTGCCACTGCACTCCAGCCTGGGTGACAGAATGAGACTCCATCTCAAAAAAAAAAATTCACATCTTTGGACTCAGTAATTCTGCTTCAGAGAATCTATCCTAATAATATGACCAGGAAAACCTTTCCACGGAGATATCAAACAGTGTTTAATAAAATTACAAATAAATGGGGCAGTATCTCAAGGTCTAACATTGGGAAAAATATTCAGAATATTCTGATAACATCGCTGACAGTCTTTACAATTACACTGACGAACATTGAGTGGAATGGGAAAATGCTTCTGTATTAGCGCTGAGTGAATAAGGTAGAGCGCAGAAACGCACACGCAACGCAGTACCCAGGGAAGAGCGAGAACCACAGAGAGAAAGGTGAGGACGGAAATCTCAGCACCACCGTTCACAAGCTGGGAGGTCTTGGCCAAACCACCTAACCTCGCTGCCCTTCCATTTCTATTTGTGTAAACTGGAGAAAAGAATACCCACAGAAGGGTTTGGTGTTTTTTTGTTATTTTGTTTTTGTTTTTGTTTTTGTTTTTTGAGATGGAGTCTCGCTCTGTCACCCAGGCTGGAGTGCAGTGGCGTGATCTCAGCACACTGCAACGTTTGCCTCCTAGGTTCAAGTGATTCTCCCACCTCAGCCTCCCAAGTAGCTAGGATTACAGGCACGGGCCACCACATCCAGCTAATTTTTGTATTTTTAGTAGAGATGGGGTTTCACCATGTTGACCAGGCTGCTTTTGAACTCCTGACCTCGTGATCCGCCCGTCTCAGCCTCCCAAAGTGCTGGGATTACAGGCATGAGCGCCGCACCTGGCCCAGGCTTGGGTTTTTGTTTGTTTGTTTAAGATTCAGGATCTTGCTGTGTTGCTCGGACTAGAGTGCAGTGGCTGTTCACAGGCACCATCATCCAAGTGACTGTTTTAATAAAAAGCTTAGAATAGTATGTATCATGGAGTAGGCACTCAGAAAATGGTAGCTATTATTATTATAATTATGCATAGAAAAGGGAATAACAACATACAATGATTGAGGCTGGGCAGTGGAACCATGGTTAATTTTTTTCCTCCAACATTCTTACAATTTTAGCATCTTCTATAGTAAACATGTTATACTGCTATAATGAAAATAAATCTCTATAAATCTAAAACTGTCCACTTAAAAATCCTAAATAGATAGGGTAATAAAAATATTATTAGTCTCCTCACTTTCACTTCCTTTCTGCCTCAGATGGGAACCCAGCTGTTTTAATCCACATATAATTGCCTCATCCATGGTAAACAGGCTGAGCGTGTCCCTTCTCTGGTTAAAAGCCTTCAATAGTAGCCTATAGGATGATATCCAGGCTCACCACATGACACTCAAGGGCCTTCATGATCTGACCCAAGCCTACCTTTCTAAAAGGCCAGCATGGAAATCAGAATGTATCACTTCCCCAGTGCTAATGTCGCCTTCTGAGTTCTTCTGCCCAAGAACCGCCGAGGACAAGGCTGCTGACTGACAGGCAGGCCCAGGACTGTCCAAGGCTCCCAGTGGTGAGCAGCATCCTGAAAGATCTGGCATGGTCCTTGGCCCCTCAGCCAGGTGATGCATCTGTCAGAAAGCCCTGGCTCTGGGGCCTGAAACCTCAAAGGGTAGGATAAGCTTTTTCCTCCCTTGGAGACGTTTACCAAGCATGAGTAAGTGCCAGCCACAGGGCTAAGCTCTTGCCTGGTATCTTCTATCCTTGGAGTAAGTGTATCATTAGGCTCCTGTTACAGACAGGAAACTGATATCCAGTGGGGTATGGTAACTTGCCCAAGAGGAGAGGCCTGGGATGAGCGTTAGGCTGGACTCCGAGGCCTATGCTCGCAACGCTCGACTCTGAAAGCTTTACATCTGTGTGATCTATAGCCAATCCAGGTACAGATTCATGGAGAGTGGAGATGGGGGTGCAGGGAGAGCACACTCTGCAGAGCTCCATGTTTCACTGCAAACACCTTTTGCAAACCTCATGCCCCATGACTCTTTGAAAAAGAGAGTTCCCCGACGCTCCACAGTCTCTCCTGCTGTAGTTACAGGAGTGACGTGGACTATGTGATGAAGGCTCCACGAGCCCACACGCCCACGTCCAGCAGGACTACACCACTTGCCCTTATTTTACACTTTGGGTTCCTGCTGCATAAGTATGTTTGCAGAAAGAATCTTACTGTTTAAAAAAAAAAAAAAAGGCTTGGAAACCACTGGTCTAGACTGAAAAACAGAAATTTCAACCTCTTGTATCTTTACCATCCTGATAAAATCTCTCTCTTTAAATATAAACCATCCTTTCTTTTCCATGCAGAAGCTCTTTCTGTTGTGAAATGAGAACCACCAAAACCTCTCTCGAATGGAAATGCCAGGGAAGCCCCGTCAGGCAGCCCGGCCTAAGCTCTGAGGACTGGGTTCACTGAAGCCGACGTGCTGGAGGGAGCCCAGGACTTTCAATCCCACCAGGTGACCAATTCTGCTATTTCAGAGTGAGCATCCCCCTTCTGCTCTGCCTACTCACTTAGAGAAGAAAGGGGCAAGTCATGGACGGCAGCAGCCTGCTGAGGTCCACGCCACCCTGCCCCTACAAAAGCAGATGACAGCCTCTGCTGTGGGTAATCGTGTCCCGATCTGGCGCGTTCCACATGGGGAGCCACAGCCTATCTCTGTCAACGCATTGCCTCTCATTTCTCTGATTCATTGTTAAAAATAAACATTTCTTCTTCAAAGTGCTGGCAGAACTCTCCCCTAAGCCTATAGCTTCCCCCCACCCCACACCCCCTTAGGAATCACTGTGGTTTTTTCTAAGGGTAGGCTGGCAGAAGGAAATAAAAATGAAGCCGTTCAGACTTGCACACACAACTCTAAGAAGACTTCTCCATTTTCTAACTATGACTTTCCCCACCTGAAGCAGAAGGCAACCTAGCAGGTTACCAGATCCTTCCCATCCTCCTGAAGACTAAACCAGAAACAAAGCCTAACCAGGGCTTGGATCGTGTGCTGGAGAGCGGGTATGGTGTGGGTGAAAGACACAGGTTTTGAAATGTGCTACCACAAAGAAAGTACAAGAGGATCCCAGAGTATGGAGGATGAAGAAGGAGGGGAGAGAGGAGATGGTGGGAGAGGAAGAAGGACAGGGGAAGACGATGAAAGGAGCAGGGAGAGGCAAGAAGAGACAGAAGAAGCGGGGTAGAAATGGAAGGGGAGCAGGTGAGGCAGTCGGTTGAAATGACACGTCTCTCCACCAACAATTTTGCACTGCAGCCCCACATAGCCCCTTTCCTCTGTGATGAGGGCAGCAGCCTCCCCATGGCTCTCAGGGGCCACAGCTCCACCTGTGCCCTGGTGCCCAGCTCCTGCTGCCTCTGGGGGATTGGTCCCAGGCACCCCATCCCGTCCTGCTCCACCCGTCTCTTCCACTGTTCAATCCTTGTCAGTGCACACAATCACACACTGCCAACACCACCTTCAAAACATCCCTCTCTCGGCCAGGCGTGGTGGCTCATGCCTGTAATCCCAGCACTTTGGGCGGCCGAGGCTTGGGATCCTGGGTGGATCACAAGGTCAGGAGTTCAAGACCAGCCTGACCAAGATGGAGAAACCCCATCTCTACTTTTTTAAAAATACAAAAATTAGCCGGGTGCAGTGGCAGGCGCCTGTAATCCCAACTACTCGGGAGGCTGAAGGAGAATTGCTTGAACCCAGGTGGCAGCAGTTGCAGTGAGCCAAGATCACGCCACTGTACTCTAGCCTGGGCAACAGAGTGAGACTGTCTCAAAAAAAGAAAAAAAAAATCCCTCTCTTCATCCCACACCTCCCTCCAGCCACCATCCTGTTTCCCTGTTCTCTACAGCAGAGCTCCTGCAAGCACTGCCTGCTCGGGCTGGCTCTACTTCTTGCCACCGTCAGCCTGCCATCCTCCTACTCCTCTGAAATGACTCTTTCCAATCTCAAAGCCAGTGGTCAACATCCTGGCCTTGTCTTCCTGACGTTCTCAGCAGCTGTCATTTGCTCCTAAGCCACGCCCCATGTTTCCAGCTTTTGAGCTGCCTGCTTTTCTTCCCAGTCCCTGGCTCTTCCTCCTCTGTCTCCCGTGCCCTCCCCCCGGCCCCATCACCCTGCAGATGTCGGGGTGCCTCGAAAGCACAGCACTCTATCTCTGCAACCCCCTCAGGAATGTCATCCAGGCCCAGGATTTTAAACGCTGCCTCTAAGCTGCTGACTCTCACACTTCTCCCTCCAGCCCAGACCTCTCCCTGGAGCACAGATGGAACACCAACAGGCTCCCGCACAGCCCCGCTGAAGAGCCGAACGGTGCTCACACATGACTCGCCTGAAGAATATGGTTGTGTTTTCCCCACATTCTAATCCCCACCGAGCTTCCTCCATCTCAGTAAATAAAACAACCACCGTCCAGCTGCTCAGGCCAAAACCTTAAAAGACACCCTTGCTTATTCTTCAGTGCATCTAAGGTCTGACCACTGTCGCCAACCTCCTCTGCTGCCGCCCTCATCCAAGCCACTGTCATCGCTTGTCTGGACAATGCCACTGGCTCCCCACCTCGTCTCCCCTGCCTCTACTCGTCCACGTTTCCCTCTCCACCCTGCAATCCATCTCCAACCAGCAGTCACAGTGACCATTCTCATGCATGACGAGCAACCGCACCATTCCCTGGCTCTCTCCTGCAGCTTGTCGCCGCCAGCCCCAGAAAAACCCACCATCACTGACAAGGTCCTGGAGAGCAGGCTTCAGCTCCCAGCTCCTCCATTACCACGTGGTACCATCTCTGGGCCTCTGCACCAGCTGTGATTTCTGCTTGGAAGATGTGGCTTACCAGAGCCCCTAGCTCTTTAGATGGCTATCTCTTTCTCATGGTTCAGACCTCAGGACAAATGCTACCTCCTCAAGAGATGCTCCTTGGTCACTCTGGCTATACAAGCCTCCCTAGTCCTTCTGGACCATATACTCATATTTCTTCCTGGAACTGGCACTCTCAGAAGCTATTTGATTTATTTGTTCACATTCATACTTTACCCTCTCCTCATTAGAATATAAGCTCCGTGATGGCAGGACTTTAAATGTCTTGTTCACAATTGTATTTCCAGTGTCCCAAAACCCATTTGACAGATAGTAGGTGCTCAGTATTTGTTAACTGATAGTTATGCAAGAAATGTGAAAATCTATCACCTAAGAGGTATCCATCCTCAAAACCATCTTAGTGATAAGAGTCCACCAACCTAGAGATAAACAAGAACAAACTTGGGAATGGAAAAGTTGTAGCACAGAAGTGGCAAGCCTCATCTCCGCTTAAACACACAACGAGGACTGGGACCTTTTGAAATTATGACTTGAGAGCTGAATATAAATGCTATAACCCTTAACAAAGAAGAAATGGCCAGTACTTGAAGGTGGGGTGGGAGATGGTAAAAAGTCTAAGTGCATAAATTCCCTTATTTTTCCTAACAAGAAACTCATCAGTAATTTGAAAATGTGACATATACAGTTGAACAATACAACTACGCTACTTCCTCAGGTTTTTCACAATCTTTTTTCTTCATCTTAAAGAGACCTGATAGGGAATCATATCTCTCGTCATGAATAAACATATCAGAAGCTCAGCAATTCCATAAACTTCACTTCGACTTATTTTTTTCTCTGATATGCTAACGTAAAATTAAATTAATAGTTTTATTTAAAAGAGCAAGTAGAGTACGATCCACTTTTAGGGGAAATAACTTCTCCTTCCTGCCAGTCTTTCTCAGCACACGTAAATGCAGAGGACGGGTCTGTTTGAAGGTTTCTCTAACATTAATAACGTCGATTTCTGGGTAGTAAGGTTTGGGAAGCCTTTTTCTCTAGACCCTTCTGCTGTGCTTGTATTTATAAAAATGAAAATCATATTTAAGCAAACTGCACTTAAACAACAAACACAGAAATAAAAACAATAGCTCCACCTCATGATTTAGCAAACCAAGCTCCCACTGTGGGCTGTACAAGTTTCTCCTCGAAGCCCCTCAATGCACTGATGGCCTTTTTCTTCTCTCCCACTGGGCAGCCCGCTTCAAAAGCCTCTTCCCCCCCGAGTGTTCCCCAGAGGCAGCACCTCATCCTCTTCTATCCGCACGAATGTCTCTATCTTTCAGAGGTCAGAAATACACTCATCTGAAGCCCTTGAGGCCAGGTGTTTTTCAGAACTAAGACTTGCTCGGGTTTTAGAAAGACCATAGGGTATATACACCATGGACCAGGCAGCCCCCTGTAACCAGATGCATTAAGTCTGCAGTCAAATCAATAAATAGTCCTACTACGTGAAATAAGGGAAGACTTTAAATGGCCCCATACAAATTTATGCCAGGTTTCACCACTAATGGGCTTGGATACCATCTTCATGAAAAGAAAAGCCTTTCTTTGGGGAGCTTTTCGGATTTTGGAATAGCAGGCAGAGGGCCATGGAGCTGCCTAAGCTGCCTTCCTGCCTGTCTCCCCAAGAGACACTGAGCTCCATAAAGATGAGAACCTCGCCTTCTTTATCACAGATTCCCAGAGCCAAGCAGAGGGTCTGGCACACAGGAGAGGTCCCGCACTTGATAGATGAGTAGGCTGGTAGACCTTCTGAGTGTTTGCTTAAAAACATAAGGGCAGGCAGCTAGGTGTGGTGGCTCACACCTGTAATCCCAACACTTTGGGAGGCCGAGGCGGGCATATCACGAGGTGAGGAGATCAAGACCATCCTGGCCAACACGGTAAAACCCTGTCTCTACTAAAAATATAAAAAAAGTAGCTGGGTGTGGCGGTGCACGCCTGTAGTCCCAGCTGCTCGGGAGGCTGAGGCAGGAAAATCACTTGAACACGGGAGGTGGAGGATGCAGTGAGCCGAGTTCACACCACCGCACTCCAGCCTGGCGACAGAGCGAGACTCTGTCTCAAAAACAACAACAACACAACAACAACAAAAATAAGGGCAGGCAATGTCTATGCAAATTCAAATACAACTGTGACTATGTTGGTCTCCTCTGGCTATTATAACATATGTAGGTTGACCCGGTTTGAAGTCATTTGAGTGTGTCTGTATGAATTCAGGTTCTGCCCATAATATGGAAATATTCACACCAATATATACACACGGAAACACACTGTTCACCTGGCACCAGACACTGCCTCCCGCCCCATGAGCAGCTCCCACAGAAGCCCTCCTACCGCACGCCACACCTGCTCAGACCGAGGGCTGAGAGAACTCAGCTCTTACGATGCCCCAGGTTCAGAGTGAACCCTAAGTGGAAGGCAAGTTTCATTTCTTCACCTGACATTAAACAGCTTATACTCTTAAAAAATAACCTATTATCTTAGCTCCACTGGCGTATTACCAAGAACCAGGTGACTCATTTCCAGGTCACCCGGGAGACCAGGGGGTTGGAGCTAATCCATAATTCCAGATTTCCTGGCCACGCCAGCTGCGTAGAGGTCCGGGCCAGGCCCTTAGCACACTTCATGGCTAACCCTGAAAATCGCCATCCCCCACCAAGTGTACCCATCCCTGCTTTCAGAACAAAGTACATGAGCCCATCCCAGGATAAGGAGGGTAAAGAGCTGGGCATCTCATTAATGCCTGGCTCCGATCTTGAGCTCATAGAGCAGCCTTGCCTTGCAGCCTGGCTTCCCATGCAGCTGTTCATTGACAGCGGAGGCCAACAGGCTGACGTGATGGACAGACCATTTCTAGGCCATATTAATGGGCTGGCTTCTGGGTGATACGTCTTAGCTCCAGAAGCCGGACTGGTGTGACCCTGCTCCCAGAGACTCGAGCGCTCCCAGTGCTACAAAAATTAAAAGTCGCAGTCCAAAAGGCTGAGGATCAGCCTCAAGGACTGACAGAAGACTGCAGAGAGAGAGACAACAAACCATAATTATATAAGAACAAGTCATAAAAGGCAAAACCCTGGGTAAGAGATCACATCCCTTCTTAATGAAAGCAGAGGCACAGTGAGACGCAATAGCTCATCTGAAGCCCCACGACTCGGAGGTGGCAGCCTGGCCCCATGCATGTCGCTGCAGGCTCTCCGTCTCCTGCCCCCTCATCCTGCACCCCCTGAGATATCTGCCTTCCTGTCAAGGGTCCAACATACCATGATGGCCTCAGCAGGCTTCATAACCCTAGGGCCTAATACCAGACCTGGCTCACACTAAATGCTGAATAAATGTGCAAGAAAGACTGGCAGGAAGATGGATGGGCGAGGCTGAGTTAATAGGAGGGGTCTCCGTTTCATGCTCTGGGAAAGGGCAGCCAGGGCTTTCAGAGTCCCAAGAACTCCTCCCAAGTTTCCAGCTGAGCTTGCTTCAAGGAAGGACACTTTGAAAATGTCTCTACTTCCTAGGCACCGCAATGTTACTACCAAGGGTATTTCCTGTGGAAACCAGGGGTTCTCTTTGGAAGATGAGGGAAAACCTCATTATAAAGTCAAGGATGGAGCTAATATTTGGAGAAATAATTAACTGCAGTGATCTAGATAACAGCAGAGATGAAAGACAGCAGGAAGTCAGCTGCGGCAGGGGCAAGAGGGGCCTCTGAAGTTGGCTTCAAAGGGTTCTGATCTGCTGTCCCGCCTGCTGCGATGAAGTTACAAAAATAACAGAGAATTAAAAACTGTCCTCAACCCAGGACTGCTCTACCCAGCAGTCTCCTCTCAACTGTCGGTGACTCCCTACTGCCTGGGGACAGAGGCCAACCCCAGCGTGCTTTCAAGACCTTCTACAGTGGCGCCCATTCCACCTCTGCAGACCCATCTCCCGCCGGCCCCACAGCGACCCTTCGATTCAGCCGCAGAACGCTGACCACCCCCAGCCCAGACCTCTGCTGTCTCCTCAGTCTAGAAACTCCTCCCTCCTCCTGCCGGCCAGCTCCACTTAGCCAATTTCCAAGCACTCCAAAAAAAAAAAAAAAACAAACCTTTTTTACCAAAATATTGATGGAAGCCACCATTAGTTATGTACTCTACTAATAAAAGACATTATTTAATCTATTCTTCAACATTTTTTTTTACTTTAATTTTTCTTTTTTTTTTTTTTTGAGACGGAGTTTTGCTGTTACCCAGGCTAGACTACAAGGGCGCAATCTCGGCTCACTGCAACCTCCACCTCCCATGTTCAAGCAATTCTCCTGCCTCAGCCTCCCAAATAGCTGAGATTACAGGCGCCCGATGCCACGCGAGGCTAATTTTTGTAGTTTTAGTAGAGATGGTTTTCACCATGTTGGCCAGGCTGGTCTTGAACTCCTGACCTTAAGAGATTCACCTGCCTCAGCCTCCCAAAGTGCTGGGACTACAGGCATGAGCCACCACGCGCGGCCACAGTGCATAGAGCATCTAAAATATATATCATTTTGTTTTCCAAGTGAGAAAAGGAATCAGAGAGACTGAGTAACTTATCCAAGGGCACACAGCTAATGAGTCCAGGAATCAAACCACAGACTGACTGGCCCCTCAAGCACTTCTCTTTCCCCATATCCCACCCCAATAAGACCAAAAGTTACTACTGCCTACCTCTGGTGACAAATGGATGATGGAGAGAAAACATCTCACTACGTGATCATCTCTGGGTGCTGGAAATGATGGTGACTTTTTAAGACATTTCTGTATTTTCCATATTTTTGTATTTGTTTTAAACATACAGCATAAGGGTTAAGAGAATGGAACTCAGATTCAGAAAGAACTTGATTCTAGGCTCAGTCACTTAGGAGTTATGAGGGCTTACACCCTCTAGGCTTTATTTTCCTAATTTGTTAAAGGGGGATAATCCATTTACTTCAAGATTATTATGAAATCAAATTAGGCAGCATATATAAAGTACTTAGCACATGGCCTAATGCAAGTATCTGAATGAAAAAAAAAAAAAGCTTTCCAGAATGTCCCCCTGCTCATCTTCCTCTTGTCAGCCTACACATAAACCATCCCCAAACACTCAAAAATCCTTGCCATTGGAAGACCTCCAAAATCTGGGATAAGGACCTTTCCCTGTGGCTTTTGTTCTAGTAGCTACCAATACTTCTTGACAGAGATTCATGTTCTCTGCATTCCCTGGAGGTGCATCCTGTGCAGGAAGTTGCTACGGGGTCCCTGTGAGGCTGGAGTTCTACTGGTGTTCCTTGCCTAGTCTTGGGAATAGTGGATGATTCCCAGCAGATGGTGACCTGAAGAACAAGCTCTTAAAGTCCAACAACTATTAGAAACAAGGCTTCAGGCCAGTTGCGGTGGCTCACACCTGTAATCCCACCATTCTGGGAGGCCAAGGCAGGCAGATCACTTGAAGTCAAGAGTTCAAGACCAGCCTGGCCAACATGGTGAACCCCATCTCTACCAAAAATATAAAAAATTAGCCAGGCATGATGGCGTGTGCCTGTAATCCCAGCTACTCAGGAGGCTGAGGCAGTAGAATTGCTTGAACTCAAGAGGCGGAGGGTGCAGTGAGCCAAGATCGTGCCACTGCACTCCAGCCTGGGCGAGAGAGCACGACTTCGTCTTAAAAAAAAAAAAAAAAAAGACTTCAGACAGTAAACTAAAGTGTTTAAAGCTGGATAGAATTTAGAGGCCAAACCTGACCCCTCATTGGGCAGAGATGAAAGCTGAGCCCTCCAGAGACAAAGGTGCCTGCTTGAGGTCACCTGACAATGACTGGCAGGGCTAGACTTAGAATCCCAACCATGGCCACACACCTAATTTCTTTCACCCTTAGTCATCCTCATGACTGTTGCTTTCTTTCCAAAACTCCCCATGGAGTCCACACTGCATCGATTATGAAGTCTAACGAAGTTCCCTCCAGGACATACCAGCCAGTCCAGGAAGGGTTCCATACTGACCCTCCCCAGGTGGCTTCCCTTCCCTTGAAGAGCTGAGGAGGTCATGAGAGCACACCTAGACCATCTCCACTCTGACTACCAGGCACATTCTGCCCACTCATCGCACCTCACCCTGTGGACTGACTCTCTCACCAACACCCACCACTCTGAACTTAGAATTGCCAAATTCTTTGGCTGGAGGAGACATGGTGGTCACTTCCAAATAGCAACAGGCACCGCTCACTGAGAAACAGCTGCCTGCAGGGAGGTGCACCCACAGTATGCCTCATCCCAGGAGTACAAAAGGGTGGTCATCTTCCATTTTGCAGAAGAAACTCATGCTTGGGTTTCCAGTAACATGTAGACAGCCTGTGGGTGTGGCAGCGTAGGCAGGCGCAGATCGGGCTGGCTCCGAGAGCCACGCACGGTCATTCCATACCTCAAACTCAATGTCTCCCTCACACCTCCTGCCCACCACCACCCAGAGGCTGCCAAAGGAAAGGTCAGAAAGGGGAAACGTCTTGCCTTTGGCCACCCTGTTAGCCACAGCACTCCATCGTGTATCCACCATGTAACCCAACACAACTGGTACCTACCAGTGACCTGACAGCTACTCGGAGAGGCAGCAGAGTAGAGGGGAGGGAAGGAGAGGGAAGTCCTCAAGAAGAGGGCCTCGTCCTGTAAGCATTCATATCTGACCTAGCACTGGGCACGGTGCCCTGGCAAGCAAGACATCTATGCCGCAACAGAGGCAAGCCTGCACTCTGGGTCCGAATCCCAGCTCCACCATTTCCCAGCATGTAACTCTGGGCAGCTTCCTTCATTTTCTGGGTCTAAGTTCCCTCATCTACAAAACAGGACCAATAGTCCTACCCGACTGGCTTTGTATCAAGAGCACAGCACATGAGGATGTATATCGCACCTAGTACATTTATTTCCTCACCTGCAGTGGGTACTCAAAAATATGGCTGTTGATTACCAGAGTCCATCCATAAATGTTTTATTGAAATAGTAAATGCATAACCCAAGTCTGATTAGAATTGGATTTCCAGAAGCCCAATCCAGTGGTCACTCTACAATAACACAGGGTCTCTTCTTTCCAAACTCCAAACCATGGTGTGCCTGCCGTGGCCACACCTGTCAGGCTACACAAGCAGCAAGGACCCCCTGAGACCTGAACATCAGATGTCTGGCTGGAGGCTTCAGCAGGTCTTCAACGCCATGGCCGGCAGTTCCTCAAAGCTAAAGCTGGTGCGTGAATGAGCTGATCATGATGACAGCTTTATAACATGCACCTGACAGATGGCACGTTGACAGTGAGGGGAGCTTCTCTGGGCTGGGACAGAGAATGGCAAATCAACCATCACCGGAGCAAGGCTCTTCCAGCAGAGCTGTGAGGCACTGGTTAGAAAGCTGATGACCGGCTGTAATCTTGAACAGTTACATTAATTAAAAGCTGCATCTTTATCAAGCAACACTTCCCAGGGAGAGAGAGGAGTGAGAAACACGCAAGTGGAGAGGGAGGCTGCAGGAAGGGGACCCGCTCCCCAGAAGCCCAGCGTGACCTTCAGGCCTCCAGACAGGACCCAAAGAAACCCTGCTGCCCTTTATGTGCCATGAAAAATCAACCCCCACCAAAGAAAACCACTTTCTCACACTCGTGGAGAAATACTTGCAAAATGTATTAAAGGGCGTGACGTGCTAGACACCTGAAATGAGCCAAGTAGAGGGACTGAGAAGAGGGTCTTGGGAGAGAGGAAAATTTTCAGTGGGGTGCTCAGCATCAGCCTTGCCTTATGGAGAAGGTTCTAATTCAGCAAAGACCTGAAAGAGGTGAGGACTTCAGCCTCATAGATAACCAGGGAGGAGCATTTCAGGAAGAGCGGTGCCTCTCCGAGGTGCAGACAACGCCTGCGCTCCGGGTTTGAATTCTACCTCCACCACTTCCCAGCATGTAACCCTGGACAACTTCCTTCATTTTGGGTCTGCTTTCCCTCACCTACAAAGCAGGACCAACGGTACTACCTGCTTGGCTCTGTATCAAGAGTATACCACGTGAGGGAGGGCGCACATTCCACCTAGTACATCTCCTCACTTGGAGGGGGACTCATAAATATGACTGCTCATTACCAGAGTCCACCCATAAGTGTTTGAAATAAGGAATGCACAAACCAAGCCTCCACAAAGACAATAAATTAGCAGTGTGCCCACATATTCTTTCAATAGCTAAAATACACAGGGGCTGAGTGTCGGAGGGAGGAGAGGAGACAGGGAGGTAAGTGGGAGGGGATAAGGTTATGGAGAGCCTTTCAGGCCATTGTAAAAACATTAGATTTTACTCTGAGCAGCTAGGGAGCCACTGCAGAGAAATGATATATTTCACTTAGATGTTAACAGGATCCCTCTGGCCACATGTTGAAAACAAAACAGACTGCAGACAGAAAAGCTGGAAACATGGAACCCAGTTAGGAAATTATTGCAATAATCCAAGTGAGTGTGAATGGTGACCTGAATCCGTGAAAAGAAGGTAAGAAGTAGCTGCTTCCAAATACATTTTAGAGATAGAGAAACCAGAATTCTTGAGGAATAGGTATGAAGTTGAACAGAATGGTAAAGAATGACTCCAACGTATCTGGCTTAAGCAACTGGAAGGAAAAAGTTGCCATCAACAAAGTCAGGGAAATTGTAAAGCCGGTTGGAAGTAAATTGTCAGTCGCGTTGAGTGCAGGATGACTGGAAGACACCCAGTAGAGATACTGGGTAGGTAAGTGGAGAGGAGTGGTTGGAATTGAGAAAATGCAGAAGCTGCCCTCGTCTGATACTGACAGCCACGAGCGTGCAGGAGACCACCGTGAGGAAGTGTGGAAGGAGCAGAGAGGAGGACTAGGACAGGGACGTGGACTGGACGTGAGACATTCCTATGCTGAGAAGTCAAGAAGAATGTGTCCTCGCAGCTCCTCCTGCAGCACCTCACAGTGCACAACCGGCTGGGCCAGCCCATCCAGCATAGAGATGTGAAAACCTGTCCAGGTCGCTGGTGTATAGCCAGAACAATGGCACGGGGCAGGGCAAAGATGCTCACCCAGGTCTCAGGTTGCAGGTGGAGCTGTGTTGCAGTCAGAAGGGGAGGGACCTCCTCTACCCGGCTCCAGGTCTGGTTCTCGTGCACTGCTGCAGCAGTGCTGTCGTTGACAAAGCAAAGACACCTGCCCTGGTCCTCCGTGCAGCTGGCACGGAGTCACAGTCAGCAGAAGAGGAACACACACACCCCATCCCCACCAGGTCCTGAGTGCACAGCCGCAACAGTAACACGGTCCACAGGATGAGACGGCTCACCCGAGTCCGCCATGCGCAGCCCTGCCACTGTCTGCAGGGTAAGGACGCCCACCTGGGTTCTTGTGCCAGCCACAGTTGTGCCACAGTCCGTAGGGTAAGGACTCCCCCAGAGTAAGGACTCCCGCCTGAGTCCTGGCTGCGCAGCCTGTGTTGCCAGTCGCAGGGTAATACACTCGCCTGCATCGTGGGTGCCCCGCCACCGCCCTGCCACAGTCTACAAGGCAAGAACGCCCGTCTGGGTCCGTAGTGTGCAGCCGCAGCTGTGCTGCTGTCCACACCATAAAAACTCCTGGCCACAGACGTGCCACAGTCGGCAGGATAAGAATGCCCAGCTGGATCTTGGGGTGCACAGCCCCAGCTGTGCCGCTGTCCACAGGGTAAGAACGCCTGTCTGGGTGGGTCCTTGGTGCACAACCACAGGCGCGCTGCAGTCGGCAGAGTGAGGAGCCTGCCTGGGTCCTCCATACGCAGTCGCAGCTGTGCCGCTGCTCCCAGGGTCATGACGCCTACCCAGGTCCTTAGTGCGTGGCTACAGACGTGCCGCAGTCCTACCGGGAAAGATGCCAGCTCATGTCCTCAATGAGCAGCTGCAGAATTGCCGCCGTCTGAAGGATAAGGATGCCCACCAACATACGCAGTCGCACCCTTGCCGCAGTCCGCACAGTAAAGACGCTCACCAGGTCCTCCGCAGCCAACCGCAGGGTAGTGTCACCCAGGTAGCTCTCAGTGCCGGCTTCAGCAGCACCAGGCAATCCGCAGGGTAAGGACGCCTGCCGGGGTCCTCCACAGCTATCTGCAGGGTAGGGAACGCTCAGCTAGGTCTCAGTGCAGGGGATTCAGCAGCGCTGAGATCAGCGGGGTAAAGAGCTCGCCCGGGTCATCCGCAGCCATCCACAGCGGAGAACACTCAGCCTAGATCTCAGCGCGAGGCTTCAGCATTCCTGCGATCTCCAGAGCCACCCAGATCCTCCGCAGCCTACCACAGGGGAAGACACCCAGCTAGGTCTCCGTGCGCGGCTTCAGCAGCGGCGCAATCCACAGGGTAAAGAGTCCGCCCAGGTCCTCCGCAGGCTTCCGCAGGGGAGGACACTCAGCTAGGTCTTCAAGCGCGGCTTCAGCAGCACCAGGCGATCCGCAGGCTAAAAACGCCCCCCAGGGTTCTCCGCTGCCATCCGCAGGGCAGGAACACCCGGCTAGGTCTCTGTACAGTTCCCGCAGCACCACCTTCCACAGTATAATGACGCCCGCCCCCGCAGTATAATGACGCCCGCCCGGGTTCTCCGCAGCCGTCCACTGGGTGGGGACACCCAGTTAGGTCTCAGTGCATGGCTTCAGCATCCCCGCGATGCACAAAGTAACGACGCCTCCTCCCTCCTCTCATCCTCTGCAGCCGTCCGCAGAGGACGACACCAGCTAGGTCTCAGTGCGCAGCTGCGGCATTCCTGCTATGCACAAAGTAATGACGCCCACCCAGGTCCTCCGCAGCTGTCCGCAGGGGAAGACACCAGCTAGATGTAAGTGCGCAGCTGCAGCAATCCCGCGATCCACAAAGTAATGACGCCCGCCCAGATCCTCCGCAGCCGTGCACAGGGGAGGACACCCAGGTAGGTCTCAGTGCGCAGCTACAGCATTCCCGCGATCCACAAAGTAACAACGTCCGCCCAGATCCTCCACAGCCGTGCACAGGGGAGGACACCCAGCTACGTCTCAGTGCGGGGCTTTAGCAGCGCTAGGCCATTCACAGGGTAAACACGCCCACCGGGGTTCTCCGTCGCCACCGCAGGGTAAGACACTCAGCTAGGTCTCAGTGCGCAGCTGCAGGAGTGCCGCAGTCCGCAGGGTACTGACGCCCTCCGTGATCCTGCGCAGCCTTCCGCAGGGGAGACACCCAGCTAGGTCTCTGCGCAGCTGCAGGAGTGCCGCAGTCCGCAGGGTACTGACGCTCTCCTGAATCTTCCGCAGCGTTCTGCAAGGGAGACACCCAGCGAGGTCTCTGCGCAACTGCAGTAGTGCCGCAATCCGCAGGCTACTGACGCCCTCCAGAGTTCTCCGCAGCCTTCCGCAGGGGAGACAGGTCTCAGCGAGCAGCTGCAGGAGTGCCGCAATCCTCAGGGTACTGAAGCCCACCCGGGTTCTCCACAGCCTTCCACAGGGGACGACGCACAGCTAGGTCTCAGCTGCTTCAGTATCCCGGGATCCACAAAGTAATGACGTTCGCCCAGATCCTCCGCAGCCGTCCGCAGGGAAGACACTCAGCTAGGTCTCAGTGCGCAGCTGCAGGAGTGCCGCAGTCTACAGGGTACTGACCCCCGCCCGGGTCCCCCACAGCCTTCTGCAAGGGAGACACCCAGCTAGGTCTCTGCACAGCTGCAGGAGTGCCGCAATCCACAGGGTACTGACACCCGCCCGGGTCTCTGCAGCCTTCCACAGGGTAGGAACACCCAGCTAGGTCTCAGTGCGCGGCTTCAGCATCCCCGTGACGCGCAGGGTACTGATGCCCACGCTGGTCCTCCGCAGCCTTCTCCAGGGGAGGACACCCAGCTAGGTCTCTGCGCAGCTGCAGGAGTGCCACAATCCTCAGGGTACTGACGCTCACCCAGGTCCTCCGCAGCCTTCCGCAGGGGAGATACCCAGCTAGGTCTCAGCGCGCAGCTTCAGCATCCCCGCGATCCGCAGAGTATTGACGCCCACCCGGGTCCTCCGCAGCCTAGAGCAAGGGACTGCGGAACGAGTGCCGCAATCTTCAGGGTATTGACGCCCACCCGGGTCCTCCGCAGCCAAGAGCAAGGGACTGCGGAAGGAGTGCCGCAATCTTCAGGGTATTGACGCCCACCCGGGTCCTCCGCAGCCTAGAGCAGGGAACTGCGGAAAGAGTGCCACAATCCTCAGGGTATTGACGCCCACCCAAGTCCTCCGCAGCCTTCCGCAGGGGAGATACGCAGCTAGGTCTCAGTGCGCAGCTTCAGCATCCCTACAATCCGCAGGGTACTGATGCCCACCAAGGTCCTCCGCAGCCGTCAGCAGGGTAGCGACACCCAGCCAGGTCTCAGCGCATGGCTTCAGGAGTGCCTCAATTCACAGGGTACTGACGGTCACCCAGGTCTTCTACTGCTGTATGCAGGGTCGGGACACCCAGCTACGTCTCGGTTCGCGACTTCAGCCGCAACATGATCCGCGTAGTAAGGACGCCTGCCCGCCCAGGTCTTCCATGTACCGCTGCGGCTCTGGCGCAGACTGCAGCGTAAACACCCCTGGTCGTACGTTCGGCCCCGCCCTCAGCCCCTCCCTTCCTGGGCACCATTGGGGCCTCCTTGTTGGCAGGGCTGTGCTCGCACCGGATCCGAAGCGGACTCTGCATTCAGGCTCACGCGCTCTGGAAGGGAAGGGCGCTGGAGATGAGGGTGGCCGTGCGTCTGCGAGCTGTGAAGCCTGTGTTTGTGACTGTAATCTCACTCACGGGTGACAGGGCCCTGAGGATGACTCCGTGTCCTAGACTGCGGGTATTAACATGGGGCCTCTTCCGTGCCTTTCCGAGGCGAAAGCCTGGGTGGGTTCGGAGGCGTCAGCGCTAAAATCCTATAGGCTAAGTTACAGGGCCTTCTCGCTTTATTAACTAAAGGACTAGTAACAGCCTCAGAGCGCTCCCTGGAGGACTATATGTGACGTACTAATTTCTAACAAAAAGTTGAAATTAAGAAATTTTCACCTTTTCATGTTTTTGTACATAGAGTGCTATTTGAACCATTTATGTTTTCTTATTTGTCCTTCCTCTTCTAGCCACAAGCCATCTTTTGGCCAGGCAGCTTTATTCCAAATCAAAATGAGCATATCTTTTTCTTTGAGACGGAGTCTCGCTCTGTCACCCAGGCTGGAGTGCAATGGTGCCATCTTGGCTAACTCCAGCCTCTGCCTCCCAGATTCAAGCGATTCTCCTGCCTCAGCCTCCCAAGTAGCTGAAACTACAGGTCCACACTACGATGCCTAATTTTTGTATTTTTACTAGAAATGGGATTTCACTATGTTGGCCAGGCTGGTCTTGAACTCTTGACCTCAGGTGATCCACCCGCCTCTGCCTCCCAGCTAGAATTACAGGCCTGAGCCACTGTGCCTGGCCATTAAAATAAGCATTTTAAAATACATTTTTAGGTGCTGATCACAGAGAAATATTTGAAAATTCTGGTTACTATGAACTTGGGTTGGTTTTGTAGGGTTTTCTTTTTTTTGTTTTTTTTTTTTTTTTTTGAGACGTAGTTTTGGTCTTGTCACCCAGGCTGGAGTGCAATGGTGCAATCTCGGCTCAGTGCAACCTCCGCCTCCTGGGTTCAAGCGATTCTCCTGCCTCAGCCACCCAAGTAGCTGGGATTACAGGCATGCACCACCACATCCAGCAAATTTTTGTATTTTTAGTAGAAATAAGGTTTCACCATGTTGGCCAGGCTGGTCTCAAACTCCTGACCTCGGGTGATCCACCCACCTCGGCCTCCCAAGCTGGGATTACAGGTGTGAGCCACCATGCCCAGCCTGGTTTTTTGTTTATTTTTTGTTTTTTCCTTTTTTTTTTTCTTTTTGGTAAATTTTGCATGAGGAAAGGAATGTCTTCAGAGTTGGGAAAAATATTTATTTCATGATGTTCTGGTATATCAATATTTCAGTTGCTATTTAGAATGTCTTATCCCAGTTAAATATCAGATTGGCTCCAGAAAATGCATATTGGAGAGTAGTGTGCTTTTTGTTCCATGTGGTTTTATATGCTGTTTTGTTGGTTTGTATTTGCCTAGTTACTAGAGTCCAAACTGTAACAGAATGTAGTTAAAACCAGTGATTAATGTAACTTATGATGCTTTGTAAGAGACAATAAATGTGGTATTTGGGGTTGTTGCTGTGATTACTAGTGCAACTCAAAATTATTGCTTCTCTCAAAGTTTGTAACACTCTGTGTTAACTTTAATTTTTAAAAATATGTCTAATGTGTTTTCCTGACTACCCAGGTGGAAATGAAAGAAAGAGATGTAATAGACTCATGTGAATTTAATGGAAAATCTTAGCCTGGGTCTCAGAGAAATTGAAATTCTTATAGATGTCTTAAGTTGGTATTTGGCACATAGTGCTAGACAATAAATATTTGTCCAATAAATAAAATACCAGCCTCCCCCCACCACACACACACACACACACACGCATGCACGCACACACACAGACATAGACATGGGGGAGAAGAAGACATAGTTTACCATGTTCTCTCCCACACATAACTTCCTCATTGGCTGGTCAACACACAACTCTTGGTTTGGTTTGGTCCTGCCTAGTTCACTGCTTACTTCTGTCTCTATCTTCTGATTAGAGTAGGTTGAAGGGAAGACAGAAGGAGAAGAGACTGAAGAAGTGAGCAGAGACAAGTTTTTCAGGAGGCCGGCCTGCAAAGGCCAACAAGAATGGCAGTGTGGACTCGGAGTACACATGGCTGCCTCTTGCACATGATGCTATCTTGCTGTATGATTCTGGGCAAATACTTTCAAGTCCTGCCTCTCACTCTGTTCACCCCCACTGAGCGAGGGGCTGGGCAGGATAAAGCTCAACCCCCCACATGCCTGTGGCTCCCATTTTGAGGGAGTTGCAAAGCTGAGTGTCTGAAGCGCCAGGATCATGTCTGACTTACGAAGATGAGGCATAATCCTGAGCAAACAAGCACCCAGTGATGAAATGAAGGGATGCTAGAAAGCAGGAATTCCACTAGCAGAAGGAGCATGAAAGACCTGCCGCTCCCCACTCCCACAGCACAGACGAGAGGACCGAGGGATGGGAGGTAACAACAGAGGGTTAGCAGTAGGGTTTCCTCATACTCAGCCTGAGACACCCTCCTTAATTACATCAGCGCTCTCTTCCAGACCCTCGATGACAATTGTTTACGAGCTTCCCTTTTTCAGAAGCATTTTTAGTGCAGCATTATCGGGGCAAATATTTACCTCCCTGTGCCTCAGTTTCCTCATCTGTAAACCAGGACTAGTAATAGGACCCACCTCGGAGAATTGTGAAGATTAAATGACAGAGCTCACGTGAGGCAGCGCCTCTCATCAGGGGCAATTCTGTCCCCAACCCCACCCACAGGGGAGCTTTGGCAATATCTGGTTGACATCCTGGTTGGTACAAGCGATTGGGGCAGGAAGGGACCCTACTGGCCTCCAGTGGGTTGAAGTGAGGGATGCTCCTAAACATCCTATATCCTGTAGCCCCCTCCAACCGCAAAGAATTATCTAGAAAAAATGTCATAGTGCTGCTGTTGAAAAGTCCTGATGTGAAATCTTAGAATAGTGCCTAGAATCTAATAAGTAGCAATGAAGAATAGTTGATACCATATTACTAATGATACCTTCATGACTACAAAGCACTCTCCTTAGCCATGACGCTATCTCAGCTGGTCTTCACAATGACCCTCTGAGATACACACGACTATTCTTTTTACAGATGAAGGTACTAAGAGGTTCTAAGACAAAATGTGACTTGCCAAGAGTTACCCAGCTAAGAAGAAACAGGATCAGGTCTTGAACCTGGGCAGCCCAACTCCTGTGTTCTTTCCATCACTCCACCCTCCCACCTGGGAGAGAGAGACAGTGTATACCACCAGCTGATTCCTGAGCAACAGAAATACGCGTTTTTGAGCATATCAATGAAGATATCTGAATAATTTATTGGCATGCATCTCTAAATCCAGACGCTGGACCATCCCTTTGCTTCCTATGTTTATTCATTCACTCAGCAGTTACTTAGCACTTATCCTGGGTACCAAGCATTGTACCATATGCCAGGCTGGAGATGCAGGGATGAAACTGTCTCCTGGGAGGGCAGATCTGTAAACAAAGAATGACAGTAGAATACATGTGCTACACTGTATGCCAGGGCTGTCGGCTGTAAGCATAGAGCTATGGAGCCAGATGAAAGACCTCTGCAACAGCCTGAACGGAACCAGGAGGGCTCCCCGCTCTGCAATGGGTCTTGAAGAACGAGGCATTTTCTAGGAAGATCAATGAAGAAAGATGTTCTCGGGAGGGAGAAATATGAGGCAACATGGAATATCATCAGGAATAAAGATGACTGAGACCCTGCGATCTCTGAGATACTCACAGGCCCGTGCGATAGTTGGATATCTAAGTGGGCACTCATGATCTTAGACAAATAATATGCAAGTAGTATGATGGCACGATGGGGGGAGCTGTGAACTAGCTAGGGAAACAGATGAAAGAGGCCAAGTTTCTCCCGATATTTTCAGCCACAGTCTGAAATGCAGCAGCTCTGAGGCAGGGAGATGACAACGCAGGCGGCAGGAATGCTGCGTCACACACAGGTGCTGTAAAAAGCTACGACACACACCCTCCTGGGGGTGCCATTCCCCCAGCCCAGGCACCAGGCCCGGACCAGCTGTAGTTACCCAGCTAACAGAAGAACGGTTCACACCGACAAGGTACTTCTTAAACATCCTTCTTGTGATTAGGACATTTCCCAGAGTTGCCTCGAACTGAAGCCTTACTTCCTCTTTCTAACCCTTTTAGAAACAGTGTTAATGGCGACATTTAACGACATGGAGCTCCCTGAGTTGACTCTGCCTCCGCTTGCCCCCTGGGCCTGTCATCCATGCTGCATCGTGGCAGGGTCCCACTCAGCAGCAGCCCTGACTGCGTGGCTCCTGGGACAGCCCAAACGTACTCAGCCACCACTTGGCCGGCTCCAGCCACCTGCCCCCAGGACTGAAGGTTATGCAGATACACAGACCTGGTCCATCCTCTTCTACCCTCCCCCAGGTCTCCCCTTTCCAACCCCAGCTCATAAAGTCCTAGGTTCCTGTTTCTTACTGTGATTAGCAGCATATCATTGTCATTAGTGGCCTCACCCAGAGGCCTCATGTCAAGGGAAATGGCGACTGTGCTCAAATAGTGGTTGACGCATAATAAATGGTCTATAAATATATGGCAAATTGATGGATGAATTGGTAATTTATTCTGAACAGTCAGCACTTCTCTTGAGACTTCGGCTAACACTGTTGAATCTGTCTCCCCCTGGTTATCCAGTTTGATTCCCTGGGCTGGTCGGATGGTTCCTTCCTGGCCACAGTACAGTGCCTTTCTTCCTGGAACTACTGGGCCTCCTTATTGTCAAGAGAGAAAAAAATAACTATACTTCATAAAGACACCTGCTTAGGAGAGAAAGCAGAGCGCCATGTGTATAAACCCTCCTGACGTGCCCTATCTTTTCACGCTTCCCTCCCTTTGAGCACCCTGTGGACCTTTCTGGAATGAGCTCCATCTATGCTTCTCTTACCCACCTGGTAAACACCTCGTCTCCTCCTAGATCTAGCAGTACCTCCTCTGTGAAGCCTTTCCTCAGCTCCTTCTCCCTGCCCTCTTTATGTCTCCTCTGGGACACTTTCTTTTTGTCTTTAATCGCATCTTCATTACCTAACTCACCCTGTGGGGGGAGGCTCCAGGAAGGAGAGAGACTGCATGCAGTCTGAATCTCAGAACACCAGAGGGTCTGTCCTCAGTGACAGAGGGCCAGCGGGCAGCACTACCAGGCTGGCCACTCCTTCATAGGAGACCTTGTGTGGCAGAAGGGTCTGTCTCTCATCTTTCCTTAAAAGCAGAAAGGACGAGAACGAGCAATCAAAGGTCCAAGCCTATCCAAAGAGCTAAATCACCAAGTCAAATGTGGATTTTGTAATGATGAACTAAAAAAAAAAAAAAAAAGTCTGGTGCTCAGATCAAAAAGCAACACCAATGACAAAGTGCGGGATGATGAATCACACAGGGCTCAGCTCAACCTTCAGAACAAAGGCAAGGTCAGTGTTGCCAGGACGAAAGCCTCTCCGCCTGCTTCCTCATTCAGCACCTGAACAACAGCCATCAGATCGTGCCATCAGAGCAGAGGCCCCGGGTCCCAAAGAATCAACACCAGGTTCGCATTTTTGTGTCAGACAGTCGTTCACAGAAAAGCCAGAAAAGTTGCTGACAGGTACCTAGGTAACTGATTTCGACTGAAGATCAAAAAGAATTTCCCAACTGTCAGTTATCCCAAAACTAGACAAGATGCCTGAGAGGGGATTGCCAGTTCCTAGGCAAGTTCACACAACATCAGTCACTGAGGAATGCAGGTCAAGCCAGGCCTTGCCAAGATGCCCGCAGGGTGAGTGGATGTCACGGCCTATGGGGCTGCTGGGATGGTCATTCAAAGCAACTACACATGGAGGGAGCAGACTGTGAACACCAGCTGTGTTCTTGGTCGTGGGGGAGCGAGGGGGCAGTGAGGTAGGACAGGGAAACACAAGCTTTGGAGCAAGAGAAACAGACTGCAAGTCTTTTACTGACCAGCTGGGTGACCTTGAAAAGGCCATTTCACCTCTGAGACTCAAATTCTTCCCACGAAAAAAAGAGGATAATGCCGACCTCAAACGTATTGTTACAAGAACGAAGCAAGATAGCCTATATAAAGGGCTTGAACAGTGCCAAGCTCCACAGAGATACTCAGAAACACAGATCCCTTTCCTGTTTTTCTCCTTGAGTAGTACTGATCTTTACATCCCTGGCAATTAGCAAAGTGCCTGGCACATAATACAGTCTTAATAAACATTTGCAAACGTTTACATTTCAGTGGTGCCTCTGTTCAAGATAGGAGTTCGGATCCTGAGCTCCATGAGCGCCAGAAGTCTAAGAACCTCCAGACATAGAGAGGAGATTTTGCGTGTGTGTCCTTTCTTTTGAGGGAATGATCCATGGCTTTAAATTGGAGATTCAAAGAAGTCCTTGGCCAAAAATACAGCAAGGACCACCATACTACAGGCATTGAAACCACCACCAGGAGCATATCCTTCTTCTCCTCCCTTCTACTCTGCTTTCAAGTCCTGGTTCAATTCAAATCCCCTCCTCTGAAGTCTCAGAGCACTTACTGTCTGTACAAGGTCTTAGTAATTATGAAATCTCAGATCCACAGGAAGGTAGAAATGGAAGGCTTTTTACGGTCATTCCTTTGTTTATTCGCTTACTAAGTATTCAGTTCAGCTCCTCCAGTGCACCAGGCATGGTGCTTTATGCTAAGACCAGAACATCAAGTAAAATGGAACAGTCCCCACCCTCAAGACAACTGCAACAAAGATAAAACTAAGTAACTGGAGAACTGTCATTGTAAGAGAACCGAAGGATGCTATGAAAGGGGCATGTAGCCAAGCCGTCCAGAATTGGAGGCAAATGGTACCGTGGGAGTGGCCCTCAGTTCCAGCAATGCCTCTCAGAAGTGACACCTGAGAATGGAGGAGGAGAAAGCCAGTGCAAGGGAGAAGAGGAATGGTGCCTCAGGCAGTAGGTAAGCATGGCCAAGGCTTACAGGCGAAGGCATGGAAATCATTTCCTTGTGGCCAGGCCACAAGACAGCCATGAGAAGAGCTGAGGCAAGACTGGCCAAGGGTATGGGCTTTATTGTAAGGGAGATGGGAAGGCATGCATGGCGCACTCTGACTGGGGGTCACGGAGGCAGCACAGAGACTCAATCTGTGCAGGGCAGAGAGGAGTGAAACATTTAAGTCTGGCAGTTTCCATCTTGCCCACAATTTAGGCTAGGAAGAGCAAGTATGAGGCTCCAGGTTTTCAAAATGTGTGTGGTGGGGGTGGGGTGTAGGGGGATGAGACAGACAGACACGCACACATATATGCATGTAGATATGAGGATACGTGTGTTTATACATAGACAGGTTATCCTCTGGGTGATATCCGAACTCACAATTCACTGATTCATAATCTGTGGAGGATGAATGGAGAAGGGGTGGGGGCGGGGAGTTAAGAATTTCCCAGTACAGTCCTCTGTTTCCAAATAAGGAGACTGAGTCCTAGAGAAGGTAAATAGCCAACTACATAATTATCAAACAAGTCTCTTAGTTATTTGGAAAACCAGAATCAGAAGCCAAACTGCAGATGCCCAGCCCTGCACCCACAGCCACTAGGGGCACAGCCCTTCATCACGTATCTTAGATACCTGGCAGCCTCTCAGAGTGGATGGGCAACACTTGCTCAATTCTGATGAGCTAGTTTGGTCTTTCATCCCTAACCTAGTCACACAGAAGCTCTGCACAATTCCCAGCATAGTCCCTGACACAGAGAAGGCGTTTAAAGCCAAGTGTCCATTTGACTTTACAGCATTTTGGTAGCACAAAGCTCCCGCTCGCCCCCCTTGCCCAGGGCGCACCTGGCCCCGACATCTACGCCTACCCTCACAGGCCTCCCAGGTGTGTATGACCAGGAAGATAAGTTGAAAGGATGAAGCCTGTTTGAAGGGTGGTTGTCAGACTCCCCGACCTTAGAAGAGCATCTTTCTGATGGTGTTTTTTGTTGGGTTTGTTCTCTGTTGTGTCCCAGTGCCTAGAAGCACACGTGGTATGCAGAAGGCCCTCAGCAAGTATGCAGGGAATTAACTGGCCAGATGTTCCTCATGACCCGTGTAGTTAATATTTGGCTTCAGTCAGAGCAGCGTGACATTTATCTGTTATGTATTTGGGGGATCTGTGAAGGTTTCACTTGAAGCAACATCCTATGACTAAGAATAGATTGAAAACCACTATCCAGAGGGGAGATATTTTTTCTTTTCCTTAGTTTCGAGAAGCCTTTTTACTTACTGAAAAACAGTGCAATATAAATGGAGTTTCCAAAAACCAAAACAGAGGTAATTTATAACTACCCAAAATACTTTACTTTTCCTTTCCGATTCTGAAACAAATGTGATTCCAAAATGCCTCTAGGTACATGTTTGGATTTTATAAAAATTATATAATGAAAGTGATGCCTCACAAGCAAAGGGAAGGCGAGGTCGACACAAGCCTCTCGCCATCCGTGGGCCGAGCACAGAGACAAATGGAGGCCCCCCTACCTGCTGAGCACCAGGACAACCCAAGTGATTCCAGGACATTCTGAGATGGGGAGGGGGCACTAATAATAATTACTCCAGGGCAGTATGAACAGGGCCTGTCTCAGACAAACTGGGGCATAGGGCACTCTGGTAATAACCAGCAGGAGGTCATTAAATGCAAGGTCACCACTGGTCAAAATGGATGATTATCATCTAGGAGGGTCAAGTCCTAGCAAAATATGATTGCCACTCAAAAATACGAAGAGAAAACAGACCATGTGGTACAGTGAAACTAACATATCTGGGTCTAAATTCCAGGCCTGCCATTTACTAGCTGCATGACCTTGAAAAAAATACTATACAATTTACCCCTCAGGGTTAAGGATTAAATAAGAAAAAAATATATATGAGTGTAATCTACTGCACCTTACTGTATTCAGGGGTTGTGGGTATAGTGAGAAGCAGCTAAGGGTCAATGGTGCCTTCCCATTCCACCCTGTCAAAAACTGGGGAATATGGGGCAAGTTATTGAACCTCTCAAAAAATTCCTTTCCTCATTTGCCAACCAATAACCTCTCCCACCTGAAAGCATCAAAACAGAAGGCAGACACAGCCCAGTGTTTTACCCTGGGCCACGCAGGCCAGCCTGCCTGTTTCCTGGTCTGATGAACACTGAGGAAGGTCAACAGAGGCTGGGGAGACTGGGCTTTGAAGCCTTGTAAAAATTAATTACACTTAAATCCTTCATGCTGAACATGCTCTGTATGCTCCTCCTGATTTGCTTATACCCTCTGCTGTGTTCCAAGAGACAGACTCAGGTGACAGCATCAACAGGCTCCGCATGCCCCTGAGCTTCTGGCCAGGCTCAGCCCACGGGAGGCCCCAGATGAGACAGTGGAGAGTAGGGCCGCAGTGGTTGCTCCCCTGACCCTAGACTGCCAGGCTCTGCTCTGCTCTGCTCTGCTCTTCCCAAAGAGCCCAGCTGCCCTCTGGCAGCAGCTCCCCCATGCACCCCCTGTGGTAGCTCCCCCTACAGCAGCTCCCCCTGTAGCAGCTCCCCCCTGCACCCCCTGCAGCAGCTCCCCACATGCTCCCCCTGCAGCAGCTCCCCCTACAGCAGCTCCCTCCTGCAGCAGCTCCCTCCTGCAGCAGCTCCCTCCTGCAGCAGCTCCCTGCTGCACCCCCTGCATCCCCCGTGGTACCTCCCCCTACAGCAGCTCCCCCCATGCTCCCCCTACAGCAGCTCCCTCCTGCAGCAGCTCCCTCCTGCAGCAGCTCCCTCCTGCAGCAGCTCCCTGCTGCACCCCCTGCATCCCCCGTGGTACCTCCCCCTACAGCAGCTCCCCACATGCTCCCCCTACAGCAGCTCCCTCCTGCAGCAGCTCCCTCCTGCAGCAGCTCCCTCCTGCAGCAGCTCCCTGCTGCACCCCCTGCATCCCCCGTGGTACCTCCCCCTACAGCAGCTCCCCCCATGCTCCCCCTGCAGCAGCTCCCCCTGCACCCCCTGCAGCAGCTCCCCCTGAACCCCCTGTAGCAGCTCCCCTTATGCTCCCCCTACAGTAGCTCCCCCTGAAGCAGCTCCCCCTGCACCCCCGGTAGCAGCTCCCCCTGTAGCAGCCCCCCCCTGCAGCAGCTCCCCCTGCAACCCCTGTAGCAGCTCCCCCCGCACCCCCTGTAGCAGCTCCCCCCATACTCCCCCTGCAGCAGCTCCCCCCTGCACCCCCTGCAGCAGCTCCCCCAAAGCTCCCCCTGCAGTAGCTCCCCCCTGCAGCCCCTGCAGCAGCTCCCCACTTGTTTGGGTAACTGCTTCCTCTTGTCCTTCTACCTGGAGGGTCCAAAGTCCCCAGCTGCTGATAGCCCCAGGCTGCTTCCCATGCCTCCTGGGTTTCCCTTCACCACCCAGGTCCTTGGAAAGTCCCCTTTATTCAACTGTCCCCAGTTACCCCTCTGAGTGTGCTGCCTGTTTCCTGTGGGGACCCTGACTGATACATCCATTAAAAGCCCCTTTCTTTTTCAGTTACTCCTCAGTTTGGGCCTTAAACCTGGCACATGCTGACCAGATTCCCTGAGGCTCAGGTGAGGTCAGCTCCTCCTACCAGGCAAACTCAGAGGTCATTACCTTCAAGACACCCATCCAGACTCTTCTCCACCTGCCTCTGCCCAGGCTGGCCTCAACACCTTGGCCGCCAGCTCCATGAGCACCCTAACCCCATGCTGTGCTCCTTGGTCACTTACTGTTGCTGCCTCTGGAACATGGTGGGGGGAAGCAGGAGCACAGAGAACAATGTACATCCCCCACTCCCAGCCCCTTCCCTAACAGCACCTGGAACGAGGTGGGCACTCAGCGACAGCTGCACTGATGCCCGTGAGCAGAGCAAGACGCCCAGAGCAGGTCTCCCTAAGATACAAACCTGAGTGCATATGCTCACATTTCTCAGGGATGAGAGTCATGCATTCATTAAAAGAGTCCCAATGTGTGTATGAGGACAACATAGAACTTTCCTTCAAAATGGAGGTAAAGCAGAAAGGAAAGACACTGACAGCAGGATTTGCGACTCGCTGTTAAGAACAAGGCAAGATACTTTGTCCTGAAAAAGTGATCGGTGTGATAGATTAACATACAGAAAACAGTGGGCAGATAAAACTCCTTAAAATATTTATGGCTTTTGAGTGATTCTGAAAAGAGGCAAGCTCTCCCTGTATGCGCCAGCACACTCCATCAACAGGGACATTTTAATAAGGTGACTCCTGCAGGAGGCTCAGGCGCAGGCGCCATGGCAGGACTTGGTGGTATGTTTCATAAAATATTCACAGCTTTCTCCAGAAAAGAACATCTTTGGGTAGCCCTTCTCCTTCATCAACTTGGCCACTTTCATAAACAGAGGAGGAATAATAATACTGACATGTCAACGGGAAGCTTTGGCTCGCCTTGCCTTGGGCACGAGGAGAGTAATGGAGAATTCCAGACGATGGTGCGACAGGTGCAAGGAGAGTAATGGAGAATTCCAGACGATGGTGGGACAGGTGGGAGGAGAGTAATGGAGAATTCCAGACGATGGTGGGACAGGTGCGAGGAGAGTAATGGAGAATTCCAGATGATGGTGGGACAGGTGCGAGGAGAGTAATGAAGAATTCCAGACGATGGTGGGACAGGTGCGAGGAGAGGAATGGAGAATTCCAGACGATGGTGGGACAGGTGTGAGGAGAGTAATGGAGAATTCCAGACGATGGTGGGACAGGTGCGAGGAGAGTAATGGAGAATTCCAGACGATGGTGGACAGGTGTGAGAAGAGTAATGGAGAATTCCAGATAATGTCAGAGCTCCCGACCAGTAAGCCTCCATTTCATGTCAGGCACCAGGCTGGACGCTGGAGATGCATGATTTTTCATCCTCTCAAGAGATCTATGAACTGTCCCCATCTTTACAGAAGAAACTGCAGGTCAGAGCCGGTGGGTTCGTCATTATCTCCTAGTCTCATAACATCCTGTCAGATAGAATGGCCACATTCACAGGTGGAGACATTCTGCTTAGAGGCCCCTTTTAATAGGTGGCCTTGCAGATCATGAGCTGCAATTCAAACCCAGGTCTGTCTGGTTTGGGTTTGCATCATGCTATATCCTAGACATATCACTATTTTTTAATTTCCTTTTTTTTTTTTTTTTTGAAATGGAGTCTCGCTCTGTCACCCAGTCTGAAGTGCAGTGGCGCAAACTCAGGTCACTGCAACCTCCGCCTCCTGGTTCAAGGGATTCTCCTACCTCAGCCTCCTGAGTAGCTGGGACTACAGGCATGAGCCACTGCAGCCAGCCTAAATTCCTCTTTTCTTGACATCAAAAAAAAATTCTTCCACATAATTTTTCCTTTGCTTACTTATATATGAGAGAGCAGTTGGGAATTTCAGGGGTTGGAAATATGTCTAGTATTATGTGGGGAGCAGAGAGATTGGTGAAGAAAGTAAAGAGCACAGGCCCAGCAGTGACTTATGTCCTGTGAAGTTTCGACAAATAGAACATAGTCCCCTGGACAGAGGGTGCTTCATTTCAGGGAGATTGACACAAGCAGCGCCATCCCAGGCAGCATGTGCTGCATCATGGGGAGGCTGAAGCCCGCTCTCAAACTCATAGCGGCAGGGACGGTATTTCCAGCAGGACCATCAGGAAAGTGTCCAGAAGCAGGCAGCACACAGAAGGTGGGCCTTTGAGAATGAAATGACACAGATGTTTGCCATCACTTACCATGGCAGGATGAACTGTTTTAAAACAGCAAAAATGTCGGGTGGTGATTTCTATGTCAAGGATGGGGAGAGAGACCACCCTTTCCCGGCTTCAGGGTTGCAGGAGCAGGCACCTGCCTGGCCACTCACTGCTCAGAGGGAGTCCTGGGCGTGGAGAAGTCAGGGAGGAGACGCCAGGCAGACTCAGCGGGGACCCTCCACTGTGAACCTGGGCTCTGCCTGTCCGTAGGAAGCAACTTCCACTTCCTACGCCCCAAGTCACAAAGAGGCAGGTTCCTCAAGTTTTGGGGGATAAGTTCAAGTCCAGGGAGTCTCCGCAAGCCCATGTGAGTAGAACTGATCCACCGAATTCTTCACTGCCAACTTGATGACTGGTGCACATACAGTTTTCACCTCCCAACCTTTAATTGGCCCTCAACTCAAAAGACCCTCTACATGTCCACATTAGAGTCCCTGACACAATCAAAGCCTGTGAAGCTGCACCCACGCTTCCCACTCGATCGGAAAGTCAGGCCTGCTCATCTGCGGAACTTCTGGCTCATTTATGTAAGAGCTGCCTCGAAGTCTCTGATCAGAATTGACTGCTTCCATAATCCCTCCCTAAGCCCTTCCTTTGAGTGAGGTGGCCTCTTGCATACTTCAACAGCACCCAGTATGCACCTCCAGTAGCATAGCTGGTAGCTGGTCTGAGTTCCTCACAAAACTCACTCTGCTTCCGAGCGGGGACTGTTATTCCTGTTTCCAATCCCCTCACCTAAACTAACACCTCCAGGTCAGAAGGCTGTCCTTACATTTGAGGAGTAAATGGAACACCACCCCCAGGCCATATATCCAGCGAGTCAGTCAACAATGAATGTCTCTATGTGCCTAGTGATGGGTTCATAAGGACGAAAAGGACTGAAGAAAAAAAAAAAAAAAAAAACCTCACAAAAGAAAATATTCCTAACAGCAACTGCTGACGTTGCAAAAGACACATGGTACTTTAGGCCCATGTAGTCCAAAGTAGAAATCTGATATCATAATGTCATTAATTTGACTGTTCTCTTCGACAAAAATTTGAATTAAGCTTGATCAGAAAGATGACATTAATGTAGCCATCCTTGGCACCTGATGGTAAAATCTTTAATCCCAGCACAGGAAGGTATCATAATAGGACCATCCGTCACCGATGCAATCATTTGATAATTGCTTTTAGGCCCTGGGTCCTTACATCCAAGACTTAAAGACAAAGAAGGAGGAAAGAGGTGAAGTGCCTGTGATTAGGAGAGCAAATATGTGGCACGTGAGGAGGAAGCATATGGGAGCGGGAGGGAGAACCGCAAAGCCTCCTCGGAAACAGAAAAAGTTTCTGTGAGAGGAAGGAAGTGAAAGGAGCCAAGAGACAAGAGGAGGGAGGGAACTGTCGATGATCCGGAATATGTGAGTAATAACATAGGACTCAATGAAAAAGATGCAATATCCACGGAATAATACATTCAATTAAGTTCAGTCAGGAGTCTGACTACCTCCTGAGAGCTGGGTCTGTGCTAGACCATGGAAGGAGAGAGAAGAATAAAGCAGGACACTTCCTGACTGAAGGAAGCCCACAATGTAAGCAAAGTAAAACTGCAGGTAATAAATGACAACAGAGTGTGCTAATTGAAGCAATAAAAAGTGCAGCCATGGGGAATTGGCTCCAGGAACCCCACAGACACCGAAATCCTTGATTCTCGAATTCTGGTATAAAATGGCACAGTATTTGCATGTCTACTTACCCACATCCTCCCATGTAATTTAAATCAGGTCTAGGTTACTTACAACCTAATACAATGTAAGTGCTTTGTAAACAGTTGTTATAATGGTTTTTTTTTTTTTTTTAGATGGAGTCTTGCTCTGTCGCCCAGGCTGGAGTGCAGTGGCGTGATCTAGGCTCACTGCAACCTCTGCCTCCCAGGTTCAAGCAACTCTCTGCCTCAGCCTCCAGAGGAGCTGGGATTACAGGTTCCTGACACCACACCTGGCGAATTTTTTTGTATTTTTAGTAGAGACGGGGTTTCACCGTCTTGACCAGGCTGGTCTTGAACTCCTGACCTCATGATCCACCAGCCTTGGCCTCCCAAAGTGCTGGGATTACAGGCATGAGCCACCGCACCTGGCCATTATACTCTATTTTTTTGGTTGTATTATTTTTTTTTCTCCAAATATTTTCAATCTATGGTTGCCTGAATCTAAGGATGTGGAACCGGCAGATGCAGTAAGGCCCAGCTGTAGAGTGAATGCACAGAGCAGGGGCTGGATAATCACCTGGGACAAGCAGCCTGGCGAAGGGGAGAGCATACAGCCTTTGGAACCAGATTTGGGCTTAAAGGCTTGTTCCACACTTACGGGCTACGGGTCACTGAGGATGCTGTGCCCGGGGCCCTTGTTCTCCTTCCAAGGGCCAGTAATAGTCACCCTCCAAGGGACGGTGTGATGAGCGAATGTGACAGTGCTCGTGAACACCTATAAGACCACCTGGCGCACAACAGGTGCGGATTATGATTATTACTGGGGGAAGGAAAGACTGCATAGAAGGCAGTGCCTGAGCACAAATCAGAAGGAGCTCACGAGCATAAAAGGTGAGGAAGGCTGTTCCCAGCAGAGGGGGCAGCAGGCACCTGGCAAAGAGGTGTGACAAAGAACAGTGAGCCCAGCAACTGCACGCAGGATATGAGGGGTCAGGGGAGAGGCAGGGGCAGGGTGTGTGTCTGTCTGATGGGCGAAGGGGGTAAATTTTTTATTCTTAAGGCAATGAGGAATAACGAAAAGGTTTAAAGTAGGGTGAGATGTGATCGTACCAGCATTATAGAAAGATCATGCTGGCAGCTATCTGGAAGCTGGACAGGGTTTATTTTGCACCTGTTAAAAGAGTCCATGGCCAACTTTCGGAGGCAGGAAATTCATACCTAAAAGTAACGATTATCACTCCCCTAGAGGCACCAATTCTACATGTGACATGTTCTCTCCTTGTGAAATTTCAGAGGAATCCAGTTAAGCAGCCAACTAAGCACTCATTTTCTTCCTTTGAGAGAAGGTAAGACTTGTACAGAACCTGAGGGAAGATGATGAGTCATTTGTTTGGCATTGCCGTTATTTTATTGATGCTGATGCCTGTAATTTACAAATTTTAGGGGACCATTTTAAAGAGTCACATATATCTCTCTAGCACTAAAATTGATTCATGATGCTATTGTGTTTTAAAGACAATAAATGCTTGCTGTGGTTTTGAGAAGTAACCCCAGGCGCTGCCCACGTCTGGGGTACACACTTCTGGCAGCAGCGGACAAGCTAGAGAGAAGAGATCTATGGTTTCTCAGTCCAAAGGTACCGTAGAGGTTCCCTACAGGTGGGGCAGCAGCGACGGTGGGGCTGAATAGGCGGAGTTCAGTGAGTAGGCGGAGTTCAGTAAGTAGGCGGAGTTCAGTGAGTAGGCGGAGTTCAGTGAGTAGGCGGAGTTCAGTAAGTAGGCGGAGTTCAGTGAGTAGGCGGAGTTCAGTGAGTAGGCGGAGTTCAGGCTCTCCCACACCAACCACCCAGATACAGCCAGAGCATCCGGCCACAGGCTGGATCCACACGAACAGGAGGAGGAGATGTCCTCTCACCTGAAGTTCTAACACCGCCCCATTCTGACCCTTGAGCCAGTGGGGTACTGTGGGAAGAGAAGGGTCTCTGGAGTCTGAGAGTCTTACTGACTTAACTGTGCACACCATTTTGACACACTAAGACTCAGTTTCTCCATCTGTAAAGTGGAGATAATATGTTCTTTGTAGACTGGTGTAAGGATAAAAATGAGATGATACATGCAAAGTGCTCACCACACAGTAGTCATGTCTTAGTCTATTTTGTGCTGGTGTAATAGAATACCTAAGACTGGGTAATTTATAAGGAAACAACAATAAGGTAATTTATAAGGAGCAACTGGCTCACAGTTCTGGAGGCTGGGAAGTCCAAGATCAAGGCTTTAGCAGGTGATGAGAGCCTGGTTTCTCTGCTTGCAAGATAGTACCTTGCATACTACATCCTCTGGAGAAGGACACGCTGGTTCCTCACATGACAGTAAGACAGAAGGGCCAAGAGAGCCCACTCCCCAAAGCTCTTTTATGAAAGCATTATGCCCACTCACAAGAGCGGAGCCCTCATGCCCTAATCACCTCTTAAAGGTCCCATCTCTTAACATTATTATACTGGCAATTAAATCTCAACGTGAGTTTTGGAGAGAACAAACATTCAAACCATAGCAAGACATATGATGGCAGCTTTTATTTAGTGCTGAGCAGTGAAAAAAATAAACATAGGAAGTGAGTGAGCCTCTAACATGCTGCGTAACAGAACTCACTGAGCAGCAAAAGTAAGCTTGATGTTTTTTTCTCTTAAAGAGAATTTGGAAAATAAATTCTGATTCATCACTACAGTTACAAGATACAACATCAAATGCACATTGTCTAGAAAATAAAAAATAGATTTATCTCAAGCTAAAGAGCTTCAAAGACCAACAGTGCATTTGTAATTTACCTCTCATGACTGAACTATACCATTTACCTGCAACCACTAGGAATTTGAAGTCATAACTGTGTAACTAATTTAGAGCTTACAAAGTCCATACAAATATATTTTCTCATTTACACCTCATAAACTCTATGAGATGGTCACTATTAATCCCATTTAAATCAGAAACCAAGATTTGCTCCAGGCAAAGCTCCATGAGATGCACGTGGGTGGCGCTTTGATACCGAGGAGCAAGACCCCAGTGGGTACAGCACCCACAGAACAGACCAGCCGCCTGGAATGGGAACCAGACAGGAAGTTCAAGTAAGTCCAGCTAGAACAAAGCAACTACTGCAACACACACTTTACCCCCAGAATATAGGTAGCGCCTGCCATTACAGGTGATTAGCAAATGTTTAATGAATGAACGTCTACCATTTCAACTGTTATGGCCTTCAAGAGGCTCCAGAGATTCCGTTAGTAGTCAAAGGATTCTGTAATGTCTGAGTATCTTAGTGGACACCCTGTGAAGTCTCTTTCTAGCCCACAATGGTCTCCTTCTTTGGGAACTGTCATCTGTGCACAGGAAAGGCCTCTGATAGCCATGTCTGTCACTAAGGGGCTCAGGGCCCACTGGCCCCAGGTGGCAGGAGCAGAGAAGGACACGTAATAGAAGCTGGGCCAAGAAGATGCCTCCACCTGCGGGTCTGGAGTTGGTGCTGAGAGAATCCTATCAGGGCTGTAGGTTTCACCTGTCATGATGTGAACTGGGGGCTGAGACAGCTATGGGTGAGGGGAATGGGTTTGAAGCAGCAGAGGAGCCAGTGAGTAGAAAAAGACAAAGGAAGGACAAGAAGCCACAGAGCAAGTGACAGCACTTGAGCGACAGTACACACTGGTGCAGAAAGCCTGGCAGGCTGGTTCTGAGGACTCTCCAGCCCGGGTCCCACCTGCGGCCTGGCCCTGCAGTGTGTCCTGGCTTCCTGTGAGTCACCAAGCTTCCCCTAGGACAGTCCCTCTTTGGCTTAAGACAGTGTGAAGGTGATTTTGTTAACTACCGTCAAGGGTCTTCATTTAAACAGGCCCCTTCCAAATGCAGTCTAATGTCAGGCCAAGGCCATCTGAAATGTAAGCATCTGCAGGAGACCCAGGTAGGCACAACAGTGTCACAGCAAGATAAGGCAAGGAGAAAAGAGGAGCAGAAAGCCGGAGTGCACAGCAGGAGAAGAGGACAAAAAGGCAGCCAGCCAAACCACGCCAGGCGTGGCGTCCTGCAGCCAGCAAGCACACGGGGCTGTCATCTGGAATGAGTTCAGGAAACTCAGGCTAATTTTAGCCATAGCCTAAGAAAACTGTGATCAGGATGATGAATTGGCTAAACAAAAATGTTATGCATGATAAGGCAAAACAGAAGTCCTTTCAGGATGGCCCCTCAAGCAGTTCCTCCCAACCCCCTTTCCCGCAAGTCCCCACCACGCCGCCAGCACCACTGACCAGGGGCATCCTCACTCCACGCCTCACCCCGTGAGTTTTGGAGAAACTCACCCCGCAAGTTTCTGGCTGTAAAGTGCTTTCTTCTTCATGTACAACTCCCAGCCACCCTCTAAGGGCTTCCACAACCTAATGAAGATGAATGTAATCCCTTAAGGCATTTCCATAACCTATTAAGTAATTAGACCGTCACATATACACACTTGAGTACATAGTAACATTCCCATCTTTGGGGTTAAAAACTGAGGTAAGAAGAGGTCACGCAATATTTTCAGAGTGGCTCAGCTGAGAAATAAACCAGGGAATTTAACCAGGTCTTTAACTCCAAATTATTCTACCTCATACCATGGGGTCTCTCAAATGTCACCTTCTCTATTAAAACCTTCAAAGTTCCTCTAAACCAGAAAGGAACCCCCCTTCCTCTCACCTGGGCTCCTGTAGAACTGTTTGTGGGCTTCTCAAAGTATTTCCCTCCATCTCCCTCTAACCTACTTCCTTCTATACACATCTCAGTACCCTTGGCAAGACTGAATTCCTTGCTTCCTAGTCCCATTCAGATTCCAGGATGCCACAGTTTCACATAATGGGTGGTCAGTAGATGTTGAGAAAGTGAATGAAGATAAACTGACATAGCACATCCTTTAGGATTTATTTCTTAAGGTGAACCCCTGGGTGTTTGGCATGTATGTGTTCAGCACTGGTCTAGGCACTGTGACAGATAAGAGGTGACACAGCCCCAGCCTTGAGTTAGATAACGTATACCATGCATCCACAAGATAGAAATTAAGGCAGCTTTGAACTCCAACAGAAAATACCTTCAGCTCAAAGTATGGTGTAATTTCTTTTCCTTATTTACCAGAAAAATAAACAGAGCCAGCACCAAGCTGAAATGATGAATGAGGCGGGTGCTCTTCCAGCACCTCTCCTCAGCAACTGGAAGGAGAGATCGTTAGCATTTCCCTGATTAGCAAGCTGAGTTAATTAATACAATATAGAGTGCTTCTCCCAGGAAGGAATTTTAAATAGATTTTGTTTTTAAGATTTTCACTTCCATACAGCTTTTCTGCAATACTCTCATCCATCTAGCCTCCATCTATCCATCCAACAACCATTCATCCATCTATCCAACATCCATCCATCCATCCAACATCCATCCATCCATTCATCCATCCATCCATCATCCAACATCCATCCATCCGTCCAACATCCAACATCCATCCATCCATCCATTCATCCATCCACCCATCCATCCAACATCCATCCATCCATCCATCCAACATCCATCCAACAACCGTCCATCCATCCATCCAACATCCATCCATCCATTCATTCATCCATCCAACATCCATCCATTCATTCATCCATCCAACATCCATCCATCCATTCATCCATCTAACATCCATCCATCCATCCATCATCCATCCATCCATCCATCCAACATTCATCCATCCATTCATCCAACATCTATACATTCATTCATTCATCCATCCATCCATTCAACAGCCATCCATCCAACATCATCCATTCAACCATCCATCCACCCTTTCAATCAAGATGTGAGGGGCATATGCCATCAACAAATACTGTGGAAGTTTCTGAGAATACAGAGGTGAAATTTTTTAAGGGTCAAGGAACAAAACCCAATCACTAGGCAAGATGTTGGGTTCTCTAAGAGCTCTCTATCAACTTTCCCTCAGGATATCAGGGATGCCTCCACTGAGGAGTAACCCTGAAAGAAAAGTAGGAATTCACTAAGCCACATATTTATGTGGGAAATTTAAGTGAGGAAGGGGATGAAAGGAGATTTTTAGGGAGAGAACACAGTGGGTGCAAAGGCCTGAGACAGAACAGTGTGATCAGAACATCCATGGGCCTGGGTGTTGTTGGACCTTGAGATGCAAGAGGGACAGTGTTAAGGGTCAGGGTTGGAGAAGCAAGAAAGGAAAAGACGATGGAGAACTTGGTTTATCTAAGGAGTTTGAGTTTTATTTCAGAGCCATGGGGAAATCACAGTCAGATTGTCACTTAAGATACTCTGGCAGTAAGGAAGAGGCAGGAAGGCCAGGGCAGAAAGTGCTGCAGTGACCCAGGGGAGAAGTGGTGCAGGCCTGTGGCAGGGCCCAGGCAGCAGCAGCAACAGAAGCCCCAGAGAGGACAGAGTGGATTCAGAGAGATGACCTAGATTTTCCTGCCAATGTTATAATTATAGGCACACTGTGAAGTCATTACCAAAGGCAAAATTGCATGTCTATCCTATTGTAAACTCAACTATAGGCCCTTTGATGAAAAATCAGTGGCTTCCACTTCACCATCACTTATTAAAGGGCTCCTCTGGAGAGCTCTGTGCTCCTTCCAGTAGGGGTGAAAGTGATAAATACAGCAGAGTCGTGTGTCTGTAGGGCAGGCTCTTAAAGGGGTCCCATGATCCCTACCCTCTGGTGTTCATACTACTATGTGATCCTCTCCCCTTGAGGGTGTGGGTGGGTCCTGTGACTTGCTTAAAGCAGAGGTGGTAGGACCTATGTGATTACTCATCTATGATTACATTACATGAGACTGTAGGCTCATGTTGCTGGAGTCCATCTCTTTCTTTCTTTCTTTCTCTCTCTCTCTCTCTCTCTCTCTCTCCCTTTCTCCCTCCCTCTCTCCCTCCTACACTGTCTTTGAGGATGCAAACAGTCATGCTGGGAAACTTCAATGAGTCAAGGATCTGCAGGTGGCCTCTAGATGCTGAGGTGCATTCTTCAGCCAACAGCCAGCTAGAAACCAAAGCTCTCACTCCTATGACTACAAATAACTGAATTCCACCAACAACTGAAGGGAGCTTAGAAACAGATCCAACCCCAGTTGGGCCTCAGATGAGACTGCAGCTCTGGCCAACACCTTGACTTCAGCCTTGTCAGACTCTAAGCAGCTTGTCTGACCCAGCTGAGCCATGCCTGGACTCCTGACCCATAGAAACTGTGTGCTAATTAATATATGTTGTTCTAGGCCACTACATTTGTGACAAGTTGTTAGAAAGCAATAGATAACTATTGCATATAGTAGGAGTGAACAAAAGTCTTAGATCCAGTTCAGTGCCTATATCTGCTATTTATTACCTCTGTGACTTGGGTTAAGAGACAAAAGCTTTCTAAGCCTTAGTTTTCCCTTTCTAAGAGAAATAATGCCTACATCCTGATGTTTCTGTGAGAATTAAATTTTTTTAAGTGTATATCTAAGTCCAACACAAAGAACTCAATGCCTCTTCTGTACCTCAAAGACTGGGTAATGAGTAGGGAGCGGCAGAGAGGAACAAAGCTGCCTCAGGTGTCTGAGGAGGGGATCCATGCTGCAAGGCAAGTGTGCAGCACAGATGGGAGGCAGGTGACTCAGCCATGAGGCTCAGGAAGCCTCTCTCGAGAAGGGGCACCTGAGCCCATCTTGAAGGGCCCCGATGATTTTGTGAGGCTGGGGTCAGAAACATGGGATCCACAGCCATCCCGAGCACGAGGTTATTCACAGTTTGCATAGACTTAATGTTTGCTGGATGTGCACATCGAAAAGTGCTACTGGGTCCTATACATTTTTATTTTTATTTAATGTGTTGAGCAAGATGCACCCACACAGCTGCCAATCTGACATCTCTGTTTGGATGTCACACAGATACCTCAAATTACTGCCTCTGCAACCACATTTCTTACTTACCCCTTTAAATCTGATCCTCTTCCAGGCTTCCCCATCTCAGTAACCGGCCACACCATCCACCTTGTTGCTGGTCACTGTCCCCGACCCCTCTTCAGAGCCCTTCCCACAGTCACGTCCGCCATGACACCCCACTCTCACCCAAGCTCACAAGTGCTCCAGCCGGACCTCCCACTGCCACGCTTGCATCTTGCACACATTCTCCCAAGTGGATCTGTTTTTAAGTGAAATTGCACATTTCACTTTCCTGCTGAAAAACCCTTCCCTGGCACCTGCTGCCTCTTGCTCAAATGCAGACCTCAGACCCCTGCACGTGCATGGCCTTGCAGAACCCAGACTTGCCAGCTCTGGACTGGTCACATCTGCTCTCCCTGCCCTGCCCTCACAGCCCGGCCACACCCACTCTGCCATGGGCATCTGGGGTACTGACATACTGCTTCCTCTCCAGCCACGAGCCCCACCCCAACTGCACAGCTGGGTTCTTCTCACCCCACTGCACCTTATTTATTCCATCATGCCCCATGTACTTCTCGCACATCACTCATCAAAAATTATAGTTGCATAGTCTTCTGTTGCTTATTTATTTTCTGTCTTCCCAGGAAAACTATAAGCTCCACAAGAGTAAGAACAATCGGTGTCTGTTTGTTACTGATAGTATACTAGGGGCCAAACAGTGCCTGGCCATCAAAGGACACTGCAAAGTATCTGATGAATGAATGGAAGTCTTGAGTTCTTTGTGAGGAGTGCAGGTGAAATGGGTCCATCAGGAGAGGCTAGGTTATGCTGTGGTAACAAGCAGCCTCCAAATCTCAGTGGCTTACAACCAAGGTTCATTTCTTCACTGGACAGGCTCTGGTCCATGTCTGTCTCACTCTGGACCCTGGCTGAAGCAGCAAGTGTCCCCACCAGGACTTTGCTCACCTTATGCTGGAGGCAAAAGAAAGATGGCCATAGCCCCCAGCTGGTTATTTAAACTTCTGCTCAGCAGTTTACATGTGCCCCTGTATTAGGTTCCTATTGCTGTTATGACAAATGATCACATATTTAGTGGCTTAAAACAACACAAACTGATAATCTCCCAGTTCTAGAGGTCAGAAGCCTGCACACCAGCATGTCTCCAGGGCTGCGTTCCTGGGGTAGGGTGCAGGGGGGGCTCTGCCTGAGCCCCTTCCAGTTTCTGGAGGCTGCCTGCTCTCCCTGGCTGTGGCCCCTTGCTGCATTGCCCCAGCCTCTGGCTTCCATAGTCACAGCCCCTACCCCTCTCTCTGCCCAGCCCTACCTCCCTCTTGGAAGGACCCTGGTGATGACACTGGGCCCATCTGGATGATCCAGGATCGCCTCCCCTTCTCAAGGTCCTTAACTTCATCACATCAGCAAAGTCCCTTTGGCTACGTCAGGTCACATGTACACAAGGTCTGACACACAAGGTCTGAGCATCGGGACGTGGACATCTTTGGGCGGGGGGGCATTACTGCATCTACCATGTGCCCCGGCCATTCACAGGGGCCAAAGCAAATCACAAACCCAAGCCTGACACCACGCAGGCAGGGAAGCACAGCCCCTCACAGGAAGACCCTCAGAGGGGAAGACCCTCGCGGGGGAGGACCCTCCGAGGGGAGGACCAAAATCACTCTCGAAGTCTGAAGGCAGTGAGGTGGGGGTATAATCTCCCACAGGGAGGGCAGCATATACCTGGCAGTAATCAGAGAATCTGCCATAGTAGGGGTGATCAATGGGAGAAAAGAGACTTATTTGGCTCTAGGAAATATTAATACGTAGTTTCATATTTTGTAGAGCTTAAAAAGAAGACCTTTGGGTTTCAATGTTGCCATTTCTGGAAAGAAAGCCCCATACCCTGAAGGCAAGTTCTTGATAAAAATTGCAGGGTGTCACTGTCCCCCAACCAGGTGGCCTCAGATAAAACCCGGACACTGCTCTTCACATTCTTCAAAGAGAGATGGCAACATCCCCTGCCCACCTCCTCACGGGGCTGCGAGGGGAAGTGAGGCAAGGGACAGTAGCAGGAGCTGGGCCGATGGTGATGCAGCAGCCGAGGTCAGCAGGCAGAGGCCCACCCAGAGCTCGGGGGCGGGACACGGCCTCCCTAAGGGCCTCAAAGGTAACTGGCCCAGGGGCACTCGGAGGGAACCACCAAGCTGGGTTGTTTCTGGGAAAGATCACTCTGGAAATAGGGGAGGCACCGAAAGGAGTGCTGCTCAGCAGACGGCTGCGGTGACCCAGGAAGCATCGACGAGAACCTAGTCACTGACACAGAGCAGGGGCACGCAGACCACGGGGTCAACTCAGGTTTATGAGGTCATTGCTAACTGGCATGGAACTCTGGAAAGCGCGTCATCTGTCATTTCAGAAAGCATGGCAGTGTCTGTCCGGGAATGGCAGCAAGGGGAAGGTGTGCAGGGGACCTGTGGGTGACGGGAACATTCTAGGTCTTAGGCATGTTCATTTATCGAATCTCATTCTTTTTTTTTTTTTTTTTTTTTTTTTGAGATGGAGCCTCGCTCTGTCACCCAGGCTGGAGTGCAGTGGCGCGATCTCGGCTCACCACAAGCTCCACCTCCCGGGTTCATGCCATTCTCCTGCCTCAGCCTCCTGAGTAGCTGGGATTACAGGTGCGTGCCACCACACCCAGCTAATTTTTTTGTACTTTAGTGAGACGGGTTCATGTCCAGATCCTTGTTTGTTCCAAACCTGCATGTTTGAGAGAAACAACGATTAGACATCTCCTTTGAGCCAAGTGCCACGCTAAATGCCTTTTTGCACTTGACCATCTTTAATTTCCAGAGCCCATTGAGAGGAGGGTTTCTCTCTCTTGGTTTGAAAGTGAAGAAGTGGTGTTAATTTCACCGTGTTAGCCAGGATAGTCTCGATCTCTTGACTTTGTGATCCGCCAGCCTCGGCCTCCCAAAGTGCTGGGATTACAGGCATGAGCCACAGCACCAAGCCTGTCAAATCTCATTCTTTACACAATTCAAATGAGGGCATTTTGCGGTACGTAACTTCTTCCTTAGTAAAGTTGATTTGAAAGAGATTGTCAAGCAGACTCGGAGGAAACCAGATGAGGGGCAAAGCTGCTCTTAGCTCTTCTCCTGGCTCTCCAATGCGGGGTATCCACTGAGATGGCCAGGGAGGGAGAGGACCAGGCTGGAAGAGGAGACACGGTGGGCCCCATCTGGAGCATCTTAACCGTGAGACACTAGACAGAGGAAAACGACAGGTCCATTTCAGAACCAGACTCTCAGGCACCAGGTTCCAAACAAAGACGTTAACGAATCAGCCCCCCAGTCCCATGTCAAGGAGTTCTCTCAAGGAACGTCGGTGGAAGGGAATTCGAACACCCCGTCACGAGAAGTTCATCAGACACTCGTAAGAACATCATATTTGATAGCGATAAAAGCTCTGAGATAGGGTCCAATTTCGTCTGCAGTTGAATACAAGCAGCACAATGATCCTGAAATTAAATGACATCATCTGTCACAACAGCAGCTTTCTAATTTGAATTACAGCACTGTGGAATTTTAAATGAAAAAGAAACATTTAATTAGGACAGTGTATTTAGCCAGAGCATAAGTAGCGAGAAGTAGCTCAGTCTGGCTAACTTTACCAAATCTCATCTCCAGGCCCCACAAAGGCAGAGATGTGGAAGGGAAGCCTTGAAATCCTGCAGGGTGGGCCTAGCGTGGCAGGTGTGGGGGCAGGGAGTGGACTCACGGGCGCTGTGACCCTCAGTATTTGGACGACACTGAACACATCACTAATTGTGCGTTCGCAGCTTCATGGCACACCACTGACAGCCATGAGCTCTCATCCTCACCCGATCCTTTCCCAGATGGGGCTGGGTGATAGACGAGGCAGAGAAGAGCTGGGTCTGGAACTGGAGTCTACCTTTCTCCAGCAGCCATGTCTGGGCATCTCTAACGTATGTATCTGGAGACACCGCTTCTTCACTTTCAAACCAAGAGACAGAAACCCTCCTCTCAATGGGCTCTGGAAATTAAGATGGTCAAGTGCAAAAAGGCATTTAGCATGGCACTTGGCTCAAAGGAGATGTCTAATCGTTGTTTCTCTCAAACATGCAGGTTTGGAACAAACAAGGATCTGGATAGAAGCTCTGTGAGGCATGCACCAAGCCTACCTGCGTGATGGACAGGGGCTCAGGACATATTTATCCACTGACTGAACAAATGAATGGATGAATGAACAGAATCATGAACATACACAACCAACTATGTTAGAGTAGGAAGAAACAGAATTAAATTTATTTTTGGTGATTTTAATCATACATCATACCCTATAAAACGCATTATCATACAGCTCTCTTCAATCAGATGCTAAGCATCTTGAGGACAGTGGCCATGCTTCATCCATGACCCTATCCCAGCAGTAAGGTTGGTACCTGGCATGGAGCAGGCCCTCAGGAAATATCCACGGAGCTAAAGAAACAAGTATCTCTTGGCCTCCTTGATTTAGAATCATGTTAAGGATGCAGGGTTTTTTATAAACCACAGATTTCACTGATAACAAAAATACATATTCCAGAAATAATTTCATTTTATCAACAAACATTAAAGGAGATACGTTCTTGATTGCAAAGGCATTCCCATCACAGGAAATAGCTACCATATCCAAAAGCATTGCTCCTATACAGAAACTAGCATGAGACTAAAACCATGACACTAAAAGTCTCAGTTTACAAATTTGTGTTGCTCTACCAGCTTCTTTCTTGCCAAAAATGAGTCCCCAAGAATATAAGAGCTAAAGTGAGTTTACTAGATTAACCTGAAGTCATAAATTCTAAAGCATAAATTCACCTGTATTAAGAAAGTGTAAGCAGTGTGGTGGCTTTTGCAGGGTGAGTTATAAACCAACAGAGATAGCATCTACTTGCCTTACTAAAATGATTCATGGTGAAGAGCTAAATTGGCTTTTCAGCCAAAAACAAAGACAGCACAGACAATGGCATATACAAAAGTTAGAATTTACAATTGTGTTAATTTGTTTTTATCAATACCAAAGGCAACAAATGTTTATCTTACTTTCCTGTGGCTCTTTAGTTGCAGCCTAATTCAGATCACCATAGAACAGTTCCATCACAATTATGCTCGGTGGTGAGACAGCCCAAGTGTGGTTTCATTTACTTTGGAGCAAAGAAAAAAAGAAAAATACACAAACACACACACACAAGTTTTCATGGAAACCAGCTCCAGCTCTGGCGTAAGCAAGCCATCCATGGGAGATGGCTGGTGCTCACAGAGAGACCACAGTGGGTCACCCTGTGCCCAGCCAGAATGGAGGCTGCATACAAGAAGCAGTGACTAATGGTCTGAGGTTAATGAGCGGCTAAAGGCCAAGGGTGGGGACAAAGGCTAGGGTATAAACTGTGTCCAATTTTTCCAAAAAAGTCTGGGTGAGGCAAATTCATTCTCTTTGAGAGAAGTGAAGGCAGGAAACTGGCACTAATTGAATACCCACTGTGCTCCTTGTACGGCAGATCCTCAAAATGATCCCGTGGGGTGGGGATTATCAGTGCTACACTTTTCAAGAGAAAACTGGGACTCCCAAGGGGTCGGCATGATTTCGCCAGTAAATGGCGGAGCCGAGATGGGGAGCCAGCTCTGTCCAGCTGCAAAACCACTGCTCTTTCCACCTAGCCATTCTGCCTCAGTTACACCCTCCTGGCGATGGGTCAGTCCTAGGAAAAGGCCTGCACATGGGAGATCTTAAAGCTGCTTCCTTTCGAAAGCAGACAACTTCACAGTCATTCAAGCTCCCCATTAAGACTCCTCTCACATATTTAACAAACCTGCACGTTGTGCACATGTACCCGAGAACTTAAACTATAATAAAATATATATATATATACATATATATATATATATTAAAAAAAAAAAGAAGACTCCTCTCCTACAGATCTGCTGCTCTGCCAATGAGGTTGATTTTCATGGGGATTTTCAGTTAGCAGAAGCAAAGTCCTTCTTTCTAAGCGTCCAGTCACCTCTAAAGCATATGCTAATTCCCTACTTAAATCTGTTTCTTTAACAACAGATTGGTGTCCATCTCCTTTCTGAACAAGGCAGGCCTGAGGTTCCTGGGTGAGGCAGGGCAGGCAGGTATCCGTGAGGAGGGGAGGCTGGCTCGGGTGTGTCTGGCCCCTTGCAAGGTGAGGCGGCACCGACTGAGGAGGATGCCCAGGGGAGAGTCGAAGCCCCAAGAGGATGAAGTGGACATCCGTGTGTGAGACCTCAGGGCCTGAGCAGGGTACGGGGTCCTAGAGGTGGAGCCCAAACAGGCCATGTGAAGAGCCCAAGTAGGGAGAAGAAGCGATCCCAGGGAGGGGCAAGCTGGCCCAGGGCATCGGAGCCAAGGAGGGGTCTAAAGGGTGTCTACACACGGGGTGAGCCGGCACGGGGGATGGAACCCGAGCTGCGTGGGCAGGATGTCCACACAGGGGGCAGGGGGCAGTAGAGGCGATGGGAGACTGGGTACACACAGGAGGATTGAACACCTAAGTCAGCAATGGAAGGATGGTGAGAGCCAGCTTTCTCCCCGAGAGAAAAGGAAGTTATGGTGAGAGCCAGCTTTCTCCCCAAGAGAAAAGGGAGTTACAAACACAGAGAGAGAAAATTAAAATAAAGCCAGTGATACCGGATCGGAATTGGAGGGATCTCTGAGAACTCATGTTTTGCGATGTATAGAGATGGATAGACGAATAGAAATGTAAATGCACGTGTACGCATGCACACGCACATACATACATGACCTATTCACTGAGAGGGCCTGAAAGCAGTGGCATCCGAATCAGCTACATGCACACTTCAGGCCCCAACTGTGGCTTCGGAGGAATCAGGGCCCCTGGAGAGATGACTGATTGCAGGGCTGGAGCAGGGAAAGGACAACGTTAGCCTGGAGCATCTCACGCCAGAAAGCAAGGAAGAACTCAAAGAGTGATGCCCACGTGTCAGAAGGACACAGGCAGCTTGAGGGGCGCCCACTGGTCAAGTCTGAGGCAATCTGGGTATCAAAATAAAGAACTGGAGTGGATCATCACCATTAAACAGAATGAGACTGTGAATTCATAGTGCTGTGAAGAAAGGGATGCACAGACCGGAAGGCTGATAAAGAACAGGATCTTTACATCACTTTACAGCACCTTCGTAGAAATGCTTCCAAATTTCAGAGTAACTTCACAGTGGAGAGGCCGGGCAGACACCACCTTACTCAAGTGATCATTGTGACACTGTCAGAACTGGGATGAACCACCTGATAGGTACGATGGGAACATGGCATCATTCTGTAGTATTCCTGTCCAAATTACAGAACCTGACTCTTGTCATGAGGTAGCATCAAAGCCAACTTGAGGGGCATCCTCCGAAATAACTGAATTATAATCTTGAAAAATATCAAGGTCATGAACATTAAAGAAAGCCTGAGGAATGCTCCAGATCACAGACTGAGGCTAAAAGAATCAGATGATTCTAAGTGGGACCCCTTCATCTAAAAGCCACTCCTGGGACAGCTGGCAAATGTGAACAGGGTCTGAGGACCGGATGGCCATCTCCTTATTTTGATGGTTATGCTGTGGGGTACAGAGAATGCTGTGTGTTGTTTGGAAACACACAGGAAAGTGCTTGGGGGTGACAGGGCATCGGGTTAACAGCTCAGCGGACTGAGGGGGTTCTTTGTACTATGCTTCAATCTTCTGTAAGTATGGGATTGCGTCAAAATTTTTAAAAATCACACAGAAAAATTGCCAAGCACAATAAATGTTCAGTGTAAAACATTTAGGAAATAGGACAGAAAATTAAAATAATCTATTATTCTCATCACTGAGGTAACTGTCATTAATTCCATACGCAGACTTCCAATGCTTTTGCGATGAATAGATTTTTAATAAGCTGAAATTATACTGTAAAGATATTTTAAAAGGGTACTTTTAAAACTTTCTCAGTGGCTACATTTTATTCCATTGTAAAGGTGTTCAATTATTCAATTAACCAATCCTCTATTATTTCAAATTTAGATTGTTTCCAATTTCTCCTTTGTGATAAAGAACACTGCAATACACATCAGTATGCACGTCAGGTTTTGTTCTTTAGGGTATATCAGTAAAAGTGGAATCACTGGGTAATAGGGTACAGACTTCTTCAAGGTTCTTGATACATAAAGGACTGCCACATTTCCCTGCAGAAACATTACACTAAACTATACTACACAACTGTATTGAGAGTATCTGCTAAAAAGTGCTTTGAATTTTAACACGATCACCATCTGTCCAGTGTTAGCTGCTTATAAGGCTTTCTCATAGACATAGTTCATCTGGCCCCTGCAACAGCCCCCTGAGGAAGAAAAGAGATGAGCACGAACCTCCAACTACATCCAGAGAATGCCAGGCTCAGAGGCTCAGTGATGCGCCAGGCCTCCTGGCTGCCAAGGGGTGCGGCTCTGTGGTGGAAACTGCACACCGCTTCTCCTAGACGGCCCCGTCCTAGACAACCCTGCCACCGAAAAATGAAGCACTGACTTTTTCTCCCCTCAGGGTTCAAACCCAAGACCTGTTCTTTCACAAAGAACCTTGAGGGAACAAAGGCTTGAGGGCGAGTCGCCTGGTGGTCCTCTCCATCCAGACAATCCAGGGCTCCCAGACAACTCCTCACTCACACACATTCAGTAACATCTCACCGACTTCAAGGTTTAGCAAAAAGTCCACCAAAGCTCTTCCTAATCTGGCCTAAAGCTTACAGTTGGCTCCAGCCTCACATCCTAGAAGGGTTTGGAGTCAGCCCTCTTCCCAGGGGACCGAGGGGACCGCTGTCCCTGCACCTTACTGGATGCAGCATGAACTTTCACAGTCGGCCCCCCAATGAGGACATCTCTCACCCCTTCAGCCACAGAATTCCAGCTTGCCCTGAAGGCCACGTAGTCCCTGCTCTCCGGATCCTCCCTGGTCACACCTCTGCTGTCACCTTCCATGCTATGCCAAGACAGCCATCCCCAATCAAGACCCTGTTGCCTGGAAACTAAATAGGGGTAGTGACTGATGGGGACTTTCTCATCTCTGCACCCAGGGTCCAGCACAGCACAGTCCTCCGTCCAAAGGCTGCAGAAGTTGGTGCCTCCAAAACAACGTGCTCCTTGGACTTTCCCTTTGTAAGAAGTGTTTATACTCAGAAGAGGAAAAGGCCATTAAAAAGGGGCCGAAACCACGTAAGACTTCATTTCTAATCTTGACACCCACGGGTCTTTTTATTTGCCAGAGGCGTTTGTAAAACAGCATGATTTTCTCTCATATTATTTTATTATCACCCAAACCTCAGCCTCAGTAGATTGCCATCATCTTCCCTGTTTCCACTGTGAGTCACTGAGAAATGAGATTAGGGCTTTACTTTCACCACTGCAGCTTCACTCCATCAAGCCCACCAACGCAGAGCTTGACACAAACACAGAACAAACAGCAGTCCCCACGCAGACGGCGGGGCCTCCTAATCCCTCCAACAAGCACTCACCAAGTGAACCGAAAAGACCTTAGCCCTGGAGACCTCGGTCTAGTGGGCAAGAGAGATAGGACACAAGACAATGACAAGACGCTGATGAGGACAGGGTCATGCAGAATGCCTGGGAAAGGTGCAAGTGGGAGGCTCAGAATAACCTTCCAAGAGGAGGCCAAGTCGGAGGAGGAGGAGGAGGAAACAGGAAAGGGGAGAAATCCTTGATGGTGGACACAGCAGCAAGTGCTAAGGCTTGGCAGCACGCAAGAGAGGCCATGGGCACCCAAGGAACTACAAGTGGGATGGGTCATCTGAAACCTCCCTACCAGGAAGTCAAGGACTAGATGGCTTCACTAGAAAATCTGACCCAACATTTAAAGAATTAAAACCAAACCTTGTTAAACTCTCAAAAAATATAAGAGGAAGGAATGCTTCTAAACACATTCTGTAAGGCCAGCAGCATCACCCTGAAACAAGATCAAGCCAAAGACATCAGAAGAAAAGAGGAAAGCTACCAGTCTTCCTGATGGATACCGATGCAAAACCCTCAATAAAATACTAGGAAGCCAAACTGAACAGTAAACTAAAAGGACTATGTACCATGACCAAGGGGGATTTATTCCTAGAACGTAAGGATAGTTCAACATTTTTTAAAAATCAATGTGATGTACCATATTAATATAATGGAAAAGATCCACATGATCATCTCTCCTGATGCAGGAAAAATATTGACAAAATTCAACATCCTTTCACGATAAAACATAAAAATCCAACCAGCAAAACAGAAACAGAAGGGAACTCCTCAACATGATAAAGGGTATCTATGAAAAACCCACAGCTAACATCATACTCAACAGAGAAAGACTGAAAGCTTCCCCTAAGATCAGGAACAGGACAGCATGCCTGCTTTCCCCACTGCTATTCAATCCCGAATCAGAGTCTTCCTCAGAGCAATTAAACAACAAAAAGAAATAAAAGGCATCCAAATTAGAAAGGAAGAAGTAAAACTCTCTGTATTCACAGGTGACATGAGCCTACATTAGAAAATCTCAAAGAACACACAAGAAAGCTACTAGAGCTAATAAATTCAGGTAAGTTGCAAGATACAAATTCAGCACACAAAAATCTGTTGTATTTCTACACACCAGCAATGAATAATCTGAAAAGAAAATTTAGAAAGCAATTCCATTTAAAATAGTATATGGAATAATACCTAGGAATAAATTTAACCAAAGAGGTAAAAGACTTGTACACTACAAATTACAAAACATTGCTTGAAAAAAAAAAGGATGACCTAAATAAATGGCAGACATCCCACGTTCATGGATACTAGATTTATTATTGTTAAGATGCCAATACTACCCAAAACAAAGATTCAACTCAATCCCTTTCAAAATTCCAACAGCTTATTTTTTCAGAAATGGAAAAAATGACCCTCAATTTCTCACAGAATTGCAAAAGGACCCCAAATAGCAAAAACAATATTGAAAAAAAGAACAAAGTTAGAGGACTCACATGTCCTGATTTCAAAAGTATCTACAAAGCCACGGTAATACAAACATTGTGGTTCTGACATAATAATAGACACACAGACCAAGAGAATAAGATTGAGAGTCAAGAAATAAACTCATACTTCTATAGCCAATTGATTGTCTTCTTTTTTTTTTCTTTTCCGGGGCAGAGTCTTGCTCTGTCACCCAGGCTAGAATGCTGTGGTGTGATCTTGACTCACTGCAACCTCCGCCTCCTGAGTTCAAGCGATTCTCCTGCCTCAGCCTCCCGAGTAGTGGGATTACAGGTGCTTGTCACCGTGCCCAGCTAATTTTTGTGTTTTTAGTAGAGACGGGGTTTCACCATGTCAGCCAGGCTGGTCTCGAACTCCTGACCTTGTGATCCACCCATCTCAGCCTCCCAAAGTGCTGGGATTACATGGTTGGCCAGCCAATCGATTTTCAACAAAGGTGTCAAGTTTATGCAATGAGGAAATAATAGTCTCTTCACCAAATATTACTGGTACAACTGGAGTTCCACATGCAAAGGAATGAAGTTGACCCCTACCTCACCCCATATATATAAATTAACTCAAACAGTATCAGTTTCCTAAATGTAAGGGGTAAAACCATAAAACTTTCAGAAGAAAAACAAATAAATCTTCATGACCTAGACTTGTCAATAACACAAGCAAATGAAGAAACAAAACAGATATATTGGACTTGATCAAAATTTCAAACTTTGGTGAATCAAAGGATATTATCAAGAAAATAAAAAGATAGTCTACAGAACGGGAGAAAATATTTGCAAATCATGTATCTGATAAGGGTTTAATATTCAGAATGTCTAAAGAACTCCCACAACTCAATGACAAAAAATAACCCATATTAAAAATGGGCAAAGGCCTTAGATAGATTTTTCTTCAAAGAAGATATAAAAATGGCCAATAAGCACATGAAAAAATACTGAACATTACTAGTCATCAAGGAAATGCAAATCAAAAGCACGATGAGATAACACTTCCCACCTAGTAGCATGGCAGTAATTAGAGAAACAGAAAATAACAAGTGCTGGGGGGATGTCGAGAAATTGAAACCCTTGTGCATTGCTAGTGGGAGTGAAAATGGTGCAACCAATGTGGAAACTTTTGGTAGTTCCTCCAAAAACTAAGCATAGAATCCTCGTAAGTCATAGAAACTCCACTCCCAGATGTATACCTCAGGGATTCAAACATATAATTTATCCCAATACTCATAGCAGCATTAGTCACAATAGCCAAAAGGCAAAAGCAAACCAAGCATAAACGGATAAACAAAATGTGCTATATATACACAATGGAATATTATTCAGCCATAAAGGGAAGGAAATTTTGACATATGCCACAACATGAATGAACTTTAACAACATTATACCAGGTGAAATAAGCCAGGCACAAAAGGACAAATACTGTATAATTCCACATACTGAATCATCTAGAATAGGCAAATCCATAGAGACAGAAAGTAGATTAGAGGTTACCAGGTGCTAGGAGTATGGAAGAACGAGGAATTATTGCTTCGTGGATACAGAGCTTCTATTTGGGGTGATGGAAAACTTCTGGAAGTGGTGGCAAGAGTTGCATAACATGGTGAATGCAGTTAATGCCACTGGCTTGCACATGTGAAAATGGTTGAAATTACATACAAATGTCGCAATACAATTTTTTAAAAGAGAGAACAAAACCAGGTAGCAGTCGCTGTGCTCTGAGTTAAGAAGCAGTGGTTGGTTCAGGGATTGCTGCTATAAGGTGGTGGGAGCCTGGCTTTCCTTCTATATAGAAAAGCGTAACAGAGTCAGCTCTGTGTTTTAGAAAGATGCATCATGATGATAAAACAAAAGTGACAAATTACTAAACTCCAATCAGGAAAAGATGAAATTACAAATTACCACATCACAGTGGGGCATGGGGAGAAAAAAAGGAAATGGATTTCTCTCTCCATTTTCACATCTGTTATGTTTCCAGTGATTTGGAGAGGGAGGTAGGTACATTCCCCACGCCCTGCAAAGGCTTAAAAAAAAAATAGACAAGGGCAGTGGTGGCTTAGGGACCAGTGGGCAGAGGAGAGGGCTGTGGGAAGGACCTGGTATGGATATTTCAGGTTCCACTGGAAAAAGCAAAGCCACACAAAACCAGGTGACCATCAGGGGATCCGGGTGTGACCTCCCTGAAGCAGCAGGAGCCCACACAGGAGGACAGGGGCACGAGGCCCGGCTGCCTGGCAGGCACAAGCAGGACAAACTCCCCGCTCAGAGCCTGTTGTCTGAGTGCCATCTTCATGGGGCCTTACTGAGCACATACATGCATTTACTTCTCGGTACCTACCCATGGGCAAGGAACAGTGTGACACTAGAAGTACAGAAATGAGTCACAAACTCTAATCTTGTCCTCCAGGAACTTAAAACCTAGGGCAGTCTGGCTGGGCACGGTGGCTCACACCTGTAATCCCAGCACTTTGGGAGGCCGAGGCTGGTGGATCACCTGAGGTCAGGAGTTCAAGACCAGCCTGGCCAATACGGTGAAACCTTATCTCTACTAAAAATACAAAAAGTAGCTGGGCGTGATCGTGAGTGCCTGTAATCCCAGCAACAGGGGAGGCTGACGCAGGAGAATCACTTGAACCAGGGAGGCAAAAGTTGCCTAGGCTGATGGGACAGTGGGAGATCCAGGCTGTGCCACACCCTGGGTACAGCCCGAGCGGACAGGGTGCCCAAGTCAGAGGGACAGGACCAGAGACATGAGCTGACCAAGGGTGCTGAGGAAGGCCTGATTCCAAAGCAGGAAGCATGTGCTTTGCAGACTTCCCACCTAATTAAGAGAATTTAAACCCAAGGTTGAAGGAGGAGGGACAAAAATGCCCAACTAAGCTGCAGGACTGGACAGGACAGAAATGACAAGATACCCAAAGCATGGTGGAGCAGGAGAGGGCAAAAGCCTCTCAGGAAAAAGCGGGGAGAGGGGAAAGGAAGGGCCAGCACCCACAGGGCTCGGGCAATGCACACCCACCATGGCCTGACAATTTTAACTTGAAACAGGGCCACAATTGGCAAATAGACAAAGCCATGCAGTATGCCAGGAGGGCTCACCGCATCCCCTCACTCAAGTCTTCCTGGGAGTCGGTGCTCCTCACTGGGCTGCCAGCGACTCCAAAGCAGAGACCACATGCTCCAGTGACCACCTTGGCCCCACACCTGGCACTCAAGGAGGTCTGCGTAATTAGTAAGTGCTGGATCTCATCATAGAGATGACTGTCCAAGATCACTCATCATAGAGATGAGTGTCCAAAGTGCTGTCCAAAGTCCAGATCACTCTGGAGCGGGTAGTGAGCTTTCCACGGCAGATAACATGGTGGCGAGCACGTCCTGGGTGCCTACCGCAGACCGGCCCTGGGCGGCCTCACCCCACGCTGCCCACTCACTGTGACGGTCGGGGTCAAGCCACTGCGGCAGGATCTCCCACACCAGCCCCACCCCGCACCTGCTGAATCAGGTTTTACATTTTAACTAGACGTTCCACCAATGGTTTACATTTTCTTTAAAATCTGAGATGCATCTGATTCACGCTTCAGTATTTCGTTTACAATCCTACGTAGTAGATATTCACAGCTCTATCTTATATATGAAACACTGAGGTTTGGGGATATCATGAATTTTGTCCAAGTAACGAGGTTAGCATTTAAATCCATGTATGTTTACTTTGTAAACCATAACCATATACGATTATAATTTTTCAATAAGTAAAACCAAATCCAGGTATGTTTGATTCTGAAATTTGTGCACATAAGCATATCATGTGTTATTAGCAAATCTCCATGAGATATTGGCATAATACGTGCCAATATTACTGTCATCTTATTAAAGCAATAATTAAAATAGCAGCTGACCGGGTGCACTGGCTCACGCCTGTAATCCCAACACTTGGGGAGGCAGAGATGGGTGAATCACTTAAGGTCAGGAGTTTGAGATCAGCCTGACCAACATGGTGAAACCCCATCTCTGCTAAAAATACAAAAATTAGCCAGGCACGGTGGGCAAACACCTGTAATCTCAGCTACTCAGGAGGCTAAAGCAGAAGAATCACTTGAATCTGGGAGGCGGAGGTTGCAGTGAGCCAAGATTGCACCACTGCACTCCAGCCTGGGCGACAGAGTGAGACCCCAATCTCATAAATAAATAAATAAATGTAAAAATAAAATAGCAACTAATCCTGGAGTGTACTAAACTATGTGTTAGGCACTGTGTGTATGTTTAACACACAATCTCTCTCTGGGCTCCGGGTTTGTTAAGAAGGGGCTCGGGAGAGGTAAAAAGGATGCCCCACGTCCTAAAGGCCCTTTCTAAAGTAGCGTCTTTGCCAGTTCTGTTCTCTCTCAGTGTGATGTGCTCTCACTGCATCCCCCGGTCCCTCTATGTGCTTGCTGGAATTTATGGTAATTTTCAGTTCTGGCCTGACTGATCCCAGAAGGTGAGACCAGCTTCTGTCTCTGGGTTGATGCTTCCCTGTATGGGGACAGGAGCTCAGAACAGTAAGCGCATTCTGCCTTGTCCACTCGCAGTATAAACCAGCAGAGATACACAATAGCAGGAATGCATCTGCTGTGCTCGGCCTTCAGAAGAGGGAAACAAGTGGTAAGCAAACAAACAGGTTGGTGCCGGTATTTTTTCTCTTAAAAAGATAAACAAAATGGGGGGATTGGTGTCAGATACACGGCAGCATGGTCAACCCTGATCTAGGGAGTGGCCAATGTCTGCAGCCTGGGGCAGTGACCCAGGTGTGCAGTCTGAGGGTGCAGAGGGCTGAACCATCACAGAAAACCGGCTGTGCTCGGTCAGAGTCAGAGACTCAATGACATCCTAATGCTCAGCGAATTGGGAGTAGGCCACGCACGATACCTGGAAGCTCTGAGGTTTAGGCACAGAAGTCCACATCACACCCATTCTAGAAAGAACAGCCAACTAAGGATTTAGAAGTGAAGGATGGCACAGGTAAGGGATCCTTGAAGTCAAGAGTCCAATGGGCACAGAAGGCTGAGGGGGACAGCAAGTCAGGGAATGGTGGGTTCCTGCCACTCCTGTTCCCACTGCCGGGAGCCTGTCCCATCCCTGGCCTGGCACATTCCTATCCCTACTTTACGGCCTGCTCAGATTTTGTGAAACCCTCCTCAAAACCCTCCCTGGGAGAGTTAGGTCCTCCTCCCACCTTGTATCCCTTTCACCTTGACTACACGGTGCTCACAGGAATGTTCTCATAAAGAGAGACACAGAATTTCCGATCCAGCATTTCACACGGGGGTTATACCCAACAGAACGATGTGAATACGTGCACCAAAAAGACACAGACGAAAACATCCATCCAGCATCCTTATATAACAGCGCCAAATGGGAAATAACCCAAAGGCCCATCAACAGCAGAATGAATCCACTGTGGTGTATTATACAGGGGAATACGGTAGTCCAGTGAAAAATGTGTAAACTACTGCCACATACAAAAACATAACATTGAGGAAAAGCCAGATACAAAAAAAAAGTACTCATCGTACAAAGCCATTTATGTGAAGTTCAAAACAGGCAAAATAACCTATGGTATTAGGTTTGGGACAGCTGCTACCCTGGGGAGGAACGGACAGTGAATGGGCAGGGGCACCGCAGGAGGCCCTCCGAGAGCTGCTGATGTCGCATTTCTCATTCTGAGAGGTGGTTATCTAACAGCGTTCAAAAGCCCGCAGTTTTGCCAGGGTAGTCAGTATTTCGTTATGCTGTATGTCACCTTATGATGTGTGCATTTTTCTGAGTTTATGCTTTAATTCAATAAAAAGTTCATTCTTAAACAAACAGCTACCATTTACTGAGGGAGTGGAATATGTTCATTATGAATAACAACGACCACACCCAGTGAAGGCAGGACCACAACGGGGTGCTTGTGTGCAGTGAGTGGCAAACAGCTGTGTGTCCCACGAGGGCAAGTGCAGGGGTGAGCACACGCAGGGGCAGGGAACCAGTCAAGGGCTTCTTGGAAGTAGCCCTTACTCATCCCATAGTCTTTGATGAACCACTCATTGAATCAGGAGCGGCTCTCTCCTTTGTCTTAGAATTCAGACATCCCAGCTCCCAGTGGCAGCCCTTTGGCTTCCTTAAACCACTCCTTCGCATGTTTATAAATTACATTTAACTTGTTCAGATAGGCTATTCATTCCAGAGATGCATGTCCTCCGATTAAGTGAGAAGTTCTAAAGAGCAAGAAACTTCTGTTTTCCTACTGGTGTTGTGTGGTGGTGGGTTTTTCGGTGGGTTTTTTTGTTTTTGTTTTGGCCTGGATATTTAATACCTTGCTTTCCCCAGTATGCTTGGTGTTATCTGGCATTGAACAAGAGCATCGAAGTGTCTCTTCTATACATCAATCAGCGAATGAAACAATTCAACAAAGCATCCTCCCATACAGTGATTTAGAGAGAACAATTGTATGCACTTCAGAATTCCACCCATAAATCCCTCATGTCCCACTGCCTTTCTGCCTCCCAGATCTTGCCACATTACCCACATAGCTATCTTCGTAAAGCAAAGTTGGACCAAGTCAGTTCTTCCCTCCGAAACCTGCAGTGACTCCTCAGTAAGTAGTCATTCCTCAGTAAGGTGCTCTTGGCCTTCAGTGGTCAAGCGCCATGTTATCTTTCCAGGCTCAACTTCCACTAGATCCCTCCAGAGATTTATTTCTGCTACAATCACCACCCCAATGGGCTGCACGGTCAGTTTTCCCCTCAGCCAGTCACTTCTCTACTACTTTCCCTCGCAATACTAATCATAGTTAATCCCGAGGAGATGTCCAAATGGCAGCTTTTCAACATTTCTACAGAGCACTTCTACTGTCTTTTTATAATAATTATTTTGTTCTTCATGCTAACATACTTAACTATAAGCAACTTGTGGGCAGGAGAACCAACCACATTTCTAACATGGCATTCCTCATGGGAGAGTTCATTAAAAGCATGGGGAATTCGTAAGTCTACTTATTAGACTATAGTTGTCCTCCCTTTTCCCCTGTTCACTTCCCATGGTTTCAGCTGCCCGTGGTCAACCGTGGTTCAAAAATATTAAGTGGAGAATAGCGGAAATAAACAATTTGTAAGTTTTGGATTGAGTGCCTTCTGAGTAGCATGATGAATCTCTCACCGCCCTGCTCTCTCCCTCCTGGGACCAGCATCCGCCCTTATCTGGCGCATCCACACTGTAGACACTCTCGACCCATCAGTCACTTAGGAGCTGCCTTGGTTATCAGATTTTTTTAAAACCCAGTACACATAAGGTTCAGTACTATCCACAGTTTCAGGCATCTGCTGGGGGTCTTGGAACACACACCCCCAAGGATAAGAGGGGACGACTGTATGTCTCTGTTCTGTTTGTTTTGAACCCACTGACCCATGAGTCCTTCTAGATAAATCAGGACTGCACCATGCCCTAAAGGATGCCAGTTTCACAGCTTGTTGTAGTGGTGCTCTAGTTAACAAATGAATATTCATAAAGAGATACTTTGATTTTTAAAATCAATAAGTTGCTAAATGAGAGAAATCATATGCAGTGAAGCAGGAACAACAGATCTTAAGGGACTGGTTAGTCCATATTCAAAATCAAAAGATGACTTCAGCACCCCGGCGGGCGGCAGTGGCTACCTAGCTACCTTTACTGTTATATATGTTAAGGGCAGGGGGAACCTTGACCAATATTAATTAGTAGTGCTGCCCACTCATTTGTCCAGTTTATTCACTGTTGAAACATAAAATGCACTCCATTTTGGTTTCCGTTTCAGAGTACATTTATGCATTCAAATGCTGCTGAGCACCCTGGGGGAACAAAGCACAGGGCTGATAGACTCTTCCAAGGCAAAAGGGTTAATGGTAACCATGGCAACTGCCTCCAAGAATAGCATCATCTGCAGCAGCATTCATGCTGGGGCAGTCGACAGAATGGTTATAAATATACCTATTAGCAGCCTGAGCTGAATCTTTAAACAGCACTGTTGGGAGGAAAGGTGCCTAAAAATAGCTCCCCACGCTTGCATTTGAAGACATGTCCTCAGACACACGGCATCTCGTGCACACATTCGCACACGCACAGAAAGATTTTTCATTTTCTTTTTTCTCCAAGTGCCAAGAATTGAACATTAGAGGCACACAATAGACAATGTGACATCTGATGACCTTCCTCTTTCATTGCCAGATTCCAAAAAGCACCTCCAAAACAGAAAGGGCAGCCATGTGCTGGTCCAGATGCAACAGTAGGCTGGTGTGGGCCGGCACCGCAGCAGCCCCGGTGTCCACATGGCAGTGTGGCCCTGGCAGGCTCCATGTGCCCTGCTCACTGGGAAGGCTGCTCCTGCAGTGGCCTCACATTGGAGACAACAGGCTGGACTGAATAGCTGCTCCCAGCAAGGAGGTGGCTGATTCCCACCCTCACAGCCCTGCCAGGTTGACAGCCCACTTCTTCCATGCAGTCTTCTCCTATTTCCCCCACTTTTACACTCCAGGGACATCTTACCCACATTTCTCATAAAAGATGGGTTATTTTCCACATAGGATCAGGGTGCTTGAAGCTAGACAGTTGCAGGTTTTAATTTCAGCTTAGCCACGTTATTAGTTTACTGGCCTAAATAAATTAGCCTCTCCAAACCTTCATTTCTTCATTTGTAAAGAGGCATAATGAAATGCCAAATGTAGAGAGCTGCTATAAGGAATAAATCACAGAGTAAAAGAAAAATGCCTCGCACCTGGTAGTGTCCAACTTGTGAGTTTTCTTCCTCTTCTCACTCACTCTTCTACTCAGATACATTAAAACCCTCTGGAAAGCAGGGACCATATCACCCAAACTACATATCCAAGTAGCACAGCACCCAGGATAAAAGCAGCTGTTAGTGGAGTGAGTGAATGAGTGGCTGGAGCTCCACAGTGAGCTCTGGGACACAAATATAGAAAGGAACAGGACAGAGAATAAAGGCAGCTGAGACAGTGTGCTGGTTAGCATGCGTTTCCCTGATTAGTATTTGTAAGAACATTATCAAAAATAGTTCATCTCCAGGTGGTGTACAGGCATCCATCAATCAAAGCACAGCTGGGCAGAAGTCTGGGCATGGTCATGCCAGGGGCCCTGGCAGCATGATCTGTGCCCTGCTCATTCAGGCTTCAGCTGCACTGCCCACTTCCCTGACTCCCTTTCACTGATCTATCAGTGGGACTCACTCTTATAGTCTACATACCAGTCCTCTGATGGCTATATGTCAGTCACGTCTCCTCCCCTTTTGGAAATTCTCTAACTTTTCTTCGTTTGGGATATTTCATATATACAGAAAAATGCGTAACACATGTAACTTGCATGTAAATTTTGCTCATAATGTCCTTCTTAGAAGTTTGTAAACATTTAATAGAATCAAACTGATCAATCTTTTCCTTCCTGGTTTGTGCTTTATCTGCCAAGCTTAAGAAACTCTTTCCTACCCCATGGTCTTTAAGACAGGCTCCTACATTATCTTCTAAAATTTTAAACATGTTTGTCATTCATACCTGTGTATTTATCCTACCGGGTGCTGATTTTGTTAGTGGCATTTCAAATTTTTTCATATGCATAACCAAATGTCCCAGCATCTTTTATGAAAAGTTCTGATTTTCTTCCACTGATTTATAATGCCCCCATGCCATTCCATATTCCATCAATTCTAAAATTCTTATCAGAAGGTTTTCATAAAACTATGTATGGTCTGCCATCTGGCTGACAACAATTATAAAACTCCAGAGATTGTAAGATGAATCTGTACTTCAAGAATAAAACAAAGATGCTTCCTAGAATTACTGACATAGTGCATATCAAACTTCTCTATACCTATAAATCTGATTTGGGGCTTTCTATTCTCTTTCATTTGTCTATTTGTCAAATAAATAATCTGTATAAGACTATTTTAATTACTATTGCTTTATAAGCCTTAATATCTAATAGGCCAAGACCCCTTAACTTGGCCACATCCTTCAGTTTATCTTGGCTATTCTTGGCTCCTTCTTCTAGTATATGAATTCTAACATTTACTTCTCAAGTTGATTTTTAAATTCCTGTTGGAATTTTGCCAGGAGTTATGTGCAATTCATCAATAGAGAGTAAGTTGACATCTTCAAAATATTGAGTCTTCTAATCCATGAATATGGTATATTTTGCTATTTCATCAGGTCTACATTTACATTTTGTATGTTTATTGTTTCTTAATATTCTTCATAAAGTCTTGTACACGTCATGAGGTTCTTTTCAAGGTACCTCAGGGTACTGTTGGCTAATGAATGAGACTATTTTTCTTTTCATTCATTCATTCATTCATTCATTCATTCATTCATTCATTTAGATGGAGTCTCACTCTTTTGCCCAGGCTGGAGTGCAGCAGTGCAATCTCAGCTCACTGCAACCTCCATCTCTCAGGTTCAAGCGATTCTCCTGCCTCAGCCTCCTGAGTAGCTGGGATTACAGGCACCTGCCACCACACCCAGCTAACTTGTATTTTAAGTAGAGACGGGGTTTCACCATGTTGGTCAGGCTGGTCTCAAACTCCTGACCTCAGGTGATCCACCTGCTTCAGCCTCCCAAAGTGCTGGGATTACAGGTGTGAGCCACCGCACCCAGCTTTAATTGTATTTTTCTAACTGGTTTTTATGGATCTAGATGAATGTTACTAATTTATGTTGAATAGAGGAAACCTGTTGAACTCTTTCTCTGTCTTTTTTTTTTCTGAGATGGAGTCTCATTCTGTCTCCCAGGCAGGAATGCAGTGGCGCGATCTCTGCTCACTGCAACCTCTGCCTCACGGGTTCATGTGATTCTCCTGCCTCAGGGGCCTCCCAAGTACCTGAGATTACAGGCGTGTGCCGTCACACCCAGCTAATTTTTGTATTTTAGTAGAGACAGGGTTTCACCATTTTGGCCAGGCTGGTCTCAAACTCCTGACCTCAGGTGATCCGCCCACCTCAGCCTCCCAAAGTGCTGGGATTACAGGCATAAGCCACTGCGCCCAGCCTCTTTCTCTAATTCTAACAGTTTATCCATAGATTGTCTTGAATTTTCCATACTGACAATCCTCTCATCTACAAATAAGGACAGTATTGTTTCTTCCATTCTAATTAATATACCTCTTTTTCCCTATTGCAGTAGCTAGAACTGAGAAATTCCAAGCAGAAGCATTGATGGCAGACGTCCTTGTCTTGTTCAAGACTTTAAAAGCAATGTGCCTAGAGTTTCAACATTAAGTATGTTTCCTAGAGATTTTTGACAGACATCCTTTATTAAGCCAATAATGCTCTCTTGCAGTCTGTTTTAAAAGAGCTGTTATTATAAATAAATGGTGAACTTTACTGAATTATTCTGTAACAATTTAAATTATTTTTTCCTCAATCAATCTGCTACTATATATGTAACACTGGGAAATGTTCTGCTGTAGAACCATCTTTGCACCTCTGAGATAAACTCTACTTGTTTCTGACATAGTTTATTTTATCTCGGGCAGATTTCGATTTGCTAATATTTCACTTAGTTTTTTTGGGGGGTTTTTGTTTTTGTTTTTGTTTTTTTTTAGTATGCTAAAATCCTAGTCACTGGTGAACTTTTTGGACCAAGAACCTAGCTAACTGTTTCATACTGGATTTTATTTCCATTTCATGAAACGTTTACCTCACTTTTTAACTCAGAGGTATTTTTTATTTTCTTCCTTCACATGTTTTCTGTTACTGCCTAAGTCTTTTTGCTGGCAAGGACAAATCAAAGCCTGACCTTACTTAGCTATCTTGGTTAGAATTCAAGGCCAATTCCTTTTCAATAATTCCATCCTCAACATCTCTCCTGTTTTCATACTTTCACCTAAACTCAGTACTTATTACCTTACATGGGACAGTGTATATTAAAGGTCCTAGTAAAATACCTGGAATATAATAGTGATTCAATCCAATTAACAAACTGATATATGTTCAATAAACTAGTCAAATTTTCAAAATCAACTTTTTTCAAGGACAAAGAATTTGGAAATGTTATATATCTAAGGAATTTATGAGGCTATATCTAATAAATTCTTCACCAGATACTCAATTCTTCTACATGCTGGACTTTCTAAATATCTTCTCTGCCTGGTTCAGAAATGCATTACATGCCACTGCACATGCAGGAGGCAGCTGTGGGGGCCACCCCGGCATGGATGCCAGTGGCCACAGCAGACACCTATCTGCCCACTCAGAATAGGTTCCAAGTCGCATTTGGCCAGGAACTAAATCCCACACTCAACCTTGAGGAGAATTTGTCAGTGGGAACCATGCGTGCTGGGTGTGGGGAGGGTGGTATATGCATGTGATTGTGTGCATATACACATTTTTTCTAATTCAACTTCTATTTCAGCCACTTTATGTATCTCCATTTTTTAAAAAAAACAGCATGAACCTTGGAAACCACATCTACTTTAAAAGACTTTTCTTAACTATGACATTTTGTAATTAATTTGAATTTTAAATTTTCCTTTAAAACTGTGACCTCCACCTTAATGAGATGGCTCTTGCCTGAGTCTCTCATCTTCCTATGCCTCTAATATTTCATAATGAATGTAACTCATAAGCTTCTTACAGTGTCCCATGGGCCAGGCTGTGAAACTACTTGCTCTGTCATTTTATAAACTCTATAACCTTGGGCAAGTTACTTAATATCTATGAGCCTCAGTTTTCTAACCAAAAAAAAAAAAAAAGGCAGGGAAAAGAGCACTTATTTTCCAATATGATTTTAATAACTAAATGTGAAAAAGTATGTGAAAGTACCTGTTACCCACGCACTCAATAAAGATTCATTTCCTTCTGTCAACATTTCTATTCAAACTATTGGCTTGGTGCAAAAGTAACTGCAGTTTTTGCCACTAAAAGTAGCAGCATCTTCTTTTCTTTCTACATTATTGCCTCCTCTCATTTTCCAGTTTCATATTTTACTCTACCCTACAACATTGAACAGCCAAATACCCACTTTGTTGTTCCTGCCTTTTCCTGGTTTTCTTAGACTATTTCTGCCTTCTTAGAACGCACACGTTAGCGTGAACCAATGCAGGAAATCCAGGAAAGCCTAAGTGCTGCCATTGGCAAGAACCTCTTTCGATGTCTGGATCTCTCCTCTGGGTCAACCCTAATGCCATGAATCTCTAAGATAGATTTAAGTGAATTCCTTTGTTGAGTGAGGGCAGCACAAACGCTCCTAGCACACAGGCAGAACTTCACAACTCACGAACGTCTCAATTCCGCAGGTGAGGCCTTGTTCCCGGCATGAAGACTCAGGTGCGGTGGCCGGCACTGGAAAGGTGAGCTGGCCGTGTCAGACAAGAAGTCCTGTTTCAATGCCTTTCTCATAAGTAGCCATAATATTTATTATACATGGATAACTTCAGCGCAAGAAGATGAGAAATCAAAGCCTAAATCAGAACTTAGCAACATGATTACAGTTATGTTTCAGTGAACATCACTCTGGCTTCAATGAGCATAATGACAGTGATAGACAGTGGTAGACAGACACAGCTTAATCAGTGTTCAATTAATAACACTTCACGGTTTTAAAAGCATTTTCGTATGGATTACTTTACTTGATTCTCAAAATAAGCCACAGAGAGTTAATTTACAGATGACACTGGAGCCGAAGTAGAGACCTCAGCAAAGCAACACGGCGGCGGCTCAGGACAAGCACATGGAGCCTGTGACCAGACCCGGCAGGTCTAAGGCGTTGCCACCTCGTGCCAGGCACACGGAGGTGCTGGGCTTCTCCCTGGAACTCAGTGGTGGGGGAAGGCAGCCATGCACTTATTCTCCTGCTCGAGAAACACTTCCTGAGATCCCACTGTGTGCCAGGCACTGGCTCTGGCCCCGGGGGCACAGCAGTGAAGCAGACACACCCTAGCCTCCTGGAGCCTGTGCTCCGTGCTCCCTTGTCACGCACACGGGAAGCCCCCACCGAGTAGGACATGAGGCCCAGGGCTAGGGAAGTGTGCAGGGAGGAGGGACAGCCCTCAGACAGCCAGAAGGAGTCAGATGTATCCTGAACATTTTGTATGTAAACACCCAGATCATTTTAATAAAAAATGATGCTCTCGGTCGTTATTCCACATTTTCAGAGCTAATTTCCATTCATCATTCATTCACGGGAGTAAACCACATTTCACCTGACTTTCACACCCACATTCTAGACTCGGCTTAGTTAGCTTAGTTACACTAAACTCTTTTTCATGCCAAGTTTTCCATTGTCAGAGAAAAGAAAATTCCCAGTGTCCTTCATGGACTCACTATATGCAAAGAAACTTCAGAGCTGTCCATTTATCATCTCATCCTCACTGTCCAGAGTCATTTTAATGTGCCACAAGGCCATAAATAGTCCACATTGAAGCTCAGGGCACCAAGAACCCCTTTGGCTACATGCCAACATCCCACAGTCCCAACACATCTCAGTGAAAGCTTCATGTCCCCACTCACCCTGACCCTATGAGCTTCCCCCTAGAAAGCTTTCCTTTCCGGTATGCCTTCCAGCTACCTTGCTCCAGATGAGAGAAAATGCCAAGCAATTCATTTAGAGACTCATATCCTACCTTAAAACAGAAGGCATAAAAAACATTTTGGGGACTAGTAAGCTCATAGTTTTCAGCACAACAAGAATGATATAATGAACAACTTGGATAGAGTTATTCTCATTCTTGGGTTCAGTTTTTCTATTTGTTGTTGTAATCTGTTCATACTTTATTGGGATTGCAAATTGTTAATTTACAGCCATTATTTATAGCCATGTTCTATTGATGATGCTTCCTGAAGAAGCTAATGCATTTGGGGGTGGGTTTCTTCTTATGTTCACTGTCTTTAAAACAAAAAAGAGCACAAGGCTTTTACATTTCAGTGTGTGCTTTGCTGGGCTAAACCAGTTTGTCCTGTGGCGCTAATACATAAGAAAAAGCTTTCCAGGTGGCAGGACAAGCATCCGCGTGCCCCTGCAGGCATCCGAGATGTCACCCTCTGATCTCGTTCCATTGCTCTGGTCTACCTGCAGACAAGGACTAATGAGTCCCAACAGCAGCATGGTCAGCACGGGCCTAGAAGACAAGCCACTTCCAATGGACCAGGAAGTTCAAAAACAAATGCAGGATCCTTGAGCTCTCAAATAGGAATGAGAATATTATTCCCCGGGGCCAGGTGTGGTGGCTCACAGCTGTAATCCCAGCACTTTGGGAGGCCAAGGTGGGTGGATCACTTGAGCTCGGGAGTTCGAGACTAGCCTGGCCAACACAGTGAAACCCTGTCTCTACTAAAAATACAGAAATTAGCCGGGTGTGGTGGCACCTGCCTGTAATCTCAGCTACTCAGGAGGCTGAGGCAGGAGAATCACTTGAGCCCAGGAGGCGGAGGTAGTGGTGAGCTGAGAGAGATCATGCCATTGCACTCCAGCCTAAGTGACAGAGCAAGACTCCATCTCAAAAAAAAAAAAAAGAATATTATTCCCTGCGATTAGTGACGGCTTCAATTCCTCATTTGTGAAATGAGGATAAAATCTCTACCACATGGGGCTGCTGTCTGACTCGAATGTACGTGAGTCATCATCCACGGTTCCAGGCAAATATTTACTAATCCCCTTCTCATCTCCTTGAAAGGTCTGCTCGCCTTGACGCAGCACATGAAGTACGAGTGCGAGCAGTGGAGCCTACATGAGGTGGCTCTCTGTATATCATGCATACATACATGCATGTACGTATGTCTAGGTGTTATGTAAAACACTATTTAAATCCCATAAGATTCAAGACTTGGTAAGAGGAGGAACCAGGAGACCTACTCAGCCAGAACAGAGCTCAAACATTTGTAGCCTCCATCCAATAGCAAGGACATAGAGGCAGTCCATCTCTGATGAGAGATGTGTGTCACATGATGACAGTGGCAGTGGTTATAATGATGGTGATCAGGTCTTAAGGGCTTAGCATGTACCAGGCACTGTGGCCAAGTTCTCTACTATTATCTTATTTAGGCCAGATGCAGTTGCTCACACCTGTAATCCCACCACTTTGGGAGGCTGAGGCAGGCAGATTACCTGAGGCCAGGAGCTCGAGACCAGCCAGGCCAACATGGCAAAACCCTGTCTCTACTAAAAATACAAAACATTAGCCAGGTGTGGTGGCAGGCACCTGTAATCCCAGCTACTCAGGAAGCTGAGGCAGAAGAATCGCTTGAACCCAGGAGGTAGAGGCTGCAGTGAGCCGAGATCACGCCACTGCACTCCAGCCTGAGCAACACGAGCAAAACACTGTCTCAAAAAAACAAAATTATCTCATTTAATCATTGAACCTCATGTGTACGTATTATTATCCTCATTTTGTAGATGAGGAAACTGAAGCCCAAGAGTTGGTTGGGATGGATACTAAATAGACTAAAGGATTCATCCAAAGGGGCACTGATAGTAGCAGGCAGGAGCTGGAACCAGAGAGGAGATGAGATCATCCACGCAGGGAAAGGAAGGTGTAAAGATCACATGGGTGACAACCAGACCCTGGGCAGCACCCACATCCCAGGGGCCTGGGGAGAAGATGAACCTAGGAAGAAATCGGATGAGCACAGCTTCAAGGGTCCGGGGACCCAGAGGCAAGAGGAGGAAGACCCTCAACGCAGCCTCCAGGCTCGGCCACCCCTCTGTCACCGTGTCTTGCAGCTTGTTTTTGTTTTTCCTCAGTGACTTCAAATAAGGACAAAAGAAGTATGTTTGTTTCAATGCTGTGGACACCACAGGTCTGTAGGGAACGCTATCCTGAAAGACAGCAGAGCTGAAATTATAAACGACTTCTACTGGCTGATACACAGAACCAAAACCAGCAAGATGACATTTAGCTAACAGAGACTCGTCTAGCTCCCACATTTAGGTTCAAAAAAATCAGCTGCACCGGAACAGAAATGGGGAAGTGGAGATTGACAGCAGGGGAGGGGATAAAGAACGAGGGAAGGTATCTGACACCCCTACTTCTCCTCAAGGGGGGCCAGGAGCACAACTCAGCGCTGGTGGGGAGCACAGCCTCAGGTGGCATCAGCATCAAAGCTGCCCCTAGGCAGCAGCTGTAATCTCAGGCCTCCGGGCTCAGACTCACAGCAGGCCTGGGGTTCCGTCCCATGGTGACTCTGACCCTGCTGAGCTTCCCTATGGGACATCCTTCCTCCCGCTCTGTATTAGACTGGGAGGGCTGCTGTGATAAAGGCTGCAAACCCAGCAGTGGAAGCAACACAGATTCCTTGCCTTGTAGCTTTGGGGACCAGAAGGCTCAGATCAAGACATCGGCAGGATTGGCTCCTCAGAGGCCTCTCTCCTTGGCTTGCAGACGGCATCTTCAGGCTCCCATGTGCCCTCCCTGTACGTGAGCCTGCCTCCAAATGTCCCCTTTCTATGAGGACACCAGGCACATTGGACTAGGGCCCACCCTAGTAACCTCATTTTACCTGGATGACTTCTGTAAAGACTCTCCATGTAAGATCACATTCTGAGGTGCTGAGGGTTAAGAGTTCAACACAGGAATGCGGTGGGAATGTCATTCAACCCATAATACTCTTTCAGTTCCTGTGACCCAGAAGGTCCGTCATCAGCTAACTGCTCTCCTCACCTGACATTCTAGTGATCTCCACCCCACAATGACAGCAATATCTGTCTTCATGCCAATGACACTCAAATCTTTACCACAACCCTAGTTCTCTCTCCTACTTCTAGATGTGATGTCAACTGCCTGCTCAGCACCTCAGCCTCGACACACCCCACACTGCTCTGGCATTCACTTTTGCCCTGGGAAAAGAGCCATATTCCATGGAGGCTAAGACCACGCACTGGGGAGCCGGAATGGCTGCAATTCTGCTCTCCTTGCTTCCCAGCTCTATGACCTTGGGCTGGTTATTTCCCATTTCCTCGCCTAGTTATGTGGACTGATAGGCTCCCTATAAAGAGTAGTTAACACACATAAAAGGATTAGAAAAAAGCCTCGGACAGCATAGTGTCTAATACATGTTGACTATTCATTAAGTTAACTATGTGCATGAAGCCATTCTCCCAGGAACTTAAGCTTTAAAAAAAAAAAAAAAAAAAAAAAGTGACTCTTAGGATTAGCTTGTCAATTTCTACCAAAAAATGAGCTTTTGATAGAGAATGCATTGAACCTGTAAATCAGTTTGGGTAATATTGCCATCTTTTTTTTTTTTTTTTTTTTTTTGAGATGGAGTCCTGCTCTGTCACCCAGGCTGGAGTGCAGTGGTGCGATCTCAGCTCACTGCAAGCTCCGCCTCCCAGGTTCACGCCATTCTCCTGCCTCAGCCTCCCAAGTAGATGGGACTACAGGTGCCTGCCACCACGCCTGGCTAATTTTTTGTATTTTTTTTTTTTTAGTAGAGACGGGGTTTCACCATGTTAGCCAGGATGGTCTCGATCTCCTGACCTCGTGATCCACCCGCCTCGGCCTCCCAAAGTGCTGGGATTACAGGCATGAGCCACTGCGCCCGGCCATGTTGCCATCTTAATAATATTAAGTCTTCTGATCCATGAGCATGGTATGTCTTTACATTAATAGGTCTTGTTTAACTTCTTTCAGTGATGTTTTTATGGTGGTCAGTTTACAAGTCTTGCAATTCTTTTTGTTAGGTTTATTCCTAATTATTTTGCTATTTTTGAGGTGATTTGACTTCCTCCTTTCCAACCTGGATGCTGTTTATTTCATTTTCTAACACAATTATTACCTTTTTGCACAATGTTGAATCTAAGTGGCAGGAGTGGACATTCCTATCTTATTCCTAATTTTAGAGGGAACCCTTTGTTTTTTACCATTAAGTGTGATGTTAGCTGAGGGTTTTTCAAAGTTATCCTTTATCCATTTAAGGAATTTCACCTTTATTTCTAATGAGACTTTGGTTCTGTTTCCTGCTGATTTGTATCATGAAAGGATACCCTCAGTCTCTTGCCTGCAAATCCATTCTCCCCACAGCTCCTAATGTGATCTTCCTAAAATGCAAAGCTCATGATGTCACAGCTTTTTCCTCAGACTACAGGACACTGTCCAAGCACAGGCCCCTCCTCATTTCTCACCAGTTTTGCTTTGCCCTTTGACTTCTGGCAACAAATTGATTAAGATTTCCTAACATACGCTGTTACTTCTTCCCTCCATGATTTGTTCTTTCTGTCCCTTCTGCTTGGAATGCAATTGCTATGACCATTCATTTGCCCCTATCATTCTTTTTAAATTGCATGATTTCATCTTAGAAAACTTCCCTAAATGCAATGTAGGTAAGCTTCCTTTCTCCTATGCTATCAACACTCTGTGCACATGTGTATCATTACAATTACCATACTATATTCTAATGTTATGTTTATGGCTCTGTCTTTCTCCATAGACAATCAATTCGTTAAAGGCATTGTCTCTGCCTTATTGACCTTTGTTTCACAGCATTTAACACAGCACCTGCGTATAGTATATTACATATGGCATTGTTGAATGAATGAATGAATAAATGAATGACTCATCAAATCAATCCTTCACTTGACCAGCACAGTGATTTTTCTAAAGTGCAAATTTGATTATAACATTCAATTGCTAAAAACCTTTCAATAGCCGCAGATACATTTCAGGATCAAGTCCAAATTTCTTCACAGGGTATCAAAGATTCTCCAGGATCTGCCCTGAGCCCACCTCTCTCCATTCGCATCTTTTGTAACATACCCCATGCTCTAACTGGCACCCAGAGCTCATTCAAGCCTTCTACGTTTGCTTATGTGACACCGTCTGCCTCAGAGTGCCTTGAACACCCTTCCCTACTATTTACCTGGAAACCACCCAATCATTTTCTCAAGAGTCAGCTCAAACATCACCTTTGAGCTCTAGATTTGTTTATACAGCTGTCGACTTTGCTTGGATGTTTTAAAGGCACCCTAAACTCGCCAGATCTAGGACTAAACTCATGATCGCCTCTACCTTACCTCTGCCAATAAAAAGAGAACACCTTTCCTTTCCCACGTGCCCTAGCTCAAGCACGATTCCACTCCCCATCCAACGCCCAGGCCAGAAATCTGTGAGCCATTACTGATTTCATCACCTCTCTCCATGTCCTTTTCTTCTTCCCAAGTGTCTCTGAAATCCACCCATTTCTCTCTGGCTCCACATCCACTTTATTCCAAGTTATCACCATGTTTTCCCTCATCTTGTACAACAGTCTCTTCACTGACCCCCTCCGCCTCCACACTGGCCTCCCCATCCAGCAGCTGGGGTGCAAATCTCATTGTCTTGCTCCTCCTCAAGCGCAGTCCTGAAAAGGCTCCCGTTGCTCTGATGATCAATAATACCCAACCCCACTGTGGCCTCTAAAACTGTGTGTTCAATTCTTCCCCCACCACTGCTCCCACCTCCTAGCCCTCTGCCACCTCTGCTTTGAGCATTCTCCCTCTCTTCCTTTCAACTCACTAACGATTACTCATCCTTCTGATCTCAGCTTGCACTTCATCTCCCCAGAAAAACCTGGTCTTACACCCTTGTCTAGGCCTGCCTATGAAATCACATCCCTTTTCTTCACAGCTTTTATCTCAGTTTGAAGTAATATCCTCATTTGAATTAAATTACTATGTCTACAGACTATAAACCCATGGAAGAAGGCACCATGTCATCATGTCCCTATTGTCCAGCACATGGCTGGCACAGAGAAGGCACTCAATAAAGTATTTGTTAAGCAAAATCTTTATCACTGTAACTCTCGAGTAGGAATGGCCAGTTCCCTCCTGCGGGCTCCACTGTGCCTTGTCAGTATCCTAGCATACCATGTAGGGCATCCTGTTAGAATCCTCTGTTGAGTATCTTCTCCTACTGGACTGTGAGTTTCACCCGGACAGGCTTCTTAGTGGCCATCCCTGGCACTCAGCCGAGGCTCAATAAATATCTCACGACTGGAAGGCGTATTCAAGGGATGGGTGGATTCTGGGGGCTACAAGTTAAAACGACAAAAGGTTTCATTGGTAAATACCATAAAAGGGGTGAGGAGATCACAATGGGTTTCTCCACCGGGGCCATTTGACTCAAAGACAGAGAGGCTTAGGAGAGAAGGACTCCAGACTCCCTCGCCTCAGGATTAGGAGCTGCTAAGGCCGACTTGGTGAGGCTCCAAAGGCAGGGACCAGGACCCATGAGTGGAAGCTGCGGGTGGTAGCTACGGGAAAAAGCGTGTGCTCCCACCACTGGCTGTTACCAAGCAGGACGCCACAGCCACCACACAGCCCTGCCTTTGCTACAGCTTCAACTAGATTCCTGATGTTCAAGAGTGTTCGTTGAACACCTGTTACATGAAAGCCGGGAACAAGGGAAAGAGATGCAGAGAAGATCCATGTTACAACGGAGGGGAGCTCGCAGATGATCACACAGGCGATCATGCAGGCTGCCTCCAACCCTCGGGCTCTAAGAAATCTCTTTAATAAATTAAAAGGACAATCTCGTTTGTTTTAATACGTAACCCTTCAGCCAAAAAAGATACATTTCTTTGGGTCTATTGACATGGGACCCCCTGGCTGTCCATCAATGTCCAAAAAAGCAGGATAGCTAAACCAATTGAATGTATAATTTGATTTTTGCAACAGTTGCCAAATGGATTGGCAATGCCTCATGGGAAAGGGGTTATGTTCTAACAAAACAAAGATATCATCTCTCTTTTTCAAAGACACTTGCAAACCTTTAAAATAACTTATCTGAGAGCCACTACTGACGATCAAGGGTATAACTTGCTTGGGGAGGCATAACAGTCAATACACTTGCTTATGGCCCACAAGGAACACATGGAGGGGAAGGGAGTGGTGAGGTTTGGAACTGGGGGGCCCGAGCTCCCTCCAGTCATGTTAGCTGTATAATTGAGGACAGTCTTCTTGACCTCTCTGAGCCTCAGCTCACTCCTTGCTAAATGAAGGGGTAACATTCGATGCAGACAGCTGGGTGAATCAGAAGAGAACCACCACAACACCAGGCTACCATCCGCATGCTCAACACCTCCCGCCACCACCTGCTTCGTGTAGCCTATGATCCCCTGAAGAAAATGATAAACACACAGACATCTGGCAGCACCAACCTGGGAGCAAGGTGACGGAAGCATTCAATGCAACCTGGACATTCACTAGTTATGTAACTTCAGTGCAATCATTTAACATCTTAAAGCCTCAGTTTCTGCTCTGAAAAGTGAAAATAATGATAATGCTCCCACACGGGGATCCTGCGAGGCTCAAATGAAAAATGGATACAAAAGTACTCTGTGAAACTTGGGTTATTATCACTGCAAGTAGAAATACTAACAAATTATTTTTTAATTACATATTTATTTTCCTTCTTCTATCATACAAGAGAAAGACCACATGATTCCTGAAAGAAATCTGGCCATAGCCTGTCTCTGCAGCGGGAGCCTCGGAGTTCTGTAATATTCGAATGGAACTGCTGAAGCAGTGGAGCTCCAGCCCTGCTTCCTCCATGACCTCTGCAGAAACAGAAGATGCAGCCTCAGGCTCAGAGAGATGAAGAAAAATCGTCTGTTTCTAAGTTACAACCATGAAGAAAAGAGTACCGCCACTGATACAATATGAGGGCTGTCAGAGGAGCTGTGGAATGGAGATATTGCAGAGAAGATGCTAAAATAAAAAGGTGTGAAAGCAGACAGAATGACAAAAATTTAATGCAAGAAGGGGAGAGCTTCAAAAAAGCAGAGGCCCAAATAAAATGAGCAGAAAGCTATTGTGCTGCAGGAAACATTGGAAAAGCCTCCCTTTCCATTCAAAAGCCTCCCTTTTCCATTCAAAAGCCTCCCTTTCCATTCAAAAGCCTCCCTTTTCCATTCAGAAGCCTCCCTTTTCCATTCAAAAGCCTCCCTTTTCCATTCAAAAGCCTCCCTTTCCATTCAAAAGCCTCCCTTTTCCATTCAGAAGCCTCCCTTTCCATTCAGAAGCCTCCCTTTTCCATTCAGAAGCCTCCCTTTTCCATTCAGAAGCCTCCCTTTTCCATTCAAAAGCCTCCCTTTTCCATTCAAAAGCCTCCCTTTTCCATTCAAAAGCCTCCCTTTTCCATTCAAAAGCCTCCCTTTTCCATTCAAAAGCCTCCCTTTTCCATTCAAAAGCCTCCCTTTTCCATTCAAAAGCCTCCCTTTTCCATTCAAAAGCCTCCCTTTTCCATTCAGAAGCCTCCCTTTTCCATTCAGAAGCCTCCCTTTTCCATTCAAAAGCCTTCCTTCTCTTCTTTCTGTGGACCAGGTGGAGGGGAGGGAGGAGAAGGGAGGGAGGAACCAATCCACCCTCAACGAATGACGAAATGAGTGCAGGGGTCTGGGAAGATTCAGGAGCAGAACAATGAGATTCCATGTAACACCATGAGAGATGCTAAGCAAGGGGACTGTCGTCCAATCTGGGGCTAAGAATGCAATTAAAATAAAAATCCAACTCATTTTCAATGAGTGAAACTCTCAGATACCAATTCTGTGTTCGATCATACATTTTCTTTTTCACTAAATTCAGTAATCTTTCTTTAAAAAAAAAAAGGAGGGGGTTCTTTTTCTAAGACTAATGCATTTTCACTGTCAAAACATTAGGAAACAGTGAAAAGCAAAAAGAAGAAAAATTGCCTATAATCCCAAAACACAGAAATAACCCTTGTTAACATCTTGGTGTATATTCTTCTAGACATTTTTCTGTGCACATATATATAAATGCATATTTTTATAAGAACAGGATCATATCATTCACACTGTTTTATAACTTGCCTTTTATTTCTTAAGTCATAGGTATTTTTCTATGTTAATAGTCTTTCTAGACCTTTATTTTTAATGGTCATATGTCATAATTTCATTCCCTGTTGTTGGACATTTATGTTGCTTCTGATAACCCTGGTATTATAAATAATGCTATAACAGATAACCTAATATATACATCTTGGTGCATTCATCCATTTTTTTCTTCGACATGAAATTGTTAGTCAAAAGGTTTGTATATGATAGTAGACCAAGTAACAGCCCCCCCTCAAATATAACCACATCCCAATCCCAAGAACCTGTGAAATGTGACCTTACATACAGAAGGGACTGCAGATGTGGTTAAGATGAAGATTCTGAGATGAGGGGATTATCCTGGCTTATCCTAGTAGGCTCTCAATATAATCACAAGGGTCCTTATTAGGGAAAGAAGGAAGCAGGAATGTCAGAGGAAACTGAATGTGCAACACTGCAAGCTCTGGAGGCAGAGGAAGGAGCCACAAGCCAAGAGATGCAGGCAGCCTGCAGAAGCCAGGAGGGCAGGGAGACAGACTCTCCCCAAGAGTGCTGGGAGTGAAGGCGTTTCACCTACTGAGGCCTCTGGCCTCCAAAACTGCAAGATAACAAATTTGTGTTGTTTTAAGCCACTGAGTTTATAGTATCTCTTACAGCAGCAATAAGAACTACATATATGTTTAATAAATTTAAATGTTTATTTTAAAATTATGTTACTTCTAAAGTAAACGATATTTGATAAATAACTACAACCTTCCCATTCTAGTCCTGCAAGCTGAGCAGCATCTGTGCTCCGGAGCCACCCAGACTCCCCTGCTGTGGACAGTGGGCAGGCTGTCCCCAGAATGGAAGTAACATTGTCTTGAGCATCTACTATATGCCAAACACTACCCTGGATTCATATCATCTCTTCCCCTAAAGTTGGAAACAAGAACTTATTTGACACGATTTTACAACTTAACAAATGAGAGCTCAAGAATGTCAAGTGACTTCCCTTAGATGCATGTATGTATTCATCCATCATCCATCAGCTACTGGAAGAACACCTATGAACATCCAGACGCTGAAGTGTAGGCACTGAAGTTGCAGCATGTGTAAGACAGAGTCTCTGCCCTTGGCGGAAGTTCCCTGCCAGGGACGGACCCGGGAAGTGGAGAGCCAGGCTGGGTGCCTAAGTCCTGCTGCCCACAACACAGTAACCTCCCCCGCCCGCCGCCGCCAAGCCTGCAAGTCTCTTCCTCTGCCTTTTTCTTTTGTTCTTAATACCTAATACCTAAAATTCCACTTCAGAAAATTTAGATTTAAAATGCCTAAATCTATTACCACATTTACTATCACCCCTACCAGAATGCAGGCTCTACGGAATCAGGAATCTTTCTTTCTTCCAGTCATGGATTTATCCCACACACTGAGAATAGTGCCTTGCACAGAGCAGGCCCTCAGGAGGTAATTGTTGAATTATTGACCATCGCCCATGCAATTTCCCCTGTATCCCACTGCTCTCCAACTCCTTAGACATCTGCCGATGTCTCCTCTGCAAAGGTCTGCCACCTACCTACCTCCAAATCATGTCCACAAATACAGCACATTAGGCAAGGAAGAAAGAGAGTACTGCATTTTAAATAAAGCAATATTTCATAGATAATGCCAGAATGTCTTCTGAATCTCATCCAAATCATTTAGCTAAAGTAAGGAAGGAAGTCAAGTCTCTCTGCAAATCCAAAGAAAATCGAGCATTACATGTAAAAGAGGAGCAAAAAAAACCCAAATCAAATTCTCAATCCTATTTCTGAAACAGGCCTTGTGTAAGGTGCCCACAGTGGTGCAAAGCACTGTTTCATGAGAAAGGGCAGCCCTGTGTGGCCAAACAGATGAACTGCAATGTTCCACATCGCCTGCCACCGCATCGACCACGTTCCTCTTCCTCACGCCGCCAGGGAAAATAGTCTGCGGCCCCTGTTTTAGAAGTTCCTGCCCTATTTAGGCTAATATTCAGAATCTACAACGAACTTAAACAAATTTATAAGAAAAAAACAACCCCATCCAAAAGTGGGCAAATGATATAAACAGACATTTCTCAAAAGACATTTATGCACCCAACAGACACATGAAAAAACGCTCATCATCACTGCTCATTAGAGAAATGCAAATCAAAACCACAATGAGATACCATCTCACGCCAGTTAGAATGGTGATCATTAAAAAGTCAGGAAACAACAGATGCTGGAGAGGATGTGGAGAAATAGGAACGCTTTTACACTGTTGGTGGGAGTGTAAATTAGTTCAACCATTGGTGAAGACAGTGTGGCGATCCCTCAAGGATCTAGAACTAGAAATACCATTTAACCCAGTGATCCCATTACTGGGTATATACCCAAAGGATTATAAATCATGCTACTGTAAAGACACATGCACACGTATGTTTATTGCGGCACTATTCACAACAGCAAAGACTTGGAACCAACCCAAACGTCCATCAATAAGAGACTAGATAAAGAAAACGTGGCACATATACACCATGGAATACTATGCAGCCATATAAATGATGAGTTCAAGTCCTTTGTAGGGACATGGATGAAGCTGGAAACCATCATTCTCAGCAAACTATCACAAGGAAAGAAAACCAAACACCGCATGTTCTCACTCATAGGTGGGAATTGAACAATGAGAAGACATGGACACAGGAAGGGGAACATCACACACCAGGGCCTGTCGGGGGGTGGGGGGCTGGGGGAGGGATAGCATTAGGAGAAATGCCTAATGCAAATGATAAGTTGATGGGTGCAGCACATCAACATGGCACATGTATACCTATGTAAGAAACCTGCACGTTGGGCACTTGTACCCTAGAACTTAAAGTATAATAAAAATAAATAAAATAAAAAGGAAGCTTGAAGATTCCTGAAAAAAAAAAAGTTTCTGCCCTATTTAATAGTCAATGAAAGGGAGGAGATATCAGTGAACCAGATTATCATGAGTTCTGAAACAAGAGCGAGATTCCTAAGCACTCGCTATGCATCGCAGAATGTTTCCAGTGCTTAAATTAACCGCCTGACTTCATCAGAAGTGGCTATTTTTATCCGTTTTACAGATGAGGAAGTTGAGGCTTGGAGGAGTCAGTGACTTGCTAAAACGTCTCATGGCTAAGAACTGACAGACCCTAGAGTTTGCTGGGACTCAGTGTTTCCATCTAAAGCAAGAATGCCCATCTCCCCCAACCCTTCAGCAGGGGAGGAGAACACATCACCTGCAGGCATTTGCTGGGTGCTTACTGTGTTCCAGGTACCTCGCATACACACAACACTCGAGGTAACTCTCACCCCAATTTTACAGAGGTAGAAGCTGCAGCTCAAAGAGATGAAGTCGCTGGCCCCGGATGACGCAGCTAGCGTGCAGCCGAGTCAAGATTCACTCCCTGGTCTTCCACTTCAGATACAGGTCAGGTATCCCCTAACTGAAATGCTCAGGACCAGAAACATCTCCAATTTTTTTTTTTCGCATTTTGGAATATCTGCATATACGTAATGAGCTATCTTTGGGATGGGACCCAAGTCTAAACATGAAATACATTTATGTTTCATATATACCTTATCCACATAGCCTGAAGGTAACTGTATATGATACTTTTGATAATCTGGTGTCTGAAACAAAGTCTTGACTGCATTTTGACTGTGACCCATCCCATGAAGTCAGGTGTGGAATTTTCCACTTGTGGCGTCATGCAAGTGCTCAAAAAGTTTCGGATTTGGCAGCATTTTGGATTTCAAGTTAGGGATGCCCGATCTGCACAACTGTTCATTCCAGCATATCACAGGGCCACAAGAGAGGCACGGCAATGGCTCAGCAACTAGATTTGGGCAATGAGAGGGGAGAATGGGAGGGAAGGAGAGAAAGGCAGAAAGGGCAAGGGGGCAGGGCGCTACAGATGCAGAGCAGGCCACCAGGATACCCAGAGCAGCGGCATGGTGCAGAGACACACACAAAGAGGCCTGGTTGCAGGCAGACGGGCAGCCTCCCGCAGCCAAGCCCGAGTGTCCGGCAGAGAGGAGCCCTGAGCTGTCTTTCCCTGAAGGTGCCTCTGTGGACACAGCTGCCCGCAGCAGCCCCAGCAGACCGGTTAGGACACTAGTCCTGAGCTGTGACGCTATCTGTCTGCCTTGAGTTTCCGGCTTACCACTCTATTTCTGTAAATTATACTGAGCTGTACCGAGAGAATCCAGGCGAAACTGAGAATGAGTGAAATACTGAGGTTTCTCTTTCAAGAATGAGTGATTCAGGGGACAGCCACAGCCTGCCACCCTGCTTCTTCCCTCCCCTCCTGCCACTCCCTGAACTCACACTCAGCCTCATGCCTAGGCTCCGGCCCTACTGAACTGCTCGTGTTTGCCCCAAACCAGCACGTGGTGTCAGCCCCCTGCTTCTCCACATGCTGCTTGCGTGGAAGGCTTTTCTACGTACTCTAACCTAGGCCAGTACTGCTTCCTTTATTGATCTGCTGATTACACTGAGTGCCTTAAGGACAGTACCTATCTTATTTGATCTGTATTTCCAGAACTAAGTCCAGTGCTTAATACATAATAGGTGCTCAGTAAGTATTAAATAAATGAATGAAAGATCAACAAACTATATCGCCTGTCCACGCTGCAAAATAATTCAGTTGAGGGGAAGAGGGCAGACTCAAAAGCATGAAGCTCTGTGAGGTGGATGGTGGTCATGGTTGCACAGCAATGTGAATGCGCTTCTTGCCGCTGAACTCCTCACTTAAAAATGGTTACAGGGGCCGGCACAGTGGCTCATGCTGTGTTCCCAGCACTTTGGGAGGCTGAGGCACAAGAATTGCTTCAGTCCAGGAGTTTGAGACCAGCCTGGGCAATAGGCTAAGACCTCATCTCTACAAGAAAATATTTTTTTAATTAGCCAGGCATGGTGGCACACACTTGTAGTCCTAGATACTTGGGAGACTGAGGTGGGAGGATTGCTTGAGCCCAGGAGTTCAAGACTGTAGTTAGCTATAATTGCACCACCATACTCCAGTCTGGGCAACAGAGCAAGACCCTGTCTCAAAAAAAAAGAAATTATTACAATGGTAAATTTTACATTATTTGTATTCTACCACAATTTTTTAAAATAATTTTTTAAAAACATAGTCCACACTCTTTCAGCTCTGGAGACCTGCCCAGTTCCTGCAAGAAGGTGGCAGCTATGCACGCAGAGGGCTTGCCAACCACCAGTCCCGCCAGCCCTGTGCAGAGCTGCTACCCACTCCACAGCCCCCACTCCAGGGCCATCAACCCTCAGCTCCAGAAGCACAGCAGCTTGGTCTGCCTCACGGTGACTTTCAAAGCCAAATTCCTCGAGTTTCTAACTTGGGCTGTGAGTGCCTTGAAGTGAGGGACTAGTCTCTCCCAATGCCCATAACCTAGCCTGCAGTCCTGGGCCTAGTCAGCATTCAGCAGAAAACAACAGTAGCTGCCGGACATGGAGCAGAGATTCTGTGTCCAGTTTTCTGGATGGTATTGCCATTTTCCACCAAAGCGAATCAATTCCAAGTCTGCTGCTATCTGAGTGCCGAATGAAATAATGAATAACTGAATGAAGCGCTGAATGAATGACTTTGGTGGGAAACGGAGAGGGTGGCGGGCAGATGGACCAGACAGGGGAACGCTGTGCGGTGCATCTCACATGGCAGCCAGCATCTAGGGAAACGTCTGAGTCCAGAAATCAGTTCAGCCTGACTATACCTTCAGAATACATCCAGATTTCCCAATAGTTATTGTAGCCTTTGTTTCAATAAATTGCCTTTCAAGGGAGATAAGGGGGAGGGGAGGGGACTCAGAATAGAATTATTCATTCAGGTCTCCAAACATGGATAAGGTCAATGCAAAAGCCTATTAACTCCAGGAGCAAGAAGAGAGTTGTAAAAAGAGAACTGACTTACAAACTATATTTTAAAAAGAAGGTTTAGCATTAATTAACAAATGGAAAGGAGGAGAAATTTTTAGAGAAACTAAAAATATCTCACCTAATAAAAGAATTGCTAATTTAACTCGTTCGTGAAGACAAGATACAAAAAGTTTAGAAGGAGTAAAATCTCTATGCTGTGTAGCTTTTATTAAAATATGTGGCAGACAAATGGGGAGAAGTCACCCAGCACCCACATGTACTCAGCAAACACAGCGACCACCCCCACAAGCCAGGGCGGCTCCAGGCAGTGGGGACACGGAGATGCACGAGAGCCACACCTCATCTTTGACTCATTCTCTCCCAATGCTTACAACCAAACTTCACAAAAGAGGGACTGCATCTGCTGCTCACTGTACCCCAGTGGCTCCTCAGCACATAATTTGGCTTCTGCCCATAAACTCTATAGAAACTTCCCCTAAAAATTTCCTAAGTCGTCAACAAATCCACATTGCCAAATTCAGGGGCTATTTTTCACATTTCTCCTGCTGGGTCTCCCTGCTATTAATCGTGTATATCTTTTCTGGACAATGCCTTGGTTTCTGCCACCCATCCTTCTTCCTTCTTCCTCTTCAGGCTCTTCTGTGAACAGCTCTGCATTTTCCCATCCCTCAGACGCTGGGATGCAGAATTCAGCAATGGCCCAATTTCCTCTCCCACAGGATCATGCCTTGAGTGGCTGCTGACATTCTGTGGCTGTCTTCTCCCCTGCCTGGTACTAACAGCCATGTCTCTGTCTCTAGCTCAGACTTGGCTGGACAGCTAGGCATGGTCTCCTGGGCCTCCGTGCAGCACAGGCCCACAGCCTCAGCGAGTCCAGGTGGAACTCCGCATGGGCCTGCCACTCTTCCCTCCATCCACAGCCACACAAGTCAGGAACCAAAATCCACCCCGCCATGTCCTGCCAATCCCTGATGTGTGTCCATTTTATCACCTGAATGTCCCCCGTATACAGCCTCTCCTGCCCATACCTAACTCCTGGCTCAAGCCCGCATCATCTCTCACCCCCACCAGCAGCAGCCCCTGCCTCTCTCTAGTCTAGCATGAGCAGGCTGCTGGGATGATGGGGCCACAATACCTGGCCTTGCTCGTAATAAGGTAATGCCTTATGTGTAAGTACTTACTATGCACTAGGAAATGTGCCAAATGTTTTAATGGATAAACAGATTCAATGCCAACACTCCCTTTATAAAATGAGTACTAGGCTGGGCGCACTGGCTCACACTTGTAATCCCAGCACTCTGGGAGGCCGAGGTGGACAGTTCACCTGAATGAAACCCCGTCTCTACTAAATATAAAAATTAGCCAGGCGTGGTGGCGTGTGTCTGTAATCCCAGCTACTGGGAAGGCTGAGGCAAGAGAATCGCTTGAACCCGGGAGGCAGAGGTTGCAGTGAGCCAAGATCGCACCACTATACTCCAGCCTGGATGACAGAGTGAGATTCCGTCTCAAAAGAAATAAAAATAAAAACAAAATAAAATAATAAAAATACAAAAAAATTAGCCAGGCATGGTGGTGCATGCCTGTAGGCCCAGCTACTCGGGAGGTTGAGGCAGGAGAATCACTTGAACCTGGGAGATGGAGGTTGCAGTGAGCTGAGATCACGCCACTGCACGCCAGCCTGGGTGACAGAATGAGTGTCTGTCAAAAGAAAAAGAAATGAAAGAAAGGGAAGGGAAGAGGAGGGGAAGGGAAGGGGGAAGGAGGGAGGGGAAGGGGGCAAGGAGGGAAGGGAAGCAAAGGGGAGGGGGGGATGCGGGGAAGGAGGGAAGGGAAGGGAAGAACTACCATTATCTTCATTTGACTGATGAGGAAGCTGAAGTCCATAGAGCTCAAGTATCTTACCTGAGATTATCTGCAAGGCAGGAGCAGAGCCACAGTTCAAACCAAAGCAACCTGCCCGGAGCCCAGGTTATCAGCCACTCTATCCTGGTGCCTCTGCCTACCTCCCCAGAATCATCCCTCACCCCTCACTGTACCCACCCCTGATATGACCCAGTGAGACCCAACTGCTTCCTACGTCTGCACTTTTCTCTGCTCACGCTGCTGCCTCTGCTAAGCGCCATGATCCTGCCTCCCTCGATGTCTGGAGCAGCCAGGGTGCCCTGACTGTCCATGCTGCCCATAACTCCTCCAGGAGCCCCGCCTGCATGCACCGCAGCACACTCTGCATATGTGCACCTACGACCAGGTGGTGTGGAGTCCAGCTGGAATAGCAACCTCAGTGCGATAACACTCATCATGATGCCCAAAAGGCATGACCGAAAGCTCCCCAAAATCAACCCCTGTGCAATAACGCATGCCCATCAGGTCCCATGGTTCCCTTCCCAGCAGCCTGGCTGGGCATCAGCAGTGAGTGCCATCACACCAATATCCAGATGTGAGCTTAGACCAACAAAACTCAACTGGAAAGAAGAGAAGCCAGAAAAGGTGATCTCCCTCCAGCCCTAACCCTCTAGGGTGCCAAATGCAACAATGATTGAAAAGTCGTTCCTCCTGGAAGGCCATGCTCTCAGTCACACCCAGGGTCGGGACCGGAGTGGACACATGGTCCTCACCTCCAGGGAGCTCAAGCTCCCACAGGGAGTCAGGACTGTGAACACACACAGGAGCGTGTGCAAGCAGTCCGACAGAATATGGTTAAAGAAGGGAGGGAAGGCATGAGTATCATGAGTAGTGTTTCTAGGGAAATATTTTCCCCAGACATCTCAGGGTCTGGCAACATGTGTGAGAAGATCCTCCACTCCTCCAGCATGAGGAATTTCAGATACTGAGCTGGGGTCTGGAAGGTCACACGCAGCAAGAAAGCAAGCAGGCAGCTCTGCGGAATGGGAGTGCTGGTTTCTAGACACCTGCACCTAGAGCTTAGCCAACTTGCCTATCCGTCTTTTTCTTCCAAATGTGTATACAGCCTCCTCATCCAATGAAAGAATGGCAGTTGCCACATCTGAAGCCCTGCACTGGGCCTAGGCCTGACATGTTGCCCCACTCCCTCCCAGCTGAGCCAAGAACTGGTGCTGCCTCCACTCAACAGTTGGGGAGAGAAAGCAACTTGTCCTCCACCTCCCAGTGAGCATCATTGCTACTTAGCTTGTTCGAATGCAAAACGCATGATCTCGCCATTATAGTACTGAAGACCAAAAAAGGTAGCTGAATCAATCAGACAGGAGTATTCACTGGCAGCTGCCTGTATTTTCACAATGGTACCAGGTCACACAGGACACAGAAGAATCTAAGTGACAGTTCATAGCTTTCAAAAAAAAAAAAAACTTGTTAACAATCAGTTTGAGATCAGAGTATGCAGGATTCATGTCAATATCCATGTGACACAGAGCACAGGAATAAAGAAAGAGCTAAGGCTCTTGGGACATAAGCAGGACACTGACAATTAGGTAAAGGATTAATGGTTGTGCCACAGATTTTTATAAGAGGATTTCAAAAATAGGGGTGAAGTGGTTTAAGGACTGAGATAGGAAGGGGAAAAAACACCTCTGCACACACACCACACGCCAAAAGCACATGAGGTACTTTGCACACCACAGCACCCCTTTGAATCCTCACAACAGTCCTCGGAAAGCCATCACCATCCTCACCTGACAAGGGTGGAAACGGAGGTTCTGAGGGCTGACTGAGGCCATACAGCTGGCAGCAGCTGGAATGACTCTCAAGCCTATGTCTGACTGGCAAAAAGACAGCTTCACCTTTAGACATGTGGTAGTTATAGGAACATGAAGGTATGTGAATGGGAATATCTCAAAGAAAATTGGAAATGTAAGAGGAAAGCTCAAGTACGAAGATGGGGCTGATGATGAGTTTTAAGCTCCCGCTATTTCATAGGCATGAATATGTATTTCTCTTTCTTTCATTTCTAAAGCAAAAGGCCACACGAAAGCTGACCCAGTACTTCTACAAAGAAACGACAGTAATTAAATGGGAACATCTCCATTTTCTCGATGATTAACTGAAGGGAAAGCATCCCTCTCACAGGAGGGTTCTGCTCTGAATGAACCTGCTCAAAGAGCAACGGTAACTCCGGCACCCAGAAAATATGCATTATGGATAAAAGGAGAAGTTAAAGTTTTGCAGAAATCTATGCAGCAACTGTATGAAATGTGGCATATGGCTGTATGTCAGATACATGGACGAGACTAAAAAAGATGCCAAGCCATCATCTCCCACTCCCCAAACCCCAGCTTTCTCCTCTATCAGGTAACTTGCTCAATAACGAGATGCACTGACAATGAGGTAGTTAAAGGTATCTAGGTATCTTATTAGTGTGGCAACTTTGTCATTTTGTCATCACGTACTTTGATCATTTCAAAGTGATCAGGATGATTTTTAAAATTTGTCAATAACATATCGAAGGTGACATTGGCATAATGTAAGATTAACCATTCTCCAGTGACGAATGGTTCGGCAGCCTTCAGTGCATTCACAATGTTATGCAACCACCTCTATCCAGTTCTAAAACATTTTTTTAACCCAAAAAGGAAACCCTATACCCATTTAGCAGCTGATGCCCCTTCTCCCCACCCAGGACCTGAAAATCACCAATCTGCATTCTGTCTCTATGGATTTTCCTGTTCTGAATGTTTCCTATAAACGGAATCATACATACTTTCACTTCCCTTCTCTCACTTAGCCTGTTCTCAAGGCTCATGGATGCTGAGTAACTGCTGCTAGCACGAGTTAGGAGGGCTCTTTGATGATTCCTCGCTGTCCTCAGAGTGAAGTCTGTTTTCCTTTGGAATTTCTTGCTGTCATGTCTGGTCCTCCCTCGAAGGCAAGGACAGACGGATTGAGGGCCAGGAGAGGTGGTGCTGCCTGAGTGACCAGTGTCCAGGGGAACAGGCCTGGGGCCAGGCCATCCAGATGTGGGGTGCATTTCACTCTCTCCAGCTTCATGCTTTCCCTCCCCAAAATGATTTTTCTCCACAACCCACAGATCTTTTATGCATTGAATAGTTATTGTGTCTCCTTCACTAGAGGGTAAGTTCTATGGGGAGATGCACCAGAATTTGTTTACTGCTCTCTGCTCCTATTTTGACATAGTAGGCTTTTAATAAATGCCTGTTGAATGAGTGACTGGATGCTGGAGGTTCTGACACAAACTGTTTTCGAGGGGCTCGCGGTCCCCTGGAAGGACAGGCAGATGAACCAACATGCATGAGGTAAGCAAGGGGGAAATATGAGCCCAGAGGAGCCTGTACATCTCTGAGGAAGCTGGGAAAAATTCATTTATTTTTAAGTAAATAAAAATAAAATTGCTATTAGTTTTTTACAGTGAACATAGATAATATTTGAAATAAAAAATAGTTATTGAGTGCAAATCAAAACCACAGTGAAGCACCACTTCACATCCACTAGGATGGCTACAATAACACAGCTGGGAGGTAACAAGTGTTGGTAAGGGTGTGGAGAATTCAGAACCCTCGCGCATGACTGGCGGAAATGGAAAATGCTTCAGCTGCTGTCGAATACAGCTCCTCAAACGGTTCAACAGAGAGTCAGCCTAGGATCCAGCAATTCCACGGAGAGGTACAGACCCAAGAGGATGGAAAACAGGCATCCAAGCAAATACATGCACACACATGTTCACAGTAACCCGAAGGTGGAAACAGCCCAGGTGGCCATCGACAGATGATTGGACAAACAGAATGCGGATGTGGAAGGGCAGTACGATGACATATTGTCCAGCCACGAGAAGGAAGGAAGCACTGATGCTCAGCACGGCATCTACGAGCCTTGAGAACAGGCTAAGTGAGAGAAGGGAAGTGAAAGTGTATATGATTCCGTTTATAGGAAACATTCAGAATAGGAAAATCTATAGAGACAGAATGCAGATTGGTGGTTTTCAGAGCCGGGGTCGGGAGGAGGAGGATCGGCTGCTAGATGGGTATAGGGTTTCCTTTTCGGTTGAAGCTGTACCCTCAACCTCCCGGGCTCAACTGATCCTCCCACCTCAGCCTCCTGAATAGCTGGGACTACAGGTGTGCACCGCCATGCTCAGCTAGTTTCTGCATTTTCTGTAGAGACGGGGTTTCACCATGTTGCCTAGGGTGACCTCAAACTCCTGGACTCAAGAATTCCACCTACCTTGGCCTCCAGAAGTGCTGGGACTACAGGTGTGAGCCACTGTGCCCTGCTATATATGAGTCTTTTACATGACTTTTTAAAAGCATTTTATTGGAAGCAATAAAATTATTATATAAATGTTCTTTTATTGCTGTTTTAACAAACAGAAGCCCTATCAGGATGCTCATAATCTGTGATTTCTGGAAGTGGCAGTGGGGTGAGGACAGCTGGAGTTGCTGTATGACCATGTCCTCTATGTCACACATGTGAGAGCCATGATCTCTAATTTCTGTTGGATGCTATGCTAGGCACCCTCCATAATCCTGAAATCACTCTACCAAAGGAGACAGTATCATGTCTGTTCTCTAGATTAAGAAACTAAGTTCACAGAAGGAAAATGATCTTCCAAAGGCTGCTCAGCCAATAAGCAAAAGAGCCCCAACAGGAAGCCAGGTGTGTCTGATCCCAAATTCCACATCCTCTTTGCCTGTGGCCTCTCTGAAACACTTGTTGAGAATCTGACACATGCCAAGGGTTGTGGGAGAAAGGTAGAAAAATAGTCTTTACCTCTCAGGAACTTGAAACCCAATTAGGGGGACATATAGACATCCCACTCTGGTCTATAACAGAATGAGCTACAGAGACTCAAGGAGGCATGAAGAAGGCTCACTGGGAAACTGATGAGGATCAGAAAGAGCCTTAGAAAAGCAGTCTCAGGAGCACTCTTTGAAGGAAAGCAAGGACGACGTGGTTGTTTTATAGCCCAACATGAGCTCACTCCTCTTCTGGTCACAACACCCTCATTTCCCTCTAGAGAACTACCCAGCTCCAGCGCTACTCCTGTGCTGGGGTGAGAATGGCCAGGCCTGCAGCCTCACAGGTAGATCTCAGACTCAGGCCTAGCCAGCCCCAGCCTCCAAGAACCTCGGGCAGGTGACTGGGTCGTGAAGAGGTGGGTCAGAGGTTTTTCAATGAAGACAGAGAAGTGCACACTATTTTCTCATCATCCCACCTGGAAAACACCAGCCTGACACCTGGCCAGCCACATTCCTGCCACCTGGAGCCTAAGAATGACATCAAGTTGCGAGAAACAGGTTAGAGAGTTGAGAGATGATGTCTGAAACTGAAAACAAACCTCCATCTGCACTTTCCCATTAAATGAGCTGATAAATGACCTCTTCTGAATATACCACTTAGAGCTGGGGTTGGGCATTTCTGGATCTCTGGCTAAACAACCAAAATATCCTCTTCAATCTTAATATTCTTATGCATAAACATTACAGAGACCAAAAAAATACCTATCTCACTATAGACAGAAACAGATTGGTGACAGCATATATAGGTAAAGAAAAATACTCTTTTAAAAGAAGAAACAATTAGTAAATAAATGCTGCAACTTTATTTATTCACCCATCCATTGAAAATATTAAAATTTTACTGTATGTATAAAATGGAACATCATCTAGGCCACTGCTGAAGACTAAGTTCTCAGGAAGAACATACCTGTAAAACATATCCTCTAAGTCATTGAGGGTCTTTGTGATTCTCTATGCTTACAGCTATGTCCTGTTAGATCTTACAAGACTTATTTACAGCAAGAATCACAAACAGCAAGGGATAAAAGTACCTGTCGAGTCAAAGCGCACCAAGAGCTGAGGTCCTCTGCCATGCAGCTTCTTCCACTCTCGAGCCCCCAGCACCTGCACTGCCTGGCAGTGCATCTGAGGGGGACAAAGGGACCCCGTGGACCCGTAGGAGGAAAAAATTGGGAGAACTCCAAGTCCATATTCCTGAGATGCCCCCATGCTCTACTCCAGTGCCATGCTAATATTTATACTTTTTAGTGCATTCAAAGCAGGACTCTGGGGTAGGAGTATGGCCGCACCAACCAAGGCACTGTGCAGGAATCACCGAGGGTGCTAGGGGTCACCATTCGGAACATAAGGGCTCTGTCTTGAGGAGTATCTGGCGGCGTGAGGAGGGCAGAAAAGCAACAGAAAATGACAACTGCTATGGGTGCCGCAGGTACTCTGAGCCAGGCTCGGAGAAAGGCTGAGTTCATATCTGAAGGCTAAGCAAATACATAATAGAAATTCAGTGCAGTAATTGCTCCCACTCAAGTATGTGCCAACTGCTGTGGCCACACAAAGGAAGAACTGTCTCTTTATTCAGGAGGAAGGGCAGGCAGAGGCTGTGGCATTGCACTGGACCAGAAAGCATGAGCACCTGTGGAGCACAGCAACGTGAAACAGAGCACTCTGAGCACACAGGGAGGACTCCCCAGAGACGGGAAGAGATACAATTAAAAGCCAGGATGGTATCGGATTGAAAAAGGACCATGATGTCAGTTTCAACTAGTTCTGGACAACAGAGGAGGTTTAAACTACCTCTGGACAATGGAGGGGGAGTTAAACTACCTGTGGGCAATGGAGGGGGGTTAAACTACCTGTGGGCAATGGAGGGGGGTTAAACTACCTCTGGGCAATGGAGGGGGGTTAAACTACCTCTGGGCAATGGAGGGGGGTTAAACTACCTCTGGACAATGGAGGGGGAGTTAAACTACCTCTGACAGTGGACAGGGGGTTAAACTACCTCTGGAGTTTACAATGGAGGAGACTTAAGAAAGGAACAGCCTACTTGAGTTTTATGAGAGCTACGATCGCAGCAGCAGCAGCAGCAGCTGACACTTCCTGACACTCAGAAATGCCGCACACTGTGCTAAATGCTTTGAGTTTAGAAAGTTTCCAGCACACAGGAAGCAGCAATAACATTACCTATTACTATGATTAAAAATAATTCTCCTAACCAACCTACAAGAAAAGTACTATCATTCCCAAATTTATAGGGGAGAAAACTGTGATTCGGTGAGATTCCTTTGACCATGGTCAACAGCTACCAAGTGCTCAGGTCCAATTACATGACTGCACACACTGTCTCTGAGCCACTACACTTGTTGGCTGTCCAGTGTAGAATGAAATGGAGGGAAGATACTGAAGCTGGTGGCTGGTTAAAAAGCTGCACAATACCTGTGGTCAAAGCCTGAGATCATGGGGCCCTAAGCATGAGACAGTAGCTATGGAGACAGACACTGAGAAGATAAGCAGAGATAATGCTACTGCTGTTCCATAGGGTCTGCATTTGTACTAGGTTTTATACTGACGTATGCACAACCCATTAACTGATAACAGCTTTCAATTAATAGTCTACAAGACTACTACAAGAATTACCAGGAAGGAGAGAACCAAGATGGAACAGATGGGGCAGTGGAATCACAAACTAGAACCCTTGGATTAAAGACATCTTCTGTGGCCGGGCACAGTGGCTCATGCCTGTAATCCCAACACTTTGGGAGGCCGAGGCAGGAGGATCACGAGGTCAGGAGATCGAGACCATCCTGGCTAACAAGGTGAAACCCCGTCTCTACTGAAAATACAAGAAATTAGCCAGGCTTGGTGGCGGGTGCCTGTAGTTCCAGCTACTCGGGAGGCTGAGGCAGGAGAATGGCGTGAACCCAGGACGTGGAGCGTGCAGTGAGCCGAGATCGCACCACTGCACTCCAGCCTGGGCGACAGAGCAAGACTCTGTCTCAAAAAAAAAAAAAAAAAAAAATCTTCTGGTTAGCCCACTCAGTGTCACATGAAACTTGGTGATTGAATTGCCTTCAGTCAGGGTACAGATCTTCTGGTCCCCACATACCTCCAGTAGGGGACTCGCTTGCCCCATGCAAGCATTTGCTCACCCCAGTCTAAGATATGTCTATAGACTATGGCATAAACTTAGCTATCCATGCATTGGAAATATTTATCAGGAAGATTTCATCAATGTGGTACGGAAATATCAGAGACAGCAAAATATGTCCAGTAGTCAGACTAGAACGTGCTTCAGTCTTGGCTCCACCTGCTCACTAGTACGTGAAACTGGGTAAGTGGCTCAGCTTCTCTGAGCCTCTGATGATGTCAGCATCTGTAAAATGGGGTTATTGTAATAATTAATAAAATGGCAAATACCAAGTGCCTAGCATGGCAGATGACACACGGCAGGAGCCTGAGCCATGGTAGCCATTATAATCATTATTCAGAAGACATGAGTTTGGGGGGTAAAGGGCAAGAAGAAAAGTGGAGAAGAAGGAAAAATGTTTAGCTTTGAGGATTTTTTTTTAATTGAGATTTACACATATTCTCACTTATAAGTGGGAGCTAAATAATGAGAATATATGGACGCATAGAGGGAAACAACAACACACTGAGGCCTCTTGGAGGATGGAGGGTGGGAGGAGGGAGAGAAGCAGGAAATATGACTAATGGACACTGGGCTTAATACCTGGCTGATGAAATAATCTACACAACCAACCCCCATGACACATGTTTACCTGTGTAACAAACCTGCACATCCTGCACATGTACCCCCAAACGTAAAAGTTAAAAAATAAAATAAATTGAGGTATAATTCACACGCCATAAAATTCACCCTTTGGAAACGGTATACAACTCAGTGACTTTTAGTATATTCACAGAATTGTGCAATCATCATCACTATCTAATTTCGGAGTATTTCCATCATCCCAAAAAGAAATCATGTACCCATTAGCAGTCACTCCCGATTCCCCCTCCTGCTTTCCCCCAAGCCCCTGGCAACCATCAATCTGCCTTCTGTCTCCATGGAATTGCCTATTCTGGACACTTCCTATAAATGGCGTCATATGACGTGTGGCCTTTTGTGTCTGGCTTCTTCCGCTTAACGATGTTTTCAAGGTGCATCATGTCAAAGCATGGATCAGTACGTCACTCCTTTTCTGGGCTGAAATAATAATTCTATTGCATTAATCTACAACAGTTTATCCATTCACCAGCTGACGGGCATTTCGGTTGTTTCCACTGTTTGACTATCATAAATAATACTGCTATGAACATTGTGTTCAAGTTTTTGCAAACATGTTTTCAGTTCTCTTGAGTATAGACCCAGGGTGGAAATGTGGGCTCATATGATAACTATGTTTTTTGTGGAACTACCAAACTGTTTTTCAATGCACCTGGGGATTTTTTTTTTTTTTTTTACTGTAACCGAAAGTCAAAGATACTTAAAAACCTCTTTAGAATTTAACAGACAACAAAAATGGGGAGTACATGGTGTTGCCTGGTTTCAGTCGTCAAATCTCAGAATCTATTCAATTACAATTCAATTTCCAACAGACAACCACTTACCATGTTTCTTTAGAAAACAGTACACACAGCTAACAGGAAAATCAGCCAACAAAAGGATGCCAAAGAAAATTCATCCAATAGTTGCCCCAAATAATTGGTTTTTGAATTATGAACCTCCATTACACTGAGTGTCAGCAAGAGATGTATTATTTCTTTGAGGGAAAGGGAACAAGCAGACATTGGCATAAGAGACGCCACAGCAGTTTCCAGGCTTCTACCACAGAGGTCCTTTATTACGCAATTAAGCAAGCAGCACCTGAGATGCGGGCCAGGTTCTGAAAAAGAGTTGGTTCCAGCATGTTTCCTACTTTGAATCACAGCCTCAAACAAAAGAAATGAACGCCAAAGAGATTAGAAAATGTAAGGCTCACATCTCCAGAGTAAACTCTACTTGCTGACAAGACCAATTCTAAAAACAGAAAAGTAACTGAGTCTTAAGTATGTGCAGACAATAGCTGAAGATTTAGATGTAAAACAACGAAATCTGACGACATCCACGGGTTTAATCCTGACACTGCCATTGAACAGAATATTTAAACCATCCAGCCTCTCTGTGTGCTGTGCTCCAATGCTATACACTCCATGACAGTGTGCAACCGTGTACCATGACTTCTGGAATGCAGTGAGGATTCTTTATTTGTGTAGCAAACATTTACTAAGGATCAGAAATAATAAATGCAAAACATCTACAACTATCTCACATTGTAGGCAATCAATAAATTGAAGCCATCCTACTGAACATACACTTATTCGGCAGTGAATGTGCATGCCAGACATCGGGCTATGCCCTGAGGACAGACACGTAAAAGACATTCCTTGTTCTTAAGAAACTGAGAGTCTGATGGAAGAGACAGGGAAGGAAACCGTCGCAACTCAGTGTGTGCTAAGTGATGTGACAAAGGAAAATACAGGGCCACTGAACACATCGACAGGCTGAGAGGTAAGGAAAGACAGTCAAAGACGATCTCTCTTGAACTATGAAAGTTGTTTTATTTTATTGAGAAATAATTAATATGAACAAAATGTTGCCACTCCAAGTGTATGCAAAACCACCCCTAATAAATTAACGTACTGGTGTATCCACTTGCACAACTAACACGTAGAGTATTCCCATCACCCCTAAAAGTGCCTTCCTGCCTCCTCTCTGGCCATCTAACGTCCCACCCCAAAGCCTCCAGCAACGAGTGACCTGCCTCCTGTTATGACAGTTTCACTTTGCACATTCCAGAATTCCTTATGAACAGAATCACACAGTCTGCATTCTTTCGTGTCTTGCTTCCACAGACAGTAACGTTTCTGAGATTCATCTGTGTGTTGGGCATACCGGTAGCTCGTTTCTCTCCACTGCCACGTGGTATTGCACTGCATGGGTATGTTAAAGTGTGTTTATCCATTCATCTGTTCCTGGACATTTTGTTTCCAGTTTGGGGCTATTATGAATAAAGCTGCTATGGGCATCGGTCATGTCTTTGAGTGAATCCGTGTTTTCATTTTCCTAAGGTACATAGGGGAGAAGAGGAATTGCTGGGTCATCACATAAGTATATGTTTAACAATAAATAGCTAAACATTTCCCCAAAGTAGTCACACTATTTTACATTCTCATTCATAATATAGGAGAGTTCCAGTTACTCTGTAGCCTCACCAATGCTTGCAATAATCACTCTTTTTAGTCATTCAAATGGATCGCATAATGAAATCTCCTCATGGTTTTAGTTTGCATTTCCTTACTGACAAGTGATGCTGAGCATCTTTTCATGTTATTTGCCATGCACGTATCTTCTTTGGTGAATTAGCTATTCAAATCATTTGCCTATTTTTAAAATCTAGTTATTTGTCTTACTATTGGTTGTAAGAGCTTTATGTCTATTCTGGATACAAGTCTTTTTAACAGATACATGTTTTGCAAATACTTACTCCAAGGCTGAGCTTGCTTTTTTATTGCTTTAAAAGTGGCTTTTGAAGAGAAGTTTTTAATTTTGATGACGTCTAATTTACCATTTTGTCCTTTGTGTTTTAGACTTTTTGTCCCAAGAAATCTCTACCCATCTCAAGACTGAGAAGATTTTCTTGAATGTTTTCTTCTAGAAACTTTACTGCTTTATATCTCTTATATTTAAGTCTATGATCCATTTTGATCTAATTTTTATATACATGTGGGGTTAAGGGTCGGAGTTAATTTTTGGCATATAAATAATTAGTTGTTCCAGCATCACCTGTTGAAAAAGCCAATCCTTCCCCCTTTGAATTACCTTGGCACATTAGTCCAAAATCAATTGACTATTTATGGATGGGTCTATTACTATTAATGGGGACTTCCTATTTTGTTTCCATTAATCTATGTTTATCCTTATGCCAATATCACACTGTGTTAATTACTGTAGCTTCGTTGTCTGGGATATTTTAGTTCCTACATACGTCATACAAACTTTAGAATAAAGCAATCAATTTCTAAGAAAAAAAAACAAGCCTGCTGGAATTTCGATTACACCTGCATTGAATATAAAGATCAATTTGGGAAGAACTGTCATTTTTAATATGAGGTATTACTACCCATAGCCATGTATATCTTTCAGTGTCTTTCTATTTATTTGGATCATTTTCTCAAGACAATCTTTTATAATTGTCTTGGGAATAGACAATCTCCTATAATTGTCTTGAGAAAATGTATATTTTCTTGTAATTTTCAATGTACAATTCTTGCACATCTTTTCTTAAATTTATCCCCAAGTATATAATTTTTGTTTTTATAAATGATATGGTATTCTTAACTTTATTTTCCAAATGTCCATTGATAATATATAGACATAGGTTTGACTTTTGTATATTAATCATGTATCCTACTACCTTGCTAAATTACTCTACTTTTTGTAAATTCCTTAGTATTTTCTACATGCATAGTAATGTTTTCTGTGAATAACGAGTTTTATTTCTTCCTTTCCAATCTGGGCACATTTTTTGTTCCTTATGGCACTAACTAGACTATTCAGCACAATATGAAATAGAAGTAATGAATATGAACATCCTTGCCTTCTTACCGGCCTTAGGAGGAAAGCATTCACCATTAAGCATACTGTTGAGCACAGAGGCCTGTTAGCAAGTGGGCTTCTATTTCCAGTCTCCTAAGTGTTTTGTATCATAAATGTGTGATGCATTTTGTCAGAGGCTCATTATACATCTATTGCTATGATCATGGTTTTTATTCTCCTTCATTCTATTAATATAGTGAATGACACTGATTGAAATTTGAATACTTAACCAGCCTTGCATTCTCAGAATAAATCTCACTAGATCACAATGAACCACCCATTTCATAGAATGCTGCATTCTTTTTCTTCTTTTAATAAATATATCATTGGATTCCATTTGCTAATTTTTCAAGGGTTTTGCATACATGCTCAAGATGGACATCGTTCTGTAATCTTCTTATAGTGTCTCTGATGTTGGTGTCAGGATAAAGCTAGCCTGATAATACAAATTGGGAAATGTTCCCTCCTCTACTTTCTGAAAGAATTTTTATAAAAATTGTATTTCCTCTTTATTATAATGTGATAAAATTTACCAGTGAAATTCTGTGACTAATATTTTATTTGGGGAAATATTTTTGAATAATGAACTGACTTTTATTAAAGAAAGGGCTATTTAGGCATTCCGTTTCATCTTCAATAAATATTGGTGATGTGCATCTTTCAAAATATTTTTCTATTTCATCTAACTTATCAAATTCACTCACATGAAGTTTTCCATTACAATTATTATCCTTCTAATGTCTGTAGGAAAGACTGATGTCTCCTTTTTCATTCCTGATATTGATATGTTATGTCTTCTTATCTTGGTAAGTCTGGCTAGAGGTGCATGCATTTTATTGATCTCTTCAGAGAACAAGCTCTTGGTTTCACTGGGTTTTCTCCATTGTTGTAAAATTGATTAATTTCTGATCTTTATTTTCTTCTCCTTTCTAGTTACTTTGGCTTTGATTTCTTCTTTTGAGACAGAACATAGCTCATGAATTGAAACAAGTCTCCTTTCCCAGTGTAAGCATCTATGGCTACAAATTTCCATTGAGGCAATGCTTTAGTTGCATCCAGAAATTATGAAATGCCGTGTTTTTATTTTTAGCCAATTCACAATGTTTTCAAATTACCCTGTGATTTCTTCTTGGAGCCCACGGGTTATTTAGAAATGTGTTGCTTAATTTTCAAATATTTGGGGCTTACCAATGTATCTTAATGTTACTGAGTTTTAATTTAATTCTGTTGTGGTCACATAGTATACTCTGTATGTGATTTAAATATTTTAAAATTTATTGAGACTTGATTTATCACCCCAAATATGGTCTATCTTACCAAATGTTCAATGTGTATTTGAAAATAATGTGTATATTTGTTGTTGTTAAGCAATCTAGAAATGTGAACTAGATCAAATTGGTTGTGAGTGTCAAAGTCTTCTATATCTTCACTGACATTCTTTCTATTTGATCTATCAATTACCAAGAGTGGTGATATCTCCAACTATAATTATGGATTTGTCCACTTCTCATTTCAATTTTGTCAGCTATTTGCTTCATGCATGTTGAAGCTCTGTTATTGGGTGTATACACATTTTGAAATGTCACATGTTCTTGAAGAATTTACCCTTTCATCATTACAAAACGTCCCTCTTTATTCCTGATAATACTACTGGTCAACTTTGTCTTATATTAATAAAGTTGTTCCTGCTTTCTTATGACAAGTGTTTGCAAAATATATCTTCTCCAATCCATTTCTACTTAATCTATGTTTTTATATTTAAATGAATTTCCTATAAACAATTTATAGTTATATCTTGATTTTTTTTTTTTTTTTTTTTTGGCCAGTATGATAGTCTCTACCACTATATTGAAGCTCTTAGGTCATTTACACTTAATGTGGTTATAGATGCTGTTGAGCTTACTTCTACCACCTTGCTATTTCTCCCGTCTCTTTTTTGTTCCTTTTCTCTTCTTTTCCTCCCTTATTTTATAATTGAATTTTTTAGGATTCTATTTTATATAGATTTATCAGCTATAACACTTTGTATTCTTTTGTTTTGTGTTTCTTCTGTCATTTCAATGTGCATCTTAAACTCATCACAATCTATTTTCAAATAATATCATATAACCTTACATATAATGTAAGAATCTACCACCATATATTTCCATTTCTCCCTTCCATCCTATGTTTGTCATATTTTTTCCTTTATATATGTTTTAAAGACATAATAGTATATGGAGGTTTTTGCTTAAAATGTGATCAATATTCCTTCAAGGAAACGTAAAAATTCAAAAATAAATTTCTATTTATTCTCATATTTACCTATATTTCTACCATTTCTAATACATTTCAAGATCTGAGGCATTGTTTTTTCTGCCTTAGAACCTCCTTTAAGCACTCTAGCAGAGTAAGTCTTCTGGAGAGGAATTCTCTCAGCTTTTGTCTTTATTTGTATTTTTTTATGGATATTTTTGCTGGATATAGAATTCCAAGTTAACAGCTATTTTTTTTTTTTTTTTTTACCAAGTGAAAGATCAAATTCCACTGTCTTCCAGGAGCATTTTTTCCAACAAGAGGTCTACAATTATCATCAGTTTTGTTCCCATGTAATTTGTGGCTTTTCCTCTGGCTAAAGATTTTTCTCAATACAACCAGTTTTCAGTAATTTGATTAACTTATGTGACTGTGTGTGTGTGTCCATCCTGACTGGGGTTTGTTCAGCTTCTTGGATCTGAGGATTTATCATTCCCATTAAACTTGAAAATTCAAAACTTGATGTACTTGTTCAATTTAAGACCTCATGCATGCATTTCTCAGGCTAATTCTCAGTTGCCATCTCTTTGAATATTTTTCTCTCCAGGATTTTTTCTGCTTTCTATTCCTGGATCTCCAACTAGACTCTTATTCTATGCTCTCAACTATTCTTTCACATTTTCTACCTGTCTCACTGTAACCCATTTTGTGAAGTTCCCTAAGCTCTATCTTCCAAATTACTCTGTCTTCAATTGCATCTAGTCTCTTCTTTAACTCCTCAACTCTGTGTTTTAAGTTTTTGTTTACTTCAACCACCATATATCTATTTTGAGAGGTGGGGGGCATGGGGAGACAGAATCTTGCTCTGTCACCCAGGATGGACTGCAGTGGTGTGATCTCAGCTCACTACAACTTCCACCTCCAGGGTCCAAATGATTCCCCTGCCTGATCCTCCCAAGTAACTGGGATTACAGATACCTGACAAGACGTCCAGTTAAGTTTTGTTGGTTTGTTTTGTTTTGTTTTGTTTTTTGTATTTTTAGTAGAGATGGGGTTTCACCATGTTGGCCAGGCTGGTCTCAAACTCCTGGCCTCAAGTGATCCACCCACCTCGGCCTCCCAAAGTGCTGGAATTACAGGTGTGAGCCACTGCACCCAGCCGTCACTATATATTTTTTATTTTAGAATCTCCATGAGGTTCTTTTTCAAATTAGCTTGCTTTTGTCTCATACTTGTGGTTTTATTTCTTCTAATACCATTCTGACCATATCAAACAGGGTTCTTTAAAAGTGTCTTTCCTGAGGTATAAATTCTCCCATCTGCTGCCCCTGTAGATTCCCCCTCATGGTGGTCTGCCTCCTTGTGTAGTTTGTTGTCTGTGGCTGTACACTCGTGCTCCACAGAAATTACTTCTTATGGGAAGTCCATGTCTCTGTGGCCAGAGAAGTATCTCTATGGAGCAGTTTTCTACCTGGGTTGGCTGCTCCCTGCAGGTTTCCTATGGTAAATCTGTGCATCCTCAGGTGCTAGGCCATGGCATGCTTCCCTGCCTCTCCCCAGTCTGGGGACCAGACTTTCCTGGTCCAATCTGAGGGAAGCCCTTCATGACTCAGTACCAGGGAGCTGCAGCCTGAACTCCCTTCTTTACATCAGCATACAAGCCTAGTGCTGGTTGGCAAAGTTTATCACAAGGAGGCACTTTGGCTTTAGTTTCTGTTAATCACTCAGATTTTGAATTTCCTCTTTGCTTCAGGTACCCGGAAATCTTGCTTTCCAGTGCATACATTTATCCAAAAATTCTTTACATTATAGTCTCTGGGTTGAAGCAGGCAAATGTTTCCGAAGCCTGCCTTTCCCTAAGACCTTGGTCTATTCAACTGTTTTCTACATATTTCAACTAAAAAAAAAAAAAAATACGGCTTGGGAATGTTGGCTTCCAAAAGTAACTGCCCACTACTCTAAATTCGATTTCACAAATATGTTTGAGAATGGCCGCTTCCCAAAGCTGTTATTCGATAGACAGAAAACAGCTTCACTACTGATACATTAGTGTCTGCTAATTCTGAAACTGTACAGCCCTAACTTCATACTATTTTAAGGCAATTTAGTGCACGCTGATCTAAGCTCACTGATCGAAGCACACTGCAAAGTGTCATTTTGCCAAGTGTCCTCTCAACCTCTTGCTCAGAGTCTTTCCATTTCATTCTCCAATAAAGAATATTAGGAGCTGGCAGAACAAATCTTTGTGCCATTTGAGAGCTTACTTTAAGAAATTCTAAAAATACAGCCTCTTGGCAATCATGACCCTCTTGACCTGGCCTTGACCTATTACCCTCAGCTGAACACATCGTCACACACACCACAACTTGCATCATGCCATTCCCCCTTCTCTGCCCGTCTATGCGTCCCCCAAACTGTGGCTCAACCACCAGCTTCCCAGTGCAGCCTTTCCAATGCACGGGAGCCAGCACTCTCTCCCTCCCAGAGCAGTTTGTCTGTATCACTATAATCAGCTTCCTATTACCTTCCAAAATAAACTAGAAGCCTCCATATACATCACCTCCCTTATTTCTCACAGAAAACTCTGCATTATTGGGGAAAAAAAAAAAAGATAAGCTTGAATTTGTCATATTCTTCCTCCAGTTCTAGCTTTCTCTACCACTGAGCCATAATCTCCTTCAGGGACACAATGATGTCTTCACCCATTCTTTAATCCAAGAAACATTTGCTGAGTCTACTAGGTACCAGGCACTGTGTTGGGCACTGGAAGGGAATAAAAATTAATCCCTGCTTGGAGGTGTTCACAGTGTAGCTGGGGATGGGGATGGTTGGTGGAAGACCTGTGTACAGATAAACTGGAACAAAACGTGTCCTTCTGAGCTCTACAACCCCAGCTCCTGACACAGTTTACTGAATACACGGTGGAGGAAAGAGGAGAGACCATCAAGTCCAATGATACAATCAAAGGAATCCACTTAGGAAAGAGATGAATGCTATTAAAAACTACCAAGTGCAGAATTCCACCTCGATTACGTATTCCACACAGCAGCTCTGAGAGTTCACATCTGAATTGAAAGGGTCTGAGAAAACATTAGCTAGTAAACAGTCCTGAGCTTCTGCCAATTAGAAATGGAGACCTGGCTGGGCATGGTGGCTCATGCCTGTAATCCCATAATCCCAGCACTTTGGGAGGCCAAGGTGGGCAGATCACCTGAGGTCAGGGGTTCGAGACCAGCCTGGCCAAATGGTGAAACGTCTCTACTAAAAATACAAAAATTAGCTGGGCATGGTGGTGCACACCTGTAGTCCCAGCTACTCAGGAGACTGAAGCAGGAGAATCGCTTGAACCCAGGATGGGGAGTTTGCAGTGAGCCAAGATCAACTCACTGCACACCAGCCTGAGTGACAGAATGAGACTTTGTCAAAAAAAAAAAAGAAGAAGAAGAAGAAGAAGAAGAAGAGGAGAGGAGAGGAGAGGAGAGGAGAGGAGAGGAGAGGAGAGGAGAGGAGAGGAGAGGAGAGGGGAGGGGAGGGAGGAGGGAGGAGGGAGGAGGGAGGAGGGAGGAGGGAGGGGAGAAGAGAAGATCCATTGGTCTGAGCACTGGCCTTCTCTACCCTGTGACCGGGCCTGGAGAACTGACTGCCAATGTCAGCAGTCGTGGGCTGAGAGTGGGGGCAGGGCCACAGCTGACAAGAAAGCAGGACAGCAGTGAACCTGCACAGAAACAGGGCAGACATATCCGTGAGGCCCAGTGACATCTCAGATAATTCCTCTTTTTAAGTCTACACTAGTCTAATTTACCGAAGATATGGCAGGTGGCTCTTTTTCCATTTTAAAAGTGTTATACTGTTCTTTGAAAAGCAACACACAAGGAAAAAAAAAGAATTGGAAGAAAGTTCACCAAAAGTTGACACTGTTTGTCTATTTGGTAGAAGTAATGCTCATTTTTTAAACCATCTTTATATTTTAGAATCATTAAAATTAGCTATCTCTTAAATACCTTTATTATTTTTTTCTCTTTTTGAGACAGAATCTCACTCTGTTGCCCAGGCTGGAGTGCAGTGCCACAACCTCGGCTCACTGCAACCTCCACCTCCCGGGTTCAAGCAATTCTCCTGCCTCAGCCTCCCGAACAGCTGGGATTACAGGAGTAAGCCACCATGCCTGACTAATTTTTGTTTTGTTTTGTTTTATTTTTAGTAGATACAGGGTTTTACCATGTTAGCCAGGCTGGCCTCGACCTCCTGACCTCAGTTATCCACCTGCCTTGGCCTCCCAAAGTGCTGGCATTACAAGCATCCTAAATACCATTTTTATAATGAAGTAAAACACATATACAGAAAATCACACAAAATATGAATAAGGTCCATGAATTATTACAAAGCACACATCTAAATCCAGCACCCAGCTGGAAAAAGAACATGCCTGCGCCCACCACCCTCTCCTGTCTGCTCTGTCACCGAGCCCATCCCTCCCCAGAGCACCCTCTCTCCTGACTGCTAACACAACATTTTAGATTTGCAAAGAAGCAATAAACAAAAATAAAATAATTTTTTATTCTTAAGTTCATGATACCAGTTCTAGACAGGAGAGCACTCTTTCCATGAGATAGCTTGCCAATAATGGCAGGCTAATACCTATAATCCCACTATGTTCTCAGATTCAGTCATCAATTCAGCTATAGAATTGATCATTTTTCATAGCCAGAGACCACCATGTACGCTGAGTACGGTAGAAGACATGGGAAGCATCCAACAGGCACACTGGTGACAGGCACTCCTCACACAGCACACATAAGGACAGGACGCACCCCTGCCCTCCCGGGGCTCTGAGTCCAGCAGGACACACGCACGTGGAGTCAGAGAACTCGGCACGGCAGGGAATGCTGGACAGGCCCACTTGCACAGAGGAGGCTGGACAGGTGGCCTGGTCAGGACATAGATCCAGGTGCTACGCCATCACCAAAATGCCAGTGCCTTAAGGGCTGTGGAAGTGCGTTTCTCTCTCCCTTAACTGCCACGCCCAGGCAATTCAGGCCTAACAGGGCAGCTCTAGGGGGCTGAGGACCGAGTCCACCTTGCTGTTCTACCTACCCCAGGGTGTGGTCTGATCCTGCGAGTACAAGGTAGGCCATCACTCCTGCCGTGTCCCACCAGACGGAGAAGACGGAGTTCTGGTCATGCTGCCCACCCTGTACATGTCATTGCCCAGGGCTCAGCCGCATTCCCACATCAGGACCAGGGGAAGCCTCCACCAGCGAGGGGCGGGGACTGTGTGGTGCAGTGCCACGTGGTGCAGTGTCGCGGGCGCCATGCTCGGGAACCCGGCATTATTTCGCAGCTGATGGGGAGATGGGGAAGGGTTTTAGGTGAGAACTGATGCAAACAAATATATATTTTAGGAAGTGCTTAAGTAGCTTTATAGCAGAGAGGAACTACAGGCTCAGGGTGCAATTAGGATGCTGTTGTGGAGTCCAGGAGGCCCTCAAGGCCTGCCCCAGACACTGAGGGTAGGAATTAGCCAACAAAAAAGTCAAGGAGAAGGGGTGGCTGCCAAGGAGGACCCTTCCATGCCTCAGGCTCCTTGTCTGTGACGCTGGGGTATTGTTACCCAAAAGCTATTGTCACAAGTCTGTTATGAAGCTCAAATAATGCAAAAGATAATAAAGCCCTGTGAAAATTATAAATTACTAAACAAACTTCAAAGTAAAACATTTTCTCAAACTTAATTTGACCAATTTACAAAGCAAATTTAAAGAACCCCATTAAAGAATTTCTATAGCTACAAAATAGTCACTGTACAATTTCTATACATTTTTATCACTGTTCCTTGCTCAATAGAACTACTTCTGTCTTGTTTTAAAAGTTATTAGGCTGGGCATGGTGGCTTATGCCTGTAATCCCAGCACTTTGGGAGGCCAAGGCAGGTGGATTACCTGAGGTCAGGAGTTTGAGACCAGCCTGGCCAACATGGTGAAACCCCATCTCTACTAAAAATACAAAAAAATTAGCTGGGCATGGTGGCGGGCACCTGTAATCCCAGGTACTTGGGTAGCTGAGGCAGTAGAATTGCTTGAACCCGGGAGGCAGAGGTTGCCACTGCACTCCAGCCTAGGCGACAGAGCGAGAGTCTGTCTCAAAAAAAAAAAAGTTATTAAATGGCTACTCATATTTAATATTATATTTGTAATATAAGCAATACAATTTATAAGTATCCTTTTCTTCTTCACTGTATACTTCACCAAATACGAGGTTTCTGCATCTCTTCATTACTCTTAATTAATTGAAGCAAGTAGAAAAACAGGAATCCTAAAATGCTGGGATCTTGACAGTGTGAGTGGGAATGTACAGCTGGTGAAACACTTGCCCTCAGGTGCAGAATCATCAGGTCTTCTTAATTATTTTTAACACTAAAAATTAAACCCAACATTGCAAAATCTTTCCCTTTTTTTTGAATCAAGCAAATCAATAAATCTATGGATGAAAGCCAGTTAAAAAACACAACAGAGATAAATGCTGTTATTTTTATTCCAGTGGGAGTGAGCATCAGGTCAACCACACCCACTCGATACTCGTCTCTACACGGTACTCTACAGATTGCGTATCCCTTTTCCCAAGTGCTTGGGACCGTAAGTGTTTTAAAAAGATTTGGGATTTCTTCAGATTTCTGAATACAGTCACCCCTCGAACTACATAGGTTTGACCTGTGCAGGTCCACTCATATGCGGGTTTTCTCAGCCAGACGTGGGTGGAAAATACAGTATTTGTGGGATGCAAAACTCACATAAACAGAGGGCTGACTTGTCATATACACAGGTTCTGCAAGGCCAACTAGAGTACTTGAGTATACGCGGGGGCCTTGGAGCCGATGCCCCACCTAGACCAAGGGACAACTGTATTTGCAATATACGTACTGGCTGAGCATCCCAACTCGGAAAATCTGAAATGCTCCAAAATTTGGGGTTTTCGGAGTTGGGACGCTCGACCTATACTAAGAAGCTGTAGCTGCTTCCGAGGGTCCCACATGGCTGAGACTCAGCTCAAGGCTATACTTCCTGAAACACAGGTCAACTGTTGCATGTCATTGAAAAAATTCCAGTTCTTCACTTGGACCCTTGAAGAATACTGAAGAGCAGCCACTGTATGTCTCTAAATCCCTTTTCTACATCCTAACCTTCTTTCACCAGCACAAACTCTGGAGCTAACAAAAAGATACCAACTTCTCCTCGTCGTCCTGGCCTTTCCCTGTTGGTGGTTTTTTTTAAGACAGGGTCTCGCTCTGTCACCCAGGCTGGAGTACAGTGGCTCGATCACAGCTCACTGCAGCCTCGACCTCCTGGGCTCAAGTGATCCTCCCACCTCTGCCTCCCTAGTAGCTAGGACCACAGGCACACACCATCATGTCTGGCTAATTTTTGTATTTTTTGTAGAGATGAGGTTTCACCATGTTGCCCAGGCTGGTCTCAACTTCTGGGCTCAAGTGATCTGCCTGCCTTGGCCTCCCAAATCCCACAGGTTCTTAAAAGCAGTGATGGGTCAGTGTGGTCGGGAGAGGAACTGGGCTCCTCCCACACCTGTACATCCTCTGGGCTCATCTGGCTCTTCTCATTTTTCCAGTTTACTCCCCACAAAATATCCAGGAGCAGCCAAGAAAATAGTGCTCCCCATCCTGGCCTCCCAGAGATCATGGGAGAAGGAGAAGCTAAATGTGCGAGCAGGAATAGAATATTCTTCAGCAGGTTGAGGGTGGGGGAGATTTCCCCAGCAAGAATGAGTGACAGTGTCACTGCCTTCAGGGATTTAAATTTTAAACAATCCCTGGTATCCATAAGTAGATACACAAAACATACAGATAATAAAATCAACGCACAAACACAGAATTGAATAAATATATGACAGCATGAATAAAAACCCGTGAATGAATGCATCTCTCCTGATCCTCTGACTGCTGCCCTAATGGGCCCTCGGATTAAGTAACATCTCCCTCCTCTGAACTCCAAAACACATTACTTCTCAGCACAGCTGTTGGGAAGTTGGAACTCTCTATTCTGCTACAAGCTTGTTTCTATGCACAGCTTATATCTTTATCCCTACTGAATCTCTGCTCCCTGCAAAACTCCAAACCCCTCCAACTCTGACCTTGATGGCACAGATCTCCCGACCACACTGGCCTATCCCTGCCTTTAAACATGGCATTCCCCTTTACCAGCCTCTGCCTCACACTTGCTGGCACCCAGACCTGAAATGTCCTTGACCTCTTCCTCCTTCAAGTCTCTCTTCACTTTCCTGACTGCCCCCTTCAACACCGATGTTCCCCAGGGATCTACCTTTGCTCCTCTTCTCTCTTGATTCATTCCAAGGAACCACACACAATTTGACCACTATCCACAGCTGATGGTCCCGAATTGATACCACCAGGCTGGACCTCCCTCCAGAATTCCAGCTGAAATTGACTTCGTTAGTAGCACACATCCACCTGAATGGCCAACAGGCAGCCCTGTAACTTCCCAAATACCCTCTGAAACCAGCCCTCCTCCCGTTGTTTCTAACCCAGGGGATGGCTTTGCCATCCACAACATGGCCCAAATAACACTACAAATGCTTCTGTGTATGGAACCCATACCATACACAAATATTGTTTTTCAACCAAATCCTTCTCACATCAATTCCCTCCTTTCCACCTTCACTAAAACTGCCTTCTGCAAAATTGAATCATTTCTCTGCCTGTGCTCTTTCAACAGCTTCCTAAGTGGCCTAACACATGCCTGGCATATATTTGCTGAAAGAATGCTGGAACCAAGGAACAGTTTCCCTGCTGTCTCCAGGAATTCCTCCTGCCAGGTTCGTTTCCGCATGGCCACAGAAGTGACCGCCCTAAAAGATCAGATACACAACTCCTTGCCTTAGAAGTTCTGCCAGCTCACTATTTCAGAAGACCAGCTCCTCTTGCCAAAGTGTTATCACTGGGAAAAACTAGCGACCCAAGCCTCGAACAAGAGGGGAGGCATTTTATAAATCACGTTACAGTTCTACCAAGCAGTAACTTAAAAATAAGCTTGCATAGGATAAGAAAATGCTTATAACATAATTTTAGTAAAATAGAGGCCTAGACGGCTCCTAAGGTCTGATTTCAGCTACCTAAAGAGATGCGTGGAGAAAAACTGGAAGGAAATAGGCCATAATGAGAGTAGCACCCATTTCTGGGTAGTGAGATTTTGGGGAATGTTTTGCCCTTCTCCTTTAGAGTCTTCCCAAGTTTCCAGATTTTTTTTTTTACAAGGATCATTCATTACTTTGTGATAGGAAAAAAATAAGCACAAATAAAAACAATCTCCCAAATCTTTTGCTTCGCATTTGCAGCTCTTAGCACAAGCCATCTGGTTTTCAGCTCTCTCTATGGTCTTATCTTCCCCTCCTCTCCACACCTCATGCACACAAACTAAACTCCTCCTCCTCAGCAGCAGCCACATATGCCAGTCCGGGAATAACAGCCAGGTTCCACAGGGCAGACGCACGGCCTCCATAGCTCTCTCATCTATCTTAGGCATTGCCACATTCTTGGTAAGTTTTGAAGCACAAATACTCATAAAGATGTGATCAACCGAACTGAGAAAACAGAGAAATCAAAGCTAACAAGCGCCTGTTGACCACTGTCCTATACCAGGAGCTCTGGTCGGAAACCAGAAGTGAACAAGTTACTAAAACTCTATAGAAAACGGCTATAATAACAACCACCACTAATCCGGCCAGGCGCGGTAGCTCACGTCTGTAATCCCAGCACTTTGGGAGGCTGAGGCTGGAGGATCACTTGAGGTCAGGAGTTCGAGGCCAGCCTGACCAACATGGTGAAACCCTGTCTCTACTAAAAATACAAAAAAATTAGCCAGGCGTCATGGCAGGCGACTGTAATCCCAGCTACTCGGGAGGCTGAGGCAGGAGAAGTGCTTGAACTCGGGAGCCGGAGGTTGCAGTGAGCCAAGATTGTGCCACTGTACTCCAACTTGGGCGACAGAGCCAGACTCCATCTCAAAAGAGCAGCAACAACAACAACAAAACAATGACTAATCCCTATTAAGGGATGAAGAGCAGTGGAATTACAAGCAGGAATTAATTGGTTCAGAGAGACTGGGCCCAACCGCCCAGGTACACCCAGAGGCAGAGCCTGGAGGAACCAGATCTTACTTGAGAAAAGGTGGTCATTGTGTTACACAAAAGGAGGCTGCAAAGAGAAAGAGGCAAAAAGCTGTGCGGAAGAACAAACTGCTAGCTTCTTCTCCGCCATGGCTTTCCCTCCTTCCTCACTCTAGAAAGTTGCTATTTGAGAAGTAGATTTCTTTTTTTAAACCCTTAGCAAATTCAAGAACGTGCCAAGTTTCATTGCCCAGCCTTTCAAAGAAAGAAGGTCAAATATATAAGAACAGAGACGAATAGAGGGTAAAGCAAACCTTTGGAGGACTACAGCGTGTTTTTGCTGCCACCAAACAGATGCTGCATGGTTGAGGGCTTCTCCAACAATCGGATTCTCAAGTTCAGTGTCCAGGACCAAAGTCACGTCTGCTGTTAATCCCTGTTCTCAAATGAGAAGAACGGGCAGTCTCTCGGAGAGGCCAGATTAGGAGAGGGTGGGGGTTACAATAGCCTCTACAATGCTCAGCATCTGCCCCCACCAAGGCACAAGTGCATTCGCTCAGGCTTTGATCACTAAGACAGACAGGAAACAAACTCAAAGCTAACTCTTATTGAGGGCCGACAACGTGCCAGATGCTCTCATACGCATTTCATCCATGCTCACAAGAGCTGGTTGAGATCCATATTATTCTTATTTTTCAAATAAACTGAGGCTCACAGAAACTCAGTAATTTGCCAGTGGGGGATACTAATAGTGGTGAAGTCAGGTCTGACTTTAAAGCCTCATATGGTTTGGATTTATGTCCCCACCAAATCTCACGTTGACATGTAATCCCCGGTATTGGAGGTAGGTCCTAGTGGGAGGTGTCTGGATCATGAGGGACCAATCCCTCCTGAATGACTCGGCGCCATCCCTTTGGTGACAAGTGAGTTCACGTGAGATCTAGTTGTTTCAAAGTGTGTGGCACCTCCCAATCTCTCTCTTGCTCCCACTCTCGCCATGTGACACGTCGGCTCTGGCTTCACCTTTTGCCATGATTGTAAGCTTCCTGAGGCCCCACCAGAAGCCAAGCAGATGCTGGCACCATGCTTCCTGTACAGCCTGTGCAGAACCATGAGGCAATTAAACCTCTTTTCTTTACAAACTACCCAGTCTCAGGTATTTCTTTATCACAATGCAAGAACAACCTAACAGAAAGCCCAAATGCTTGCCCAGCCCCAAATTTCCCCCAATAAATACTATGCTGTCCACGAAAAGGCAGAGGTCACCGGCTAATACCCCATAGCACAGTGGAAGGAGCACAGGTCTGAGAGTCTGTAACCCTGAGTTTAAATCTCCTCCCCTACCCTTTCCAACATGACACTAACACATCACTTACTTACTTCTCTGGGCCTAGCCACCACCAAAGGGTGAGAAGCATCACTCAGGACTAAAATGAGGATTTGAAAAGATTGTGGATGGTACCTGGCATATAGCAAAAATTTGAAAAAATATGGTATCCCTTCTCTTGTTTATAAATGTTAACATCTTGAAGCTTTGGTTAAGCAAAAGACTCTAAATCAGCTGTGTTCATTTCTAATCAACCCCAGGCTTCAACACAGGTTCCCTGAACATCTATAATTTGCAAATCCAGATCCAGACAATGAAGGCCAAGCAGGCTGAGTAAATTGTCAAGCCTAAGAAAGGGTTTCGGAAAGTTAAAGCAAGGTCACAAGAGTGGCACACGTGTATTTCACTTATTTAACTGAAAATGGTTTCCCCACAGCCATGCTAGAGTGATGGGTGCCATATTCCATGGCATGATCACCTCAACGTAGGCAAAAGGACTCTGTTAGAAGAAGTCACTGGCTGACTTCTGCAGTCAACAGGCCCAATCGTCCACAGAGCAAGGTGATCTGCAGAAACCTCCTGGCACAGTGCCTGGGGCGTGTTTTCTAGCAGTAAAAACAGGCAGCATGGTGCAGGGGAGGAGCAAGCTGCCCGCCCACAGCCCTCGCACCAGCTGTGCAGTCAGGGCAGCCCCATTATGCAGAGCCTCGCTTCAATACCTGCAAAACCTGCTCCGACGAGGTTTAAGAACCAGACATAACATGAGATGCATTGAATGAACTGCTTGTCACATGGGTAACTATTAACTATTCCAACTAATCATATAAAAACTACTAGCCACTATTTATTGGATATTTTCCCCAAACACCCAAGGAATGGCTGTTTGTTTATTTAGTTATTTATTTTTTGAGATGGAGTCTCCCTCTGTGGCCTAGGCTAGAGTGCAGTGGCACAATCTTGGCTCACTGCAACCTCCACCTCCCAGGTACAAATGATTCTCCTGCCTCAGCCTCCTGAGTAGTTGGGATTACAGGCATCCACCATCACACCCGGCTAATTTTTGTATTTTGAGTGGAGATAGGGTTTCACCATGTTGGTCAGGCTGGTCTCCTGACCTCAAGTGATCCGCCCGCCTCGGCCTCCTAAAGTGCTGGGATTACAGATGTGAGCCACCATGCCCAGCTGAATGGCTGTTTAAATCTTGCAGAAGTAAAACAAGTATTTCACTGGGGAAAGACAGGTTTCAAACACCTCTGCCACATATACCTTCATTCCAGAGTTGCTTGGAGGAAATTTTCTAAATAATCTTTCAAATCCCTGGCTCATCAATCTAAAATGTGAAAATGTGTTCTGAAGTGCTTTTCTACTGGAGATATTGGCTATTTCCCCCACGGGAATAAATTTAAATTACACACTTAGAACTAAGGCCTAGATTCTTGCAGATCTAAGCTTTAAAATCATGAACACGAATTTCACCCAAACTGAGTGACCTGCCTTCAGAATAGGGAGAAGCTTCATGTTGTAGGCATTGCAAAGCCTAGCTTCTTACCTGAGTCAGCTGAATGTAAGTCTTGGATATAAATCTTCAAAGTTGAGCTGAAAACATATACTAGCACAAACTGTCCATTTTTTATATCACTGGCAAGTTTAAGAAGTTCAGATTTGAGCCAGAAGGAAAGAAATGACACTCTCCCACAAAGTTCCATAAGGGCAGAAGGGATCTTTGTACTTTCAGAAAAAAAAAAAAAAAAAAAAAAAAGCTTGGTTGGTAATTGTGCCTACTGCTAGAAAGTCCACTGGAAAGGCTGAAACCAGTCCACAGGAGGCCCGCTGTGCTAATGGGAAGAGCATGCACTTTGAGGTCAGGTGACCAAGGCCACCTCCAAGCTGTGCGATTGTGGACAAACTATCGCTGCAAATGAAGACTGTAATACCTATCTTTCAGGGCTGGTCTGAGAATGACTAGCAATGCATGCAAAGCACTCAGCACAGTGCCCAACGCAAAGAAGGCTCCCAGTATGTAGAAGCTAACACATTTTGTCATTTTGCACAAGGCAACATTCTGGGAAAAGTCCAAAAAGCAGATTCAGAAAACACAGGGTCCAGTCCCAGCTCCAGTGCTTCCTTGGAGCCACAAATTCTAATCCCGGTTTTAATCCATCATTGTAACCCTAGCGCTCCCAGGGTTGAACTCTCTGAAAATTAATTCCATCCAGACATTCTACTGCTTAAAACCCCCAGGACCACCCATTTAAAATCTAAACTCCTTAGTATGGCAAAGGCCCCTGTCTATCTTTTCCGCCTCTACATTCACTGTCCTCCTTTCTCTGCCTTCCTAACTCCTCCTATCCAGTCTCTCCCCAGCCCGCACCCCTTCACACCCCACCCACAGTCATCCCCCTCCCTCAGTATGATCTCTCTTGGATACCAAAACTGCTCAAGTCCCTGATATAAAATAGCACATCTGTATATAACCCATGCACATCCTTCTGTATAACTTACTCTCTAGATTTATTATACCTAATAAAATGTAAATGCTATGTAAATAGTTATATTGTATTATTTAGGAACTAATGATAGGAAAAATGTCTGTACATGTTCAGTACAGATGCAGTTTTTTTGCTTGAATACTTTCAATCCAAGGTCGGTTGAATCCACAGCTGTGGAACCCACATGGACACAGAGGCCAACTGTAACTGAGGCTCCTGAAATACACTAGGCACATTCTGTGCCTGGACCTAGGGCACTCGCTGACTGGAAGGTCCCAAAGGAACCTCAATACCTACTCATCTTTCAATACCCAGCTCTGGTATCAACTGTCTTTGAAGCTTTAAAATCCCTATGAGCATTTGTATGCCTACACTTACACACCCCTGACCATGTATTCTTCACAGATCACACCTGTGACACTAAAACACACTCAACAACCTATCGTACAGCTCACACCTCTGACCACTAAAACACACTCAAAGACCCACCATACAGATCGCACCTGTGACACTAAAACATAGTCAATGATCCACTATACAGCTCACACCTGTGACACTAAAACACATTCAACGATCCACTGTACAGATCACACCTGTGACACTAAAACACACTCAAGGTTCTACTGTACAGATCACACCTGTGACACTAAAAGACACTCAATGATCCACTGTACAGATCACGCCTGTGACACTAAAACACACTCAAGGATCCACCATACAGATCATACCTGTGAAACTAAAACACACTCAACGATCCACTGTACAGATCACACCTGTGACACTAAAACACACTCAAGGATCCACCGAACAGATCATACCTGTGAAACTAAAACACACTCAATGATCCACCGTACAGATAACACCTGTGACACTAAAACACACAACGATCCATCATACAGATCACACCTGTGACACCAAAACACACTCAACGATCCATCGTACAGATCACACCTGTAACACTAAAACACACTCAATGATCCACTGTACAGATCACACCTGTGATACTAAAACACTCAATGATCCATTGTACAGATCGCATCTGTGACACTAAAAAACACTCGACAATCCACCGTACAGCTCGCACCTGTGACACTAAAACAATGATCCACCATACCGCTCACATCTGTGACACTAAAACACACTCAATGATCCACTACACAGCTTGCACCTGTGACACTAAAACACACTCAACTATCCACTGTACAGATCACACCTGTGACACTAAAACACTCAGCAATCCACTGTACAGCTCGCACCTGTGACACTAAAACACACTCAATGATCCACTACACAGCTCGCACCTGTGACATTAAAACACACTCAACTATCCACTGTACAGATCACACCTGTGACACTAAAACACTCAGCAATCCACTGTACAGCTCGCACCTGTGACACTAAAACACATTGAACAATTCACATACAGACCACACCTGTGATACTAAAACACTCAATGATCCACCATACAGATCACACCTGTGACACTAAAACACACTCAACGATCCACCATACAGATCACATCTGTGACACTAAAACACACTCAACGATCCACCATACAGATCACACCTGTGACATTAAAACACACTCAACTATCCACCGTACAGATCACACCTGTGACACTAAAACACTCAGCAATCCACTGTACAGCTCACACCTGTGACACTAAAACACATTGAACAATTCACATACAGACCACACCTGTGATACTAAAACACTCAATGATCCACACCATACAGATCACACCTGTGACACTGAAACACAACGATCCACCATACAGATCACACCTGTGACACTAAAACACACTCAACGATCCACCATACAGATCACACCTGTGACACTAAAACACACTCAACGATCCACCATACAGATCACACCTGTGACACTAAAACACACTCAACGATCCACCATACAGATCACACCTGTGACACTAAAACACACTCAACGATCCACCATACAGATCACACCTGTGACACTAAAACACACTCAACGATCCACCATACAGATCACACCTGTGACACTAAAACACACTCAACGATCCACCATACAGCTCACACCTGTGACACTAAAACACACTCAACGATCCACCATACAGCTCACACCTGTGACACTAAAACACACTCAACGATCCACCATACAGATCACACCTGTGACACTAAAACACACTCAACGATCCACCATACAGATCACACCTGTGACACTAAAACACACTCAACGATCCACCATACAGATCACACCTGTGACACTAAAACACTCAACAATCCACTGTACAGATCACACCTGTAACACTAAAACACACTCAACAATCCACTGTACAGATCACACGTGTGACACAAACACACAACGATCCACTACACAGCTTGCACCTGTGACACTAAAACACACTCAATGATCCGCTATACAGCTCACACCTGTGACACTAAAACACACTCAACTATCCACTGTACAGATCGCACCTGTGACACTAAAACACATTGAACAATTCACGTACAGACCACACCTGTGATACTAAAACACTCAACGATCCACTATACAGATCATACCTGTGACATGAAAACACACACAACGATCCACGCGTGAACTCCTTTTGAGAAAATGTCATTTTATCTTTTATATCCACAGCGCATAGCAATTGCCAGGAACAGAGTAACACTCGGTAAATGTAAACTACATGCATAGGTGAGTGCATCATAGATGAATGCATGCTTCATCACTTCTCCACAGAAAACTGTGGGATTGATAACAAGTGAGGGGACTGGATCAGGACACTAGGAAGAAAAGAGGAGGAGAATAAAGTGGGCGAGGAAGAGAAGATAGAGAAAAGGAGAGAGAAGAAAGAGAAGACCTTGAGACAAATGTAGGATAATATTTTGCAAATAAAGCGGGAATGAGCTTTGGAATTGAGAACCCTAACACGAGCCGATGTTAACATAAGAGCACTGCAGTCTTAAAACACACAAATCCTTTCTTCACTTGGAGCCCCTTAAAAAGCCTGTAAAGAGGGCAGGGCAGGCGCCTCCTCCTCACTTTGCAGATGAGAGCCGTGAGGCCCAGAGCAGCACGGTGACTTTCCTAAGGAAAAGGGGCTGAGGAAATAAAGGCTGAATTCGAACCCCGGGGTGTTTTTGTTTTTTGTTTGGTTTTGTTTTGCTGTTTGGATGGTATGCAGCCCTGCTATTGAGATGCATCTGCCTCGGTATCAAGGACTATCTAGATGAAATACAGTGATGTGGGTTTTAATTTCCTCTTTCCTTACCAGATACGTATTGACATTTGGGCCACAATCCAACCCTTAGGGATATTTCATTTAATGAGCTCCCTGTTGCTTTTTAAAACAGCCATATCTCTTCAAAAGCACAGAATATAAAACAAAAGAGAACAGAACAAAAGAAAACAACGCGAGATTTGTCACGGGGGAGCCAGCACGGGCTAAAGACAAGGGCAGGGAAGGTGGTCTTTGGGGCTCAGAAAGAGCCTTTCCTTGACACTCCCAGGGCAGCTCAGATGAACTGTCCCCTGCTAACACAATAATGTTCAAGAAACGAGAGAAGGCTAGTTTTCCCCAGCACATCTTGTGCAGCAAGATGAGAAGGAAGCTTGGTGCACTGGCCATCTAGTCTCCAAGGCTCAGCTTAAGCAACACCCATTCTAGGGAAACTGTCTCTGCTTCCTCCTCAGAGCATTCACAGCATCCACAGGGTGACCCTGAAACTGCCTTTGCAAAATGATGACTGAGGCAGTAAAAGAGATCTAACTTAACTGACTCCATCTTGCTTCTAACCTCCAAGCTGTCCTTGTTCATTCCTGGGCATAGGCTGAACTAACTTTGGGAGAAACTTTATAGTTTAAACAAAGACGGTAAACAGCCCTTTCCCAAAGCAGACCTCCTCCTTGCCTGGGGACTAGACTGCCTTTGTAGTAGTAACATTAGCCACAAGATTAAAAATTATGGTTTAGGAGTCACGCAGATGGAGGCTACAAGATTCTGACCCTCCCTGAACCGCTCCTAAGATCACTGCTTGAGGTATTTTGCAAACCCTGTACTTGATGGATCAGCTGGTACCACCCAGATCGATAAACTGGCTTGTCTGATCTTGCGGCCCCCACCCAGGAACCAACTCAGCACAAGAAGACAGCTGACTCCCTATGATTTCAGCCCTGACCAATCAGCACTCCCGGCTCACTGGCTTTCACCAAGTTATCCTTAAAAACTCTGCTCCCCGAATGCCCAGGGAGACTGATTTGAGTAGTAATAAAACCGGTCTCCTGCACAGTTGGCTCTGCGTGAATTACTCTTTCTCTATTGCAATTCCCCTGTCTTAATGAATCCGCTCTGTCTAGGCAGCAGGCAAAGTGAACCCCTTGGGTGGTTACAATCGTATGGTGTCACTGTCCACTCCAAGTCTGCCTCCTCTCTGGGCTGAGATTTCCTGAATGGCAGGAACCATGTCTCTCCTCTGGTAGTCTGAGAAGTTGGCCTAGCACCAAGGACGTTCTTGTATTCAGCAAATATTTATTAGCACATTCAACGTGCCAGATACAGTGCTTGCAATGAAGGACACCACAGTGAGACGGAAAGAGGGAGACAGATGATGCCAGCACAGCAGGCTGAACGCGGCAACACCCGGCACAGGGCAAGCGGGGAGTGCGGGACTCCTGGGGGGAGCAACAGTGCAGCTGAGGCCTGGACCCCCAGGAGAATTCAGAGAGAGAGAAGAATGGGTGGAGCTGGGGAGCTGTATGGCTCACAGCTTCTCAAAGCACAGTACAAAGCAGGGCTTCTTGCACGTGAACATGCATTTGAGTCACCTGGGGGTCTGTGGAATGTGATTCCAAACTCAGGAGGTCTGGGAGGGGCCTAAGGGTCTGTATTTCCGACAGGTCTCCTGGGGGGTGCTGATGTTCTTAGCTGGTAAACCACACTGTGAGTAGCAAGAGTGTGGACTATCCCTGGTATCTGGATACATGTAAAGACACAAATCCAGGTCTAGACCTTCCCACCTCACAGGGATCCTGTGAAATGCATATTAACCAACGTCACTGGAGGAAATAATTATGCAGACAAGTTAAGTAACCTGCCTGATGTCACACAGTTCGTAGGTGATCAAGCTGGAATGTGAACCTAGGGCCATCTACGCCCCCAGAGCCTTTCTTCCTTCCACTGCATCATGCTGCTTTCTCAATAAATATCTGCTCCTACGCCCCCAGAGCCTTTCTTCCTTCCACTGCATCATGCTGCTTTCTCAATAAATATCTGCTCAACTCAATAAATCACTAAGCATCCCAAAGTCAAAAGTAAATATTTTTGCATCACCCGCACCACAATCTATATCCACAGATCTTCCATTTTTTTATTGCAGACTCTTATGAGCTTAAAAAAACACTTTTGAGAATACATCCCCAATAGGCACATTTATTTAAAGTATATATTAGTACATTTTTAAAAGAATGCAAAAATAAGTATTAAAACAGATGAGATGGTAACTTTGGAAGACAATGTTTTGACTGAAAACCATAGGGCTAAAGATAAAAGGAACTGCATACTACATACCCACAAAAATTAAAAATAATTTTTAAATAAAAATTTTTTTAAAAAAGGAATGCCACAGAAACTGTGTACTCTAGTTGGTAAAGCTGCTTCTCACAGGGTGCAGAGGAGCAGCTCTGAAAGTGCTTTACATGCACACTGGAGTCAAATAAGTCAACGAAGAGTAGCTGGTGGGACCTAGTTTCTCACGGCCGGAGAGGGAAGTTACAGATAAACAAGACAGGAAAGCTAGAATGAGCCCTGTGGGACTGGACTCAGTTACACTCATGTTTAACCAGATGGATAAATACAGAAATAATTACAGAGATGTGTAGATGCATAGGTTTCCTAGCGCTATCCACTGAACGGGCCTAGAAGCAAGGCCAACCGGGACAAGACCTTCGTAAAGAATTCCAAATAATGTCTGTAGATGCACCCCCACCAGAAGGGGGAGCTCAGTTCCCATCCTCCCAGCCCCTGCCTCCAGCCCTAGAGTGTGAGCTCCACTTAGTGATTTGCTTCCCAGGAAGAGAATATAGAAAGGGGACCAAAAAGAGTCACTTTCCAATGGAGAAACCTGGCAAACACGACCCCGGCCAGGCGATCAAGGTCAACATCACCAACAAGTCAGGTGGGCACCCCTGCGGCGGCGGCATAAGAAGGGCACGTCGACTCCTTCTCACTATAAGGAAAATATCAGAGAAACCCAAAATGAGGCGCAATCTACAAAATATCTGACCGGCACTCCTCAGTACTCTCAACGTCACGAAAAACAAGGAGAGACAAGCCATCATAAACCGGAAGACACTAAGAAGACCCGGAGGATAGATGTCATCGAGCGTCCTGAATGGGACCCAGGACAGAAAAGGACAGGAGCGGATACATGAGTAAAATCTGAATCAAGGATAGAGTTTAACTCACAGTGACGCACCCACGTTGGTTTCTTATTGTGTGGCAAATGTACCCTAGTAATGTACAACACTGACAATGGAGAAAACTGATATGAGGGATACATGGGAACTCTCTGTTCCATCTTTGCAGCTTTTCTGTAAATCTAAAACCATTCTGAAATAAAAAGGTACTTTTCAAAAGGATGAGATGAAAACAGATGTAATATTCTTCCTGTGTTCCAGTAGCATGTCACCACCGTGCTATTCTAACGCCGGATGCAGGGCTCACAGACCCAGGCCTCTAAGAGTCCAGAGGGGGAAGAAGAGTGTGACGGAGGCAAGTGGACAGCCAGGCAGAGGCGGGACTGTGGCCGGCTGGGAAGCACGTGACTGTCTAAGGCATCCTAAAGCAAAATATTCCGAAAGAGAAAACAGAAACCTGCGGGTCCAGCCAGTTTGCTTCCTCTAAGCTGAGGTATAGATATTGGAAACCAGAATGCAATTTTCACAATGGAATTAATTACAGTTGTTTATGTAGTTTCTTGAGAGAAGGTCTCCCGTCCTATATTTCCCAAACACTGTTCACCTGCTGATCTGCCTTGATGTAAAAAACAACAAACAAACAAAACTGTTTCTGGATTTTTCCAAGGATACTGCCTCCACTGATTTTTTTATAACAATCATTTGATATTTGACAAATTTTATTTTAAACTTTTCCAGAAAACAGCTCATAGAGTTCTCATTTACTTACCAATGCCTACTGTGTATACTGTTACAAAATATCTTTGATTCCCCAGAACGGATCTAATTTCAAATATTATATCTCATTGTCATTCATATGTTTTGTCAGATGATAGGTCTTGATATTTAATTTAAAAATACAGTCATACTCTGAGTCATTTTGATGCTGGGGACATTTTTATATAATACATCTAACTCCCACTCAAACACTAAGTCAATATTATCATCCTAGAACTTATGAAGGGAAGAATGGGAAAAGGGGAGCAGCCAGGGACTGGGAGAGGCTGGGGGACAGGATGATGACCAAGCTTGGCACAGCACACAGCAGCAGTGCCGTGTCAGGCGAGAGGGAGCGAGAAGGCTCAGCTGGCCCTGGTATGTCAGGCTCAGCTCTGACATACCATCAGAGCTATGGCAGGTTGGGAAGGGCTCTAAGGAAAAAATGTGGAAGGTTCCAGCATCGTGGGAAAGACTTTGGAGTCAGGCACACATGAGTTTGCACCACAACAATGCCATTTATTAGCCACATTAGTTTACAAAGTATCTGCTCTAAGCCTCAGTTTCCTCATTCCAAATGGAGATATCAACACATTACGGTTGTTTGGTGAGATAAAAGCTCATCTTCTGTAATTAAAAAAAAAAAAAAAAGCAATGAGGCTTTCAAAGATTAGTAAGTCATGTCAAAATGGCATGAGAGCCAACTTAAGAAAGCTCTCTTTGGCCAAATTATGACAAGTGAACAAACAGAATAATGACTGTAAGTGAATCAACGGAAATCCATGCATCCACCATGATACTCAAAAACAGAAAAGGGAAATAAAACCCAACTTCTCAACTTCTGCAGAAGCTCTTAAACAATCCCTTACTTTGAAATTAGAAAGTAAAGGGGGAAAAAAAGTAGCATCTTGTTTCTGTTTTTACCCAGGCACTATATTCCTGGGTAATTAAATAGCCCCAGTGGTTGAGCTAAAAGTTCTAAAATTTACAATAAAAGGCCACTTTATAAAAGTAGAAAAAATAATAGAGAAAAACCTTTCATAGAACTTGAATGACATTATTAAATCAGGCAAAGATTATCCATTGATTTTAAAACATTAGATGCATGACTGACATATTTGTACTACTGCCAAAGTATTGACCCTCAGAATATTCTCTGGTTGCAAGGAGAAAAACAATGGGCTCAGGCTCTCATTGCCCTATCCAGAGGTCAATCTTAACCTCACTAGTGGTGGGACAGCCAGATACTGGGCATCTATTTCTAAGGTAATGCAACCTGAAGTACCAACTTCACCTATGAAGTATTCTAGGCAAAAATGTTTCGTGTGAATTCATCAAGACTTTGCATACAAATTCTACTTTAAGGGAAATCAGGGGATGGAGAAACAGATCCAATAAAACAACTAGACAAATCCAAAAGGTAAGACATTCTACAGGACAACTGATCTGGTCTCTTCAACAAGCGTCCAAAAGAAAAAAGTGGTGCTAGCTGAAAACAAACTTAAAAGCAAAATGCAATGCAATGAGTGGTCCTGTATTGTATACTGGTTTGGACTACCTTGTTATAATAAAATCTGGGGATCAAATGGGAGAAATTTTAAAATCATCTGCAGAGTAGAAGCAATAAAAAATTACTGAAACAGAAAATGGAATAGCACTAGTTGAACAAAGCAAGACACAAAATAGTATTTATAGTCATCTAATTTTGAATTACGGGGAAAACACACCCGCAGGTATTCATATACGCAGGTCATTAAATGATCCTGAGTGATATACACTCTGGCTTCATGGTCGTGATCTCTGGGCAGGAGGAATGTGAAATTTCTCTCCTTTCATTTTTGTTTGTCTCAACGGTATTCCTGCACTAGTCTTTGCTGATAGTGCTTCTGTAATGATAAACGATTTGTTGTTTGTCTGAAAAGTCCCTGTGTCCTAACAGGCTCACAGTGTTGCTCAGTGAGGCCAGGACAGTGACAGTGCTGAATGCTTCCACCTGTGTGAGGGCTTGTCATTCATAATGCAAGTGAGGACTTCGGAACTTCACCTGATGAATGGCAAGTTTCCTAGCAGGAAGTAAGATGTGAAAATCGGTGCTTGCGGGAAGGTTGAGCTAACAGACAAGCACAAGGTAAATTCCGCAGAAGAGACAGAAGAGACCAGCTGGAAGAGATCAAACGAATTCTGCTGGAAGTGAGAAGGACTCAGCCGAGGCAGTGGCTCTGTGTGGCCATGGAACATCATAATCATCTAAGAGTCCTTTCTAAGGAAGAGTCTGCAGAACTTCCCCACTGGCTGGGTACCAGGAGTGGTGGAAGGATCACACATGAGGCCAAGGTATTAAGCTCCAAAGACTAAGAACATCAAGAAAACCCGAAAGCCCTCCACACAGACAAACTGCAGGAGGACAAGGTACATAAAGGAGATTACAGTGGCCAGTGCTGTCAAACTTGGTGAAAAGATGGACGATGATATGGTTTGGATGTTTGGTCTCCTCCAAATCTCAGGGTGAGATGTGACCTCCAATGTTGGAGGTGGTTCTGGTGGAAGGTGTTTGGGTCATGGGAATGGATCCTTCATGGTTTGGTGCCCTCCCCACAGTAATGAGTGAGTTCTCACTCTGTGAGTCCAAGTAAGAGCTGGTTGTTTAAAAGAGCCTGCCATCCTATTCACAATAGCAAAGACTTGGAACCAACCCAAATGTCCATCAATGATAGACTGGATTAAGAAAATGTGGCACATATACACCATGGAATACTATGCAGCCATAAAAAAGGATGAGTTCATGTCCTTTGTAGGGACACGGATGAAGCTGGAAACCATCATTCTGAACAAACTATCGCAAGGACAGAAAACCAAACACTGCATGTTCTCACTCATAGGTGGGAATTGAACAATGAGAACACTTGGACATAGGATGGGGAACATCACACACCGGGGGCTGTCGTTGGGTGGGGGGAGGGGGGAGGGATAGCATTAGGAGATATACCTAATGTAAATGACAAGTTAACGGGTGCAGCCCACCAACATGGCACATGTATACATATGTAACAAACCTGCACATTGTGCACATGTACCCTAGAACTTAAAGTATAATAAAAAAATAAAAGAGCCTGCCAACACTCACTTGCTCCTGCTCTTTCCCTGTGACACACCAGCTCCCCCTTTGCCTTCTATCATGATTGGAAGCCTCTGAGGTCCTCACCAGAAGCAGATGCTGGCACCAGGCTTCCTTGCAGCCTGCAGAACCATGAGCCAGTTAAACCTCTTTTCTTTATAAATTACCCAGTCTCAGGTGTTCCTTTACAGGAATGAAAACAGACTAATAGAAATGATGAACAAGGTCAGTGAGAAAAAGATCACTGGATTTTATTGAGAGGAAATCTTATCAGACAATTCCAGTGAACGGAATTTCATCAAAATGCTGAGGATGTAGGCCAGATGCCAGAAGGTTACGCTGGAGGAGCTTGCTCAAGAAATTTAAAAATCATCTACGGAGATGTCAGTTTAAAAACAGAGAAAAGGAAAGAAAAAGAAGGAAGAAAGTATGTGTAGGAATACTCAAAGTAGATACAATGTGATCACATTAAGTAGCAATATTGACATCTCCTTTACAATGATTCTAATGTATAACTTATGCTGCCTAGAAAATTCTTAGTGTCACCAGGAGTTAAATAAGATATCACTGGTATTCACAAGATACAAAGATTACCAAAAGCATGGATAAGTCATTTGACAAAGCAAAAGTTATCAGAAGTTTATACTGCATGATACAGGAAACCATTTCCTGAAGTCTACAGTAAATGTGTTCATTTATTTTTTGCTTTGTAAGAACAAGAACCCAAACTACAATATGTAGAAAGATTGGAAACATTCATCACTAAAAGCATCATTTACAAAGAGAGTGCTATGTAAATCTCATTAACACAGAATTAATGTTCAAGTGCTCTGATCCAGAGGAAATCGTTAAGATTAAGAACTTTAACTTAAATAAACAGAAATTCTCAGAAGACTGCCACTTCACGGCCTACTTGAAAACAAGAAATTTTAAATCATGAATGCACTACATGAACTATTTTAAAAATCAAAGAGAACAACTCAAATGGATTAATGAGAATACAGATGAGGAGGAGGAATCCCCACCCAGGAGCCCTCTTAAATGTAGCTCAGCTGCCATCCAGACAGCTAGTTCAGGCAGGCCTGGGCAACCTAATTCGAATGTGGGCTCCCGCTCACCACCCCTCCTACAGTCTCCATCTCAGCTACCCAGAGTCACCATCTGCCCAACCATGCAACCATTCTTGTCCTTTCACCTCACTCTCCAGATGCTGATTCCCACACAGTATTACTGACATTACCTAGGAGAAGTCTCTGACAAGTGGCCACTCTGGCCCACCCCCTCATCCTCAGTCTTATTTCCAACCCTCACCATCTTCCCTATGACTCACTGAACCGATCCTTCACACATTTTGTCAGATTTATTCCTAAGTGTGTCATTTGTTTTGAGGCTGAAAAGGATGTTACATCATGACCAGGTAAGGTTTATCCCCAGAATGCAAGGTTGGTTTAACATTCTAAAACCAATCCATCTAAGTCACCACATTAACAAAGAAAGAAAGAAAAAATATGATCATCTCAAAAGATACATAATAAGCATTCGGGAAAATTCAGTATCCTTTCCTAATTTTTCAAAAAAATTATCAGTAAACTAGGACTATAAGGTTCAGAAAGATAAAACAATTATCTTTTATGTTACAGAACTGCTTTTAAAGTCAGCCAAAGACTAAACAACATCTAATTCTTTTTCTGCTTGCAGTCTTACGTTTGCTTTCTTGCTTTTCTTTCTTGTCTTACAATTTTCCTGAGGGGCTATTATTTATACAGCAATAATTTTCTTTATCATAGGATATCTTATGCCTTGAAATGAATGTCAGAAAATTCTCTGTATCCTGTCTTCCTTGGCAGAACAAGGAAAAAAATCTAGGATATTCAAGTTTTGATTTACAAAACTAATAAATTCTGGCTAGGGGTGAGTCACAGTGTTATTACTCCCTTACGGTCTTAAGGTGGCTCCACAGTCTGCATTAAGGAGTCTGGATCTTTAAAGTGGCATTCAGGATTCTTCACTTGTGGTCTCACCTTACATGCTCTGACCTCATCTTTTATGGCCCTACTTCAACAATATTGCCCCAAATACATACATACATACACACACACATACATATACATACATATATATATATATATATTTAAAAAGCCCGTTTCTCCTTGTTTTTGCTGAGGCTGGTCCTTTGGCTTAGAATGCCTTTCCACCACTCCCTGCGCCTTTTTGCCTGCCTCCTTCCCAAGCCGTCTGTGACCCTTTTAGTGGGAACAAGCATCTGTCGAGCACCCGTCATGTGCCAGACAGTCTGCTACGCATGGGGAAAGATGAAAGGAAAGCACTTCTGCCTTCACGGAGCTTGAAGTCTAGTGGGGTGACAGACAAGGACAGTGCCAACGACTCCGCCCAGTGATGATGAGACTGCACCTGGAGAAGGCAGGCAGGAGCCGTGCGTCTCTTCAGCTCTCAGGAAGCGGAGCATTCCCTGCAGTTGGGTTCTGTGCAACCTCCTTCACCATAAGAACTCCTGTTGACATACTAAGGATGGTCTCCATTTCAAAGATGGCCTGAAGTAACCCGTCCACTCTAACAAAGCGGGTAAAAAGCTGAGGTTCATTACAGATCTGTTTGAAGCCAAATAAATATAAGGTTTTCCCTCCTTCATTCTGCCTGTTTCAGTAGTGGAGATATTTCTAGGGGTGGGGGATAGAATTCTTTTTGTTTGACGTTGTCTCTATTTAAACTGCTTTGGATTTTTTAGAAACTAATAATGTCACCTAAATGTCCTTACCCAAAGCAAACATATTGGCTTTCTGTCAGTCATTCTCAATAGCAAATCTAACACAATTTTCCTGTTTAGCAAGAAATGCAATAAAAGCACACATCTCCTTCCACTGTCTGGTTTTTTTCCTACTGTCTTCACATGGATCATGCTGAACGCACTGGTGGCGGCTGGTTTTAAGAGAATAGTTCGTGAGTCCCACCTAGCACTGCAAAGATTCCCCAGAGTCCCTGCGGACCCTGCGGATGAACTACCTGGTGCTTCGCGGTGACAGCGTCTTGCAAAGATTTCAGGGTTTCTGAGAATCCTGGTGTTTTGCTGCCACGAATCATAACCTGGGAGAATACTGAAGCGGGGCTGGCAGCTTTATACATTTGCTAGACAGGTGTTTCTAGGCTTCCTCCAAATAAGCATGTCAATGCCTAGATTATTTGGATGTTTATGTTAAAATTTAATCTCAGGCTGGGCACAGTGGCTCATGCCTTAATCCCAGCACTTTGGGAGGCCAAGGCGGGAGGATCACGTGAGGTCAGGAGTTTGAGACCATCCTGGCCAACATGGAGAAACCCCATCTCTACTAAAAATACAAAATTAGCCGAGTGTGGTGCACACGCATGTAGTCCCAACTACTTGGGAGGCGGAGGCAGGAGAATCGCTTGAACCCAGAAGGCAGAGGTTGCAGTGTGCCGAGATCGCACCGTTGCACTCCAGCCTGGGCGACAAAAATGAAACTCTGTCTCAAAAAAAAAAAAAAAATTAATCTCAAATGTTTATTAAAATTCCTTCTCAGGAATTCAGGTATTATCAGTTAGTTGCTGAGGCACCCCAAACTAAGCTACTTTGAGAGAGCTTACCATGTACCATTTCTATGAGACACACCGGAAGTGTCCGTAAGGATGCTTGTGGTCCAGTCCTAAAGACAACAAAAAATGTCAAAACAAATTGAAAAATATTTCATCTCTTAAGGTGGTGGTCCTCAAACTGTGGTCTCCACACCAGAAGTAGCGGCAGCACCTGGGGGCTTATTCTACATGCAAACTCCCAGGCCCTCTGCAAATGGGGTCCAGCAAGCTGTGGCATAACCAGCCTTCCAGGTGATGCTGATTCTGGTTAACGCAGATGCCACTGCCTTAAGTTGCTGGCATGATCAGATGTAGCAGCCTATGATCAACAGGAAGACACACTGGAAGAGCAGAGCAATTCTTTAGAGGTCATTTCATTTGCTTTCCTGTTCCCTCATCCAACGTTTAATGACAGCCTGCTCCATGTCAGCCCCTGTAGCAGGCACTGGAAGTGCAGAGGTTCCTGTGGTATCCCACTCTGATCCATGGACACAAAGTCTACTGGGGAAACCACACATACATGCCATCGGCCCTTGAACAACATGGGTCTGAGTTGAGCAGGTCTGCTTAGAAGCAGATTTTTTTTTCAACCAAAGGTGCAACAAAAACACAGTATTGGTGGGATGTGAAACCCACATATTTGCAGGGCCAACTTTTCATATGCAGGGGTTCTGCAGGGCCAACTGCAGGACTAGAGTATGTGTGGATTTGGGTGTATGGAAGATCCTGGAACCAATCCCCCGTGTATACCAAGGGGAGACCATCATTTAAAACGCTGGCAGTTGGTGTTGGTGTTGTTCAGACAGTGTTTGTTGCTCAGCACAGCAAACCATCACTGACATAGGCCCTGAAGGGGCCCCGTGGACACACTCTGCCTCTTCCGTGGCATCTCTGTGGTGAGGCCTCTGCAGACGATCCGCCTAAAACAACGAGCAGGAGTCACTCCCGTGTCTTTCCTTGTTTGTCCACGTGGTATTTGTTTGCTGCTTGTCTCTTCTGCTGGATGTCAGCTCAGGAACGTCGCCTTGTTCACTGTTACGCCCCCAGCATTCAGAACTGGGCATGCTCTAGGTGCTCACTGGATGTTTGCTGAAGGAATGGATTACATGAAATGTCACAGGGGTTCCTGGAGACAGTGATCATCATGCAAGGCAAAGGACAGGAACTCAAGGAACAGGCCGTCCCCCTTCTCTGTCCTTAACATCTGTGTTAGAATTCCACATGCAGCAGACTCTCTCTGCATCTCTTACTTCTACATTTCTTATTAAGTTTTGAAATTGTTGAGCAGATTAAAGGATTCCTTTGAAGCTTTTATGCTTAAACTTTGTGGAAAGAAATTCCCTGTCTCTGTAACTATTACTGGGACAGATTAGAAATAATTTGGAACTGAATTGGATTTGCTATTTTGTAAGCTTTTCTTATCTACCAAGGCTAATAGCAGAAACTTAACTCCTTACAATAGCCCCGGAGAAAGTATTATTATCTGCATTTCACAGATTGGAAACTGAGGGTCAGATAGGCTAAAGGGTTTATACTCCACTGCTCTATAAATATGGTTTGAATTGAGACAGAATGTTTTGTATCCCATAATAAGTTGGGAAACTTAGAAATTATACGTAAAGGGGCAGCAGGATATCACGGAAACAGCGTGAACTTTGGATTCAGACATATCCTGATTTGAATTTTAACTTCTACTTAGTAACTGCTTGACCTTGGGCTAACTTAATCTTTCTAAGCTGTTCAGTCATTTCCACTTGAATGATGGGAAGTTGTAGTCATGAGGGAAGTAATCTGTAAACACTGTCACCGCGCTAAATCTCCTCGGCGTCACATCCCGAGCCTCTGTCTCGCTCTTCTTCTGGCCTCGGCCTGTTCGGCTGCCTGCCATGCCTGGGCGTGCCAGCCTAGCAGAGGGGCCGGAACCGTGAATTCTGCCATCAGCTGGCCCAGGGCCGAGCCTGCCTCTGCCGCTGAACTACTGAGGTGATTCAGGGCAAGGCACCCAGCAGGGCCACGCCGCTGTCTTCATCTAGAAAACAGGAATGCTGGGAGGGACCCCCGCCTCACAGGTCTGTGGTGAACGCGCACCGTCAATGCAGAGGAAACTCCAGGCGCAGGGCCCAGCACCAAGTGAGCATCGGAAAATGCTGGACAGGACACTGTGGCGGCTGCTGCTGCTGGAGGGAAGTGGGGGGTTCCTCCACTCTCTCTGGACTTCCCCATCCCCCCGTCTGCCTGAAGAATCCCAGCCGGTTCTCCGGGAAGCCTTCTCTCTTCCATGTCCCCCCACGCCCCCGCTAGCTTCATCTCCCTCCCTTGCCTAAGCCCTTTCTCTCCTGGATTCCCTGTACCCGCACCCCCTTTCCCACCCAGCAAACCGACGATTACATGGCTGTCTTGGGAACAAACAGATGATGAAGGCACTGCCTGTCCCCAAGGAAGGCCACAGTCCCAACTGCACACCTCTACGGCAAGAGCAGCGCTGGGCACCATTGCTTCTGTGGATGTTCTCTCCCCCGGCTCTACTGCAAGATTTTCAAGGGCAGAAGCATGTCTTATGCAAGCCTGTGGCCATGCTCCTCACACAAATCAGGCTGCTGTAAGTGTTCAAGGAGTAACTGGCATAATACGTGTTTTCCTCGCCGCTGATGGGAACAGCCATTCTGCTGCTCCCCAGGCCCCGAAGGGCTCGTGGAAACCATTTTTAATTTGTAACACAGCTTGATTAAGAAGCAATGCTATTTGTTGTATATCCTAGGGTTTTTTTTTTTTTAAAAACTTGAATACATTTGCTCCTAAGTTGTCTTTACAGATTCTTTTGGTCCATTTGCAACTGTAATTATTAAAATGTAAAAGTTAGCTGGGTGTGGTGGCTCACACCTGCAGCCCTAGTGCTTTGGGAGACCAAGGCAGGAGGTTCACTTGAGGCCAGGAGTTCAAGACCAACCTGGTCATCAAAGCCAGACCACATCTCTACAACAAATTAAAAATAAAAAAAAGTATTTTTTTTAAAATTAGCTGGAAGGCCAGGCATGGTGGCATATGCCTGTAATTCCAGCACTTTGGTAGACCGAGGCAGGTGAATTACTTGAGCCCAGGTGTTCGAGACCAGCCTGGGCAACATGTTGAAATCCTGTCTCTGCAAAAAATACAAAACTTAGCCAGGTGTGGTAGCACGCACCTGTAGTCCCAGCTACTTGAGTCGCTGAGGCAGGAGAATCACTTGAGCCCAGGAGGTCAAGGCTACAGTGTGCTGTGATCACACCACTGCATTCTAGCCTGAGCAACAGAGCACAACCCTGTCTCTTAAGAAAAAAATATAAAAGTATATAGAAACTTCATAAACATCCCACAATTCTTTATTTTAAAAGCTAAAGTAACGTATTTTACATGACGTATCTGAATGTTGTTAGAATCCCAAAAAACCCAGAGTTAAGCTTTATTCTGATCGAATGAGATAAAACATACTTTACTGCCTTGCTTTGCCTCACTAATGAAGAGAATCTTCAGGCAACCCCATGGAGAGGGGCTGTCTGGCCTCACTGTCTGGAATATCCGGGTCAAGAAATGTGTACAGAAGGCATGCTTCACAAGCCCATGGCCACGAGGCGCTTACAGTGATGGGGAGCTCAGCAATATAAGCAAAGGACAACAGTAACAGTGTGGGAGGTGCTACCATCCAGGTGGGAACGGACAGCAGACGAGGACACAGGAAGAAGGGCCTGACTCTGGGTGTGCCACTTGCGGAGGAAGGCTCAGCAGACCAGGTGACCTCAGAGCTCACCCAGGAGGACAGAGGAGCATGCCATGAATGAAAGGAAGTGAGCAAGAAGGCCCAGCCAAGCAAAGAGCCTGCGCTCAGGACCAGCAATGCAAGAAGACACGCCTCATCCAGCCAGGTAAGCAGATGCGGATGGCTGGCCTCAGGCAAGCGCAGGCCACCTCTCATGGTGAAGGACAGGGGTAGCTGCCCAGGGCTGGTAGATGCATTTCATCAGGCAGAGGAAGCTCCATCCTGTTTCTGATTTGCTGAGAGTTTTCATTCTAAATAGATGCTGGGTTTTTATCAAACGCTTTTTCTGTCTCTTGAGATGGCATACATAGTTTTCCATTTTCAGTTTGCCAATATGCAGAATTACATTTGCAGGTTTTCTCATGTTAAGCTAACCTTGCATTCCCCAGATAAACCCCAGTCCGTCAATATTTTACATAGGGTTAAATAGTAGATGCTCAATTTTTGCTTAAAATTTTTGCATCTGTGTTCAGGAGGGATATTGGTCTGTAGTGCTTTGGGTTGTACTCTTTGGGGATTTTTTTCCCCCATGATCTCTTTGCCTGGTTTTGGTATCAGAGAAATGTTGACCTCACAGAATGACTTAAGAAGTATTCCTTCATTTTTAGGTTTCCTGAAGGAAGAGTCTACATAGATTTCATATTATTTCTCCCTTAAGTGTTTGGTAAGATGCATAAGTAAGCCATCTGGCCCCAAAATTTTCTCTATGGGAAGGCGTTTTTTTTCTTTTGTCTTTTTTAAGAAGTTTTTTTTGGCTGGGCATGGTGGCTCACACCTGTAATCCCAGCACTTTGGGAGGCCGAGGCAGGCAGATCATGAGGTCAAGAGATCGAGACCATCCTGGCCAACATGGTCTCTACAAAAAATATAAAAATTAGCTGGGCATGGTGGCGCACACCTGTAGTCCCAGCTACTTGGGAGGCTGAGACAGGAGAATCGCTTGAACCCAGGAGGCAGAGGTAGCAGTGAGCCAAGATCGTGCCACTGCACCACTCTAGCCTGGTGACAGAGCAAGACTCTGTCTCAAAAAAAAAAAAAAGTTTTTTTGTTTTTTTGTTTTTTTACTTTCTAATCTTCTTTTTTGTTGACTTTTTTATTTTATTATATTTTCCATTTCAATTTTCTTTCTGAGCCCTCATGATCTCATATGGGAAGGTTTTAACAAAACATTCTGTTTCCTAAGTGGCTATGTCTATTGTGGTTGTCTATATCTGTGTGTAAGCATTGGTATTTTGTGTCTTCTAAGGAATTTGTCACATCATCTCAGTTTTCACATTTATTAGCATAAACTTTTTATAATATATTCTTATCATTTTAATATCTATAAAATCTGTGTTATGCCAACTCTCTCATTTCTAATACTGTTAATTTGTGTCTTCTCTCTGATCAATCTGGCTGGAAGCTGATGAATTTCATTAACTGTTCTCCAAAAATAAGCTTTTGGTTGCTTTGTCTATGTTGGGTTTCTGTTTCCTATTTCATTGTTTTCCACTCTGATCTTTATTATTTCCTTTTCTACTGACTTTGGGTTTAATCTACATTTTTTTTTTCTAATTTCTTAAAGTGAAGCACAACCTCTGGCTCCCACAGGAGCTTCCCATGAATGAAGCTACAGCTATTACACCTACCTGCTCAAATGTTAAGAGATAAGATGTTGACAAGGGGGAGCAGGAACCAACAGGCTCCCCAAAGCCAACCATGCACAGAGCTTAAGGGAGGCCTGGCCCCGCCTCCTGGCAAACTAGTTTCGTTAGGATTTCAAAACTGCTTTCCAGCAAGCTATAAGCAGGTGTGGAGTGTTTACAGAGCAGTATTGCACATGGAGGGTAGTAGAATCTATTCAGAGCCAGAGAGCACACCACGATAAATGGCTGCAGCCGTGCATGCTGGTGTCCGCTCCCTGACTGTTCACAGTCGTTCCAGCCACTTGGAATGCTTTATCCTCCAGGTCTCAGCTGGCTCCCACATCTCTATGCAGCTCTGAAGGCTGTGCATAAGTTGGATGCCTTCAACAGGCAAAGCCATGGGTACCTCTAGTGCCACACGGCACACAGTCCAACTCAGGGAAAAGCCTCCTGTTGCCGGGCATTTCTGCAGCCCCAGTCCGTGATGTGGGCACCAAGTTTGGGCCCTTCTCAGAAGGGCTCTCAATGGAGCCCCTGCCATGTTCTGGTTACGATGACATGTTTTAGGCACGTCATATCCAACTCAGAGGGTAGACACCAGCCTGGCTTTGCAGTTGGGGGAAGCCAGGCTAGGCAGCACTAAGTACCTGGCCAAAGGCCCACAGCTGATGTGGGCAAAGACCAGACTCCCAGCTACTCAGGGGACCCGACATCTACCTGTTCCAGAGGCCCTTACACCCCTGCCTAGTCCAGAGCTGCTCTTGTTGTTAACAACCAGCAGGACTGTGACTGACCTGGACTCACTGACCAAATCTCATTTTCCTCCTTACATACAAGAATGAAGTTCCAATGAATTATTTCCTAACTTGGTCCAACCTTCTTTCTTTCCCCTGCCAGGCTCTTTTATCATTTAAGCCTCCCAACAATCCTATGAAGGAAGCATTGTCGTTCAATTTTACAGAGGGGGATGCTGAGAGTCAGAAAAGCTGGACTGTCTTGCTGGCTTGCATAAATATTGTTTCTAAGATGCATCCAATTCACACAGTCCCTATTTTCAACCCTAGAAGATTCCTCCTGAGGCACGCAGGAAAGACAGTCATGAACGTGGACAGACACAGTCACTCTAGCTAAATGGAGGAAGGCATCTTTCTGGAAAACCTGAGAAACACATGTTATCTTTCCCACTTCTCGGGGTGCTCCCTAGGAGCAGCTTTCACTGAATTACTTGTTTCCATGACTACACCATTCCTCGGTGATAGTTTTATAGGTTTAGCACGATTCCAATTAAATCACATCATTCCTGCTTCGGGGAGAAGGGCTCTGTAACAAGCTCATGGTGCCAGATGCCCCTACAGCAATAGATGTCCCCACAGACAGCACTGTCAGCCACTTCACTTGCACAGCTCCCGCTCCGGTCCCCAGAGAGGCTCAGCCGTCCCGCAGAAGACAAACCTCGACAACCAGAAAATGCCGCATGATTGCACAGGTTTGAAATCCACCACATTCACTACTGATGGATCTCAGGCAAACCCAACTGCTCCCTCTTACCCAGGACGCACCCACGCTCCTTCCGTGGGTGGCACAGCACCTTTACCTAGAAGGCCCTTCACGGACCTTTCCCATCAGATCCTGTCCTCCTTAAGGGTGGGACCACAGGATGAAGATTATTAGAAGAGACACAGAGGGCAGGCGCCGGGCACGGTGGCTCACGCCTGTAATCCCAGCACTTTGGGAGGCTGAGGCAGGTGGATTGCCTGAGCTCCGGAGTTCGGGACCAGCCCAGGCAACACAGTGAAACCCCATCTCTACTAAAATACAAAAAAAAATGAGCTGGTCCTGGTGGCGGACACCTGTAGTCCCAGCTACTTGGGAGGCTGAGGCAGGAGAATTGCTTGAACCCGGGAGGCAGAGGTTGCAGTGAGCCAAGATCACGCCACTGCTCTCCAGCCTGAGCGACAGAGCAAAACTCCATCTCCGAAAAAAAAAAAAAGGAAAAGACAAAGATTCATGCCCTGACTCCACCACCCACAGACGCGGCGAACTTGGGCAAGTCTTCCCTAAACTTCCGCTTCCCCACTCACCTCATAGGATATTTACAAGGATTGAGGAAACCTGGGAATGTCAAGCACCCAAACAGTCCCTGCCCGGCAGACCCCAATCCATAAACGTCAGTTCTCTTCCTCTCAGTTCCCACGCTAAAGCCGTGGAGGAGGGTGCCCAGGCCACTCGAGGAAAGTGGCTGGCCTCCAAGGGCAGACGGGGGTCGCAAGGCAGCAATGAGACAGAGAACCGATGAAATGATGGTCCAAGGGGAAGGCATCAAAGGCCTCGAGTGCAGGATACAGAGGCGTTGGGACTCTGTCCACAGGTAAAATTCAGAAAAGCTGTAGTGAAAGAAGAAGGTGTCACAGTGTAACTGACAGAGACCAAAGTGGGTAACTTGGAGAGTGTGACATCACCTCAAGGAGCCTCAGTTTTCTCCTTAGAGGATAATAGCACCTACTCAAACAACTCTCAAGGGAATCCAAAAGGACAATTTCGATGCAAGTGCCTGATATGCAAGAGTTCCTCGGTAAACGGTAATGATATTTTAATCATTACATTTAAATACATGTACGAACATTCATCTCTATCTATATACATTTATAATGATTCCAAAGAAAAACAGCACATTCACCCTTGCAACACTCAATTGAAGAAAACAAAATCCATGCCACAGGCACCAAGACCCAACCAAGTGTGAAGAGCATCTCCTAGATTTTGAAATGTTACCCTAAACTGTAAGAGCCTATCCTGTGAGACACAGAAAAAATCCTCTTCTTGTCTAACAGAGTACCTCAAATGTGAGAGATGCCCCCCAAAAGAAGTATGAGTGGAACACAAAGCAAAGGAAGGAACCAACAAACTCCGCGTGCCTCTGAAACCCTTGGCAGCCTGGCCTGTCTCCTCTCAGCCCTCTCCGTGCTCCCGTGCTCAGGACAGCAGGCCTGCAGCAGCATGCCATACACACACAGACTTCAGGGGCCTCTGCACCTGCCAGCCGCAGGTTCGGGAATGCCCTCTCCACTCTGGCCTGCTAGCTCACCCCAGCTTCTTCTTCCTTCAATACTCCACTTGAGTGCAACTTCCTCTCACAGGCCTTCCTCGACTTCCTCCGTGCAGCCATAGCAACGAGGATCACCTGTATTCTAACCACTTTTTCTTGTTTTATTTACTTGTATCTTAGCCACCAGCCCAGGAGTTCCATGAAGTCAAGACAGCCATGATGCACCCTTGTTTCCCCATCACACGGCACGCTGCTTAACACGGTCCTCAGTGGACAAGGCTGAGTTACTGGCTTGTATGACAGCCCCCAACTCGAGGGCTCCTAAAAAGGAGGCCCCTGAAATCCATCACTGTGTCCCAACCCCGGGGCACCGTAACTGACTCACAACTGGAGCACAATATACGTTGTGCTTTAATTCAGCAAAGAGGCAGAGTGAGGGAGGGTCAGAAGGAAGCCTGAACCCAGCCTCTGCAGTCAGCGCTGCTAGGGGCTTAAGGGAGAGCGCCACATCTGGTCCACTGCAGAATGGATGGAGTGATACAGCGATGGCCAGGCAAAACAAGGACATCCTCTGTGGCCTTGAGGAGGTCCTACTCGGGAGGAAGTCTGGAATGGCACAAGGAAGGTGGGAGGAAGACACGAAGCAGCACAGGGTTGAAAGTAAACTCTGTGAGGGACTGGAGTCTGAGGATGAGAACAGGCTGCGCAATGAGAGGGTGCCGGTAGCAGTGGACGGCCTCTGGCAGGATCTAAGCATGAGGAGTAACACCAGAAGGGGACACTAGTCAGGCTCCTTTCCCACGAAAGATTCTATAACCCCGCATCTGGACTTACAGCATAATACAAATAAATATACCCCCTACAGCTGTGTCAAAACAGTTTACAGACACATGTAAACACCTGCTCCCCAAAATTCCCGGGGCCTGCCTGTGCCAGTGAATCCCTACCGTAACAAGGAACACAGATCGTGAAAGGGCCCACACTAGTGAGCAAGCTAGTATATTCAATGCCATGGCGAGCCAGGCACGGTGGCTCATGCCAGTAATCCCAGCACTTTGGGAGGCCAAGGCAGGCAGGTCACTTGAGGTCGGAAGTTTGAGACCAGCCTGGTCAACAATGGTGAAACCCCATCTCTACTAAAAACACAAAAATTAGCTGGGCATGGTGGTGCACGCCTGTAATCCCAGCTACTGCAGAGGCTGAGGCACAAGAATCACTTGAACCCAGGAGGTGGAGGTTGCAGTGAGCCGAGATCGCGCCACTGCACTCCAGCCTGGGCAAGAGAGCAATACTCTGTCTCCAAAAAAAAAAAAAAGTCATGGCGAAAGTCTAGAAGGAGTTCAAGTGCTCAGATAAAAGCGTGCCAATAATCTATACAGAAAATCGCAGCTGGTCTCACAGCAAACGGCCAGCAGAGCTGCACGACGCCACCACGACACTCGAACCTCTCCACTACTCCACCAGCATTTAGGAATAAACACCTAAGATGTTAGTAGGCCCAAAGGAACATCTTTCCAAATCAGCATTTTTCATTCTATCCCCAGCTCTGAAAGAATAACCAGAAGGTAAATAGGTCTGAGGGGTGGGATTTCCAGAATTGCTTAGTGGGAAGCTTGGCTAAACCTCTGCCCAAAAAGCAAAGATGCAAATGGACAAAGTCATCAAGAACAACCATTTAAAGATGTTCAAACTGACCAAAGGCATACAACAAATTGAGAAGCATTTATTCATGACAATCTCGTTAATCTTGGTAAGAGCAAGGGAGACTGTGGCATTTTAGACAGGGGCTGGTTCCACTGCCCCTGCTACTCCCAACTCCTTGGCACACAAGTTCTACCTGGCCAGGAGAGACAAGCAGAAGACTGTCTGCTGCTCTGCTACCTGCTGGAAGAGGCTGACTTTATTTGGATCAGAGGGTGGAAAACACATGTCCAGGGGTGTTGTCAAAAATAACAGTGGGAGGCCAGGTGTGGTGGCTCACATCTGTAATCCCAGCACTTTGGGAGGCAGAGGTGGGTGGATCACTTGAGGTCAAGAGTTCGAGACCAGCCTGGTCAACATGGTGAAACCCCGTCTCTGCTAAAAATATAAAAATTAGCCGGGTGTGGTGGCGCACGCCTGTAATTCCAGCTACTCTGGAGGCTGAGGCAGGAAAATCGCTTGAACCCAGGAGGCAGAGACTTCAGTGAGCCGAGATCGCACCACTGCACTCCAGCCTAGGTGACAGAACGAGACTCCCATCTCAAATTAAAAGAAAAAAAAAAACTGGATTTTAGGAGGAAACAGTCAGGGAAGGTAACACTGCAGCTGGCCTAAAGTCACAAAACTAGTTGGGGAAATGATAAAACAGCAGACCCGCCAGAAATTCAGCAGGAAGAGCCAGTGAATGAAAGAGCACAGAAGGCCTTGGTGAGACCCCAGTTACCCCAGTGAAACCGTTTCTATAAACTTTATACAATAAATCAGGGAAGAAAGGAAGGGGAGAAGGAAAAACAAAAAAGCCTGCAGCACACTCGGCGATCATCGCGAGGGCAGCCTGCCCGGCCTGCTTCCTCAGCGCTGCCGGAGCCTGAATTGCCCCAGAATCACACAGACCTTGCTCCAAGACCCTAGTTCCCCTAAGAGCTCCGTCGATAGCCGCTTGAACGTTACAAAACGTTACGTTTTCCCTTTGAGATAGTCCTTCCGGTCCCGCATACCAGTGTAACTACCGACATCTGCTGGCCTGAAGGACCCCACTTATGCCAGGTGTCTGAGGGACCTCACGGAGAGTTAATTCATCAAAGAATGCAGTTTCCACATCCTGATGTTTCATCCCCCTCACCACAACCAATGACCCCAGCTTTTCAGGTCCTTACCTTCCACGACCCCCTTATAACCCGCAGCCCAGAATTCCTCAGGGAGATGGGTTTAAGGGTCTCCTCCCACCTCCTCGTGTGGCTTCCTGCTGTCATTAAACTATCTCTTCGCTGCAAACCCTGCTGTCTCCATGTCATGGGTCTGCTACTATACACGGGGCAAACGAGCCTGTTGGTCCCACAACGCTGGAAACCTGGGCAGCTGTGCACATGCACAAGCCCTCACACGTTCAGGACAAACCAGAGAGGGCCCCCATGAGCCACTGACCCTGGCTCAATGTGAGGCCTTGTGAATTCAGACGAAAGAAACAGCCCTGCAGTTTGACAGCAATCCCCAAGGCACGTGCAGATCCATCGGGGAATGGTGGAAGGCCTGCTGAACTGAAGCATTTCAGCACAACCTCTAATCAGACACTGGCTGCCCACAAAGCTCCAGGGCACCTGGGGCACGCCCTGGGAATCCAGGCAAGCAGTAAAAACAGGAAGGAGAAAATCACCAACAAAGCAGAGACGTCACACACTGAGGAAAACAGACTCCACGAAGGTAAGTCAAGGCAAGTTGCAAAACTGATGGACAAACAAGAAGAACAGCAACACGCAGCGCCAGGGGAGGGTGGTGGGGCTCAGCCTCCAACTTGCTACGATCCATTACCTAAAAGATCCAGCTTTCCACAAAAAATTATGAGACATGCAAAGAAAGTCTGCCTCAAGCCCACCAGACAGCACCCTCCCGTACTTGGTAGCTCCGTGCATGTGCCGTGCAGTTGCACTCTGGGGCCTTTGCTGCCTCTGCTGGGAAGCTTCTCCCACACCAGTCCCCTTGGCTAACCCAAGAGCCCAGCAACACAGTAACCAAGCTGCCGTGCAAACAGAAGCTCTCCAGGAATGGGGCACTCCCCGCTACCAACAACCCCCTTCTTTACTGCAGAGCCCAAAAGGGGAGAGGACTCTTCCCCTAAAACTAGCTCCTTCCAAGTTCAATCCACTGACATGACCTCCATCAACCAGAACTGGCCTATTCCTTCTTGCCATGACCTCATCAGATAGCACCCCATGCTCCTCCACCCCTCCTCTTGGTTGAGTGACAGCAGCTCCAATGCCTCAAAGTCCACTGTATCACTGACTCACAAGCATCTTGGCCAAGCGATTCTGATGTTCCTAACCAGTCCCTGCCCTCTTAAATTTGGCATGAGGACTGTAAACAGCATCCCAAAGGCTGGTCCTGAACACAAGTGTGCCTGAAAGTGACATTGCCGCCTGCAGCCCAGTCACAGCTCTTAGGCCCTGCAGTCCTCCTGCTCTACACGCTGTCCCTGGGCCAGCTCAAACAGCCAGAGCTTCCCATGTGCTGAAGACTCAAAACCCCGGAGCACTTGTGTAGGCCTCTCCACGGAGCCAGCAGCCACCTCTGCTCACTGCTGGCCTACAAGCCCGCGGCACGTAGCTTTGCACTGACATTCACTTGCTACCGGCATATCTGTCTTGGCTTCCTTGGTGCTTCCAAACCAACAATTGGGAAGGGTTGCCAAAAGATTAAGAAAAATGTACAGGGTAAACATCCGAACTGAGGTATGCAATAAATAAACTTTTCAAATGAATAGAGAAACGGCAGGAGAGAGTCTGCTTTAATCACCGCACGCCTGGATTCAGCCCACGGAATCTCCGTGTTCCAAGGACATAAGAGTTTGCAACACCAAACAATGCACTCAAGCTTCACTGTGACGGCTTTCCAAAACATTGTCCAAGAACAAAGAATACCAAGAATCCAGCTTTCAAATACACATAGCCTTTCCTTTCTGAAAAGGACTCAGAGCTGTGCTTCAGAAACGGCTTTGCAGAAGCCCGAACGGCACGTGGCAGATGCCGTCTGCCATACCAACTCACCTTCACGTGGCTGTAGTCGCCTGCTTTGTTGCTCTCGGGTGGGTTCACAGGTTTGCCCTCCACTCGGGGCCGAACGACCTGCCGAAAAGGACTGGACAGGGGAAAGCCACTCACACTGATTCCATCTACAAAATAAGAACAAAAATCATAAGTAACACGTCAGCTTGGTTTTGGGGTTTGTTGTTGTTGTTGTTGTTTGGGACGGGTCTCGCTCTGTCGCACAAGCTGGAGTGCAGTGGTGCAATCTCTGCTCACTGCAACCTTTGCCTCCTGGGCTCTGGTGATCCTCCCACCTCAGCCTCCCTAGTACCTGGGACTAAAGGCGTGCGCCACCACACCTGGCTAATTTTTGTATTTTTGGTAGAGGTGGGGTTTCACCACGTTGCCCAGGCTGGTTTTGTTTTTGTTTTTGTTTATGTAGGGGATTTTGTTCAAAAACTGTGACTGTAAGGAGCATGCCAGTTTCTGTCCTGACTATTCTACCTTGTATCAGTTACAGCTGCCTGATGTGTCCTCCATAAGCACATATTCACATCTACTATGAGTAAAAGCTGAGAGTGCATCAGTCCTTAAAAAGGACAGCTCCTTACCACCTGGATGTGATGACCAAGGCCCCAGCCTTCCCTCTGCGTTTGGACCACGCAGAGCCCATCTCTCTCCTGGGCCTCTGCTGAGCCGCTCCTCAGGCTGGAATGAGTTCCCCTCCCTTCGTGCAGCCAGCTCTCTCTTGCCGCTTGACCTTAGTCTAAGTGCTACCTCCTCACCCAGCTTCAAGCAGCCACCACTCTCTGCCACAAGACCCTACTTAAACCTCCGAGGAGCCACACTCTGCCATCTGGGTTTTTTTCTTACTTGTTAACAGTATCTATCGATTGACGGGTCTAACCCACGAATCATCTTTAAGTCCTCTCTGCATCTCACGTCGCATGTCCAACCCAAAAGGAAATCCTGCTAGCTCTGAGAGTATGTCCAGGGATGGCTTTCGTGGTTCGCACCAACTCAGAGTCACTGTAGTTTTCCTCCTGGCTCTTCTCCCCCGTTGCCTTCACTCCTTTCCCTAAGTCAACTCCCCACACAGCTCGCAGAGTCTCCTGAGGAAAGGGGGCTCACACCCTGCCCCTAGCACTCAAGAGGAAATGTCAAAGTCTGCACTGGTCTCCAAGGCCTCTGCATGATACACCATTTAACAGAAGAGAAGACCTGGCGGAATGAATGAGATATTTGACTGCAGTTTTATATATTCTCAAGAACGTAAAGATACTGCCTCCTGAGGAGTTATCTTCAAGTAGCTGCAGCTCCCTAACAGAACCCAGCTGGCATGCGGGAGAAGTCTACCTATGAGTATGGCGAGTATCACAGACTTCCAGTGTAAACCAGGCCAAGAGAACAAACCACCAGAGGCAACTTGTGCAAGAAATCACGTTCATACTGATTTTGACTTAAGATACATGCAACAGCAGAGACAAAAGAGCAAATGGTAGAAAGTGAGGTTGGTAAGATGTGGACTCACATCAGTATGACACTTTATGCTTTCTAAACTTGCCCTCGTTTTATTTATTCTTTCTTTTTAAGTTCCAGAGTACATGTGCAGGATGTGCAGGTTTATTCCATAGGTAAACGTGTGCCATGGTGGTTTGCTGCACCTATCAACCCATCACCCACGTATTAAACCCAGCATGCATTAGCTATTTTTCCTAATGCTCTCCCTCCCCTCACTCCACCCCACAACAGGCCCCAGCGTGTGTTGTTCCCCTCCCTGTGTCCATGTGTTCTCATTGTTCAGCTTCCACTTGTAAGACAGAACATGCGGTGTTTGGTTTTCTGCTCCTGCGTTAGTTTGCTGAGGATAATGAAACTTGTCCCCATTTTAAAGAACAGCAATAAACAACCTGCTCGCAGTCATACTGGCAGTCATTGATCCTAGGCATCGTACCACACATGAATGGATGTTTAGTAAACTTGATTGGATGGATGGATGGGTAGACGGGTGGCAAGTCTGAAACTCACACTCGGTGCTTTTGATTCTAAGCCTAGGATCCTTTTCGCTTTAACACAGTTGTTGGGAAAGAAAATTTCAATGGCTGCATATCTCAAACGAACCCATCTAAGTAACTTCTTATTAAGAAACTAAAGCTTCTTGTGATAAGATGAAGAGTATTTACTTTTAATTGACACAAAATGTATATTTCCAAATTCGCAATAACTTAGGCCCATGGCCCTATGCCTAATATCTCTTTGCAAAAATATGCAATTAACCAAGCATAATAGAAATAGTTCATAATTTAAAAAAAAAAAAACAAAAACACTTCTCTTAAGCATCATTTGCTAAGGTATGTCCCCTTAAGTAGTTCAATTTTCAGGATGACAAACAATATTCAACTGGGTAAAGAAGAATTAAGCAATTTTCTACTTAGAGGCTTCAAATCTTCAAAAGCTAAATTATCTTACGTTAAAAAATAGTCTACTTGAAAAGTCCATGGCACCTTATGCCCAAAATAGCACATGAAGGAATCAGACATTGTGCATCTACAATAAGAAAAATGACAAACTGATCTGTTTCTGTTGGTGGTGCCTATGGAAGACACGTATGAAGACTGTGATCAAGCACTTAAGAGCAGGGTCCTCTCTGCACTTAGAAGAAAATGGAGGTGCCCAACTGGCCCCTCTTCAAGCACTGCATGTGGGCAGCAAAGGTCCACCTGATGTCCCACAAGCAGCTCAGGCTGAATAGGCATGAAATGAACTTCAGAAGATTCTACTCCTCATAACAAGCTAGACAACTCAGACCAGCTCAGCCACTGAGAACAGCTAGAAAACATGGACAAAGTAGTCTTAAAATCCATGCAAGCATCAGAGAGCTAACAAGAACTACAGGGCTACTGTCTAGCAGAGGGGGAAAGACAGAGACATGAGCCTGACAAACATCCCCTAGAGGTGCCTGCAGATTTCAGAAGAGTTCACCAAGAGAATCTGAGCAGAATCTGAGCAGAACCTTTGACATACTCAAAGGACTCGATGTGAAAAACAGTGGTGTTCAGTGTTCCCCATGGAGAGTGGATAGCAAATCTGGGAAGCTTCAGGTAGGGCCACAAAGCAAAGGGTAGACCGTAAATAAAGCAGCCCTCACTGGGCCTAAGGCCCAGCTTTGAACCATGTCAGTCCCTGCAACTGGTAGGCCATTTTTCTACCAGAATTTATTCCTTGTCACTCCTTGTTCTACCCCCATTTTTTTTTACCTTTATGTATTGGTAATTCTCTTCCCTCTGACAATCTGATATCCTAATATGCCCCAATTTTTGGTCTCAGTTCAAATGCTACCTCTTCCATAATGCCTCCCCTAGCTGTCCTAATGGAAAGCAAGTACGTCTTCCTCAGAGTTCCAGCATCTTCTCTGTCCTGAGACCCGTGCCTACCTCCTGCTGATCTGTATACATGCAGAGAGCCCGGTAGGAGATCAGAGGGGTCGGGGCTGAGGTGCGGCTCCCCTTCTACCTGGCTGAATGAACTTCATCAAGTCAAATAACCTTCTACAAGCTTTAAATCCATCATCCCCTAAATGGGAATAATTAGAACACATATACTGTGAGGTTATACAGAAGAATAAACGAATTATTGCATAGGAAGGATTTATCACAACGCCTGGTACGGGGCAAGCATTCAGTAAAAAGAGCTGTTCTTATTCCTACTGCAGCAAATTATGCATGTCTTACATTCCTTCATGACTACAAACTCCTTGAAGACTGAATTCTTGTCAGATTCACCATTATGCCCCTCATAGTAGCTGATGCAGGCTCTAACAAATTGTAAGCCCTCAGTAAATAGTAACTAAATGAATGAATAAATTACAGGGTCAAATCCAGTATTTAGTTGACACGCACACAGTTTACACACACACGCTCAATAAAAATTCCATCATCCCAAAGTCACATTCAACAACCAACTCCTGGTTAACTGAAATTTCATCAGGTAGATATGTGCGAAGACTTATTTGTAAAGACTCAATCAAAAGCTGTTAAGTTTGAATGAGTTTATTTTCTCTCTTTTTTCTCATTTCTCTCAGCACCATGGACACAATTTATAAAATCTCTCCACGACACCATAATGCCTGCTGTGAAGGGTACTAGTATTATGAACAGAGCCATGTGCAAAACGTAAACTCCACATTTCTCTAGCATGTTACCCCAGGAACCAGGTCAAGCGGACCTCTAAGCAAGCATGGTATGAAAGACCACTCAATGTGACTTCACCCAGTAAGCCGTCCTCTGTTGAGTGAAGGCCAGGTGCCCAAAGGGGTATTTTTGCCATCTCATCTGTGTGTGTGTCTGTGTGTCTCTCTGTATCTCCACCCCTCTCTCTGACATATACACAGGACCCGTAATACAGCCTGGCCAGCTCCTCCCGAGGGAAGGCTCCCATCCTTCGCAAATTACACCAACGCTTTTATCTCCTGAAGGACCCAGATTCTTTTTGTTTGTTTGTTTTTGCCTTGGAAATACCAATCCTATTTTACACTTATAACAATGGTAAATTCTTCATTTCTGGAAATGGTCAGAAGTTTTGGCCTGTAGAGGAAAGCAGAGTGAACATCTGGCTTTTGTCTGCCCAGCATTTCTCGTTTCTTTGGGGAGCAGCTCCTTCTTCATCCCATGTGGTTCTGGTGGGATCAAGGTTGGCCTTGATCCTGCCATGGCCAGAGATGAAAACATCCCATCAACAGTGTGTATCCAGAGAACAAACAGAAGGTACGAGAAGGGACATGAAAAGCCCTCCTTTGAGATTTGATTTACAAATTCTAGGAAGAAAAGACTCCGGTTTGTCTTCCTCTGAATCACGTTATAAAGATCCAGCTATGGGCCAGCGTGGTGGCTCACACCTGTAATCTCAGTACTTTAGGAGGCTGAGGTGGGCGGATCACTTCAGGTCAGGAGTTTAAGACCAGCCTGGGCAACATGGTGAAACCCCATCTCTACTAAAAATACAAAAAACAGCTGGGCGTGGTGGTGCATGCCTATAGTCCCAGCTACTGGGGAGGCTAAGACAGGAGAACTGGTTGAACCTGAGAGGCAGAGGTTGCAGTAAGCTGAGATCACACCACTGCACTCCAGCCTGGGTGACAGGGAGAGACTCGGTCTCAAAAAAAAAAAAAAAGAAAGAAAAAGAAAAAGGAAAAAAAAAAGAAAAAGATCCAGGTATGGGGCCTGCCTGCAACCCTCCTTCCACAACACATTGAGATACCCTGGGCAACACACAACTCTATGAACCTTAGTTTTCTTGGCTCTAAAACAGGAACCAACTAAAAAACTCAATGAGATTTGATGTAAAAGTACTTCAGAAAAACACAAATCAGCAATGTTTTAGAACTAGGAGGCTGTGGGATATGAGCACTTTGCAAAAAAAAAAAGAAAAAAGTCTTAAAATTCCATCTGAAATTTGCCTCCTTTTTGGACACAGACCTCAAAATCTCCAAGAAACCCCCAAAACCTGTCATCTTCAAGCTCAGAAAAATACTAAGAAAGCCACTCCATGGATTCTTTATAGACTACAGAAGTCTGTTCTCAAATCCAACTAAAGATACAAAACACAAGAAGCATATAAATTACAAATGGGGACAGGTAGGAGGCAGAAGCCAGCCTTCGGAAAACTGAAGCTGAGCCCTTCGCCCATACAGGAACAGAGCTGGAGAGAAGGGGGCAGCTGCAGAGGGATGGCGAGAGATGAGATGGAATAAGATGTCGTGAGCAGGGAAGCAAATCACTGGGCGCGCCTGGGAAGGATCTCTCTCCAGCTGGGGTGGGGTGGAGGGGAGAAAATTATGTTCAATCATTTAGCCAATTTTTCTGCCAACACAGGCTATCACAAATAGAACAGAGAACAGATTGGGATGACAATTAATAGGAAGACAGGACAAAAAAAGTTACAAACAGATGAAGGCGGCCTAGTAGGAGGACTAAAGAGTTTAGTGGATTTATCAGGACAGAGGGTATTTAAGAATGGTATGAGTCTGGTAGATCATCATGAATAAAACTGAGCTTTCAGAGAGAATTTCATACTTCCCATTTATAGTGCTCAACTTTTCTATTAAGAGCAACTCTGTGGGAAATTCAGAAAGACAATTTTGTATGCTAAAATAATACTTCTCTCTAGAATTCAGCCATATCCCAACCATGATGACAATTGGGGAAAATGACAGCTGAAAGCAGAATTTGTGCAGGGGAAAGAAAAAGCAGAGTCACAATAAAAACAGCTCTTCTAGAAAGGGGTGAGGGCCAAGGGCCACGTCCGTGGCCTGGCACCAGGCGCTCAGTGCACACCATCCAACTCTTCACACCCTGCAAAGTCAGGCATTCTCTTACCAATTCTACAGATGAAGAAGCTGAGGCTCTGAGAAGGTAAGTACCTTGCTCAATATCACACAGCTCATCAGAAGCACAGCCAGAACTAGGCCTCATGACAACTGGATTGGTCACTACCCAGCAAAACTGACCCAAGGAATACATTTCAGTCCCCACACTGAGCTTCCAGAAAAGCTCACCAGCCAAGGTTGTTCTGTAGCACATCACTGGGTCAAAACTGTACACCATGCGTTCCACTAAACCGATCACAAGGACCCTTGCAGGGGCTTAGCATCTATCTCCAGTGGTGGGATCTATGCAGGGATGTGTCCATTTTGGTACACTTTCAAAAGAGACACTAATGCATAAGGTTGAATACATTTTACTCTCTTGTGAGAGGCACCAAAAATAAACTAGAATAAAATACATTAACAAAGGCAACAGGAGGCAACAATCGCTCAGTGGGAGTTTGTCAGGGTATGCTGTTCCAGGTAGAATATATTTTAAAGATGCTTTCTCATTTAGTCATAAAATCTACAGGTGCCAAAAAAGCCCATCTGGTTATCATAAAATATCCTCAAGAAAACCAAAGCAGTAGAAGCAGTTGGCTAAGAAATTAGCCAATACTCATCCTTAATTTCCATAAAGAAAGCGGCATGCTCGTTCATTCAGAAACTTTGGAATATGCTTAGGAAAGAAAAAATAATCATACAGGAATAGTGGCCTTCACATACTATTCAAATGGCAACAGTCCACATTCCCCATGGGCAGCCTCACTTTGAGATTGGTCTTCCTTCTGTTGGATGCTCCCTGCAGTGGGACCAGACGTAAAGTCCTCTGCCCTCACTGACATCAGAAGCCTCCATGTACAGGAGGCTGTAACTACCAGCTGAACACGTGAAATGTTCTGGGTGGTTCCCAGCTTGTTCTAAACTTAGACTGTGGGGACGATTGCACAACCCTGTGGATACACTAAAAGTGACTGAATTGTGCCTCACGTGAATTCTATCACAACAAATATTTTTTAAAAACTAAAAGGGTAGTACAACTGTGTTACAGTACAACACACTTTGAGGGTAGGGGGGAAGATAAAGAGAAAAGAGAGATTATATCCAAATGAATAACGATTAGACCAGAAGCTAACCTCCCAGCAGCAAGGGAAGTCATAAGAATTCATCTTCAAAATATGAAAGAAAATTCATCTGCTACACTAGACTTAGGTATATGCAGAACTTTTTTTTAAGAATGACGGTGACAAACACATTTTTTGGCTAAAAACTAAGAGAACCTACCACCAACACGTTCTCACTAGGGACTTCTAAATATTATATTTCAGGTACATAGAAAATAATTTCAGAAGGAAGGTCAAAGATGTAGAAAAGAATGGGAAACACAGAAAGCAGTAGGCAAGCAGATACATCGAACATTGTGCTTTAGTCAATTCCGTATGTTTTCTTTTTCTTTTTTTTTTTTTTTTTTTTTTTTTTTTTTTGAGACACAATCTCTCTGTCGCCCAGGCTGGAGTGCAGTGGTGTGATCTCGGCTCACTGCAATCTCCACCTCCCGGGTTCAAGCAATTCTCTGCCTCAGCCTCCCGAGTAGCTAGGATTATGGGCACCTGCCACCAAGCCTGGCTAATTTTTTTTCGTATTTTTAGTAGAGATGGGGTTTCTCCATCTTGGCCAGGCTGCTCTTGAACTCCTGACCGACCTCGTGATCCACCCACCTCGGCCTCCCAAAGTGCTGGAATTATATATAGGTGTGAGCCACCGCACCCGGCCTCTTTTTTCTTTTTTGAGACAGAGTCTTACTCTGTCGCTGAGGCTGGAGTGTAGCGGCGCGATCTCGGCTCACTGCAACCACTGCTTCCCAGGTTCATGCCTTGGCCTCCCAAGTGGCTGCGATTACAGGCGCACGCCACCACACCCAGCTAATTTTTGCATTTTTAGTAGAAATGGGGTTTCACCATGTTGGCCACACTGGTCTCAAACTCCTGGCCTCAAGTGATCCACCAGCCTTGGCCTCCCAAAGTGCTGGGGTTACAGGTGTGAGCCACCACACCTGGCCTCCATATGTTTTCAATGTACCAAATATTCCCTTGGCCTCTAAAACGTACAAAGCAACATCACATAGGCAGAAAAGGTCCTTTAAAGTTGCAGCCCTAAAATCTGAGAGTGAGATTTCCTTCTAGGGTCCCAGATAACTCCACATGGCAGTGCACACAGACAGACACTTCCTCCCAGTCATTTCACAGGGAGTCCAGACTGTCACCTGCCAGGGGAAATGTAAACATTCACACAGCAGCAAGGCCATCTCACAACAGGCACAAGCACATAACATGCTCCAAGAGCCAACGTCCAACCAAGACTGCATGTGGCACCTGCTGGTAAGAATGATCTCCTTTGCTGGACAAAGACACTGGCCACACAGAAAACCAACTACAAAGCACTTTTAAAGCACTGGACAGTCCTGTTAGCAGAAGGATATTATTGCATTTTCTTCCCTTCTAAAGATGGTTAAGAAAAAAAAGAAGTAGGGCTGGGCACGGTGGCTCATGCCTGTAATCCCAGCACTTTGGGAGGCCAAGGCAGGTGGATCGCCTGAGGTCAGGAGTTCAAGACCAGCCTGACCAACATGGTGAAACCCTGTCTCTACTAAAAATACAAAAAAAATTAGCTGGGCATGGTGGCAGGCGCCTGTAGTCCCAGCCACTCAGGAGGCTGAGGCAGGAGAATGATGTGAACCCAGGAGGCAGAGCTTGCAGTGAGCCAAGATCGGGCCACTGCACTCCAGTCTGGACGACAGAGTGAGACTCCATCTCAAAAAAAAAAAATTAGCCAGGCATGGTTGACACACGCCTGTAATCCCAGCTACTCGGGAGGCTGAGGCAGGAGAACTGCTTGAACCTGAGAGGTGGAGGTTGCAGTGAGCTGAGATCGCGCCACTGTGCACTCCAGCCTGGGCAACAAGAGCAAAACTCCATCTCAAAAAAAAAGAAAAAAAAAGTGGATGAAACTGAAGCAGGTGAGGACTCAGCCACAGGTAAGGAAGGCATTTGTGAGCACTGGGGATCGGTCCTGGAGGGTAGGCCCTCTTCTGCGGAAATCATCAAGAGAAGTGGAAACTGTGGCTGGGGCTTTTAGGACCCCTTTTAGGGGGTCCCTCTGACTGACACAGGAAGTCAGACTTGGATCTGGGCGCTTACAACAGTGACCTGCACTGACATCTTTACTAGACCATAGAGTGCTAGGGGCAGGAAGCCTGCATTTAAAGTCTGTATCCAAATAGTTTGCCACAGTGCCTAGCACATAGTAGCTATGGAGAAAGATATTTGCTGGGTGAATGAATGAGCTAATGTCATTTCCTAGTTCCTCTGTGATAAGAAATGCCTCGCAGCCTCAGGTGCTGCCCGGCACATGGGAAGCCCAGGACACGCCTCCGAGGCCAGCATTTCCAGGGACAGTGATGCAAGGACACTCCCTGAAGTTGTGTCATGTGGCAGCCAAGAACTGTATGCCTGCACTGAAAAGCACCTAATAAGGACATGAATGAATGACTTTGTGAATTAATGACTTCATGAATGAATAAGTAAATGACCATCTTCCAGCAAAAAGAGAGAAAAGCAGTTTGTTGCTAGGCTTTCAAATCCAAAGATTATTTTTTAAAACTGCTAGTAAATCACTGCCTTTTCTTTTTTTTTTTTTTTTTTTTTTTTTTTTTGAGATGGAGTCTTGCTCTGTCGCCCAGGCTGGATTACAGTGGTGCAATCTCGGCTCACTGCAATCTCCGCCTCCTGGGTTCAAGCAATTCTCCTGCCTCAGCCTCCCAAGTAGCTGAGATTACAGGTGTGGCACCACCACACACAGCTAATTTTTTTTTTTTTTTTTTGTATTTTTAGTAGAGGCCCCTCTCTCTCCTCCACCACACACACAAATGTTAAGTCCCTGGAACTGACTTTGCTCTTTTCTGCCACAGGGTTTTTACACGCACATAAAACAACACTTTCCTACCCTACCCTTTTCACCTATTTAAGTCCTGCCCCTTCTGTAAATCTTACCTCAGTAATTATTCCCACAGAAAAGTCTTCCCAGCCCTTTAAATTAAGTCAAACCCTGATTATATACTCACAACATCACATATTCTGTACCTAGCATTTAGCAGTTAGTAGAGACAGGGTTTTGACACATTGACCAGGCTGGTCTCGAACTCCTGACCTCAGGTGATCCACCTGTCTTGGCCTCCTAAAGTGCTGGGATTACAGGCGTGAGCCACTGTGCCCAGCCTGTTTTTTTTAAAAAAACATCTTAAAATAGAGATGGGTCTTGCTATGTTGCCCAGGCTGGTCTCAAACTCCTAGGCTCAAGCTCAAACTCCTAGGCTCAAACGATCCTCCCACCTTGGCCTCCCAAAGTGCTGGGATTACTGGTGTGAGCCACTGCGCCTGACCATAAATCACTTCTCTGTAGTATAAGAATGCCAGAATGGATTGCTTTAAAGAGTAATGAGTTCCTTGTCACTAGAACTGGCCAAGCAGAAGGCAGGTAACTTCTTGGCCAAGATCTTGGGGAGCAAGTGGAGGGAGGAGGAACTGGGGGAACCTGGCTTCCTCACAAGGTAGTATGAACTGCTTTTGTCCTTTTCTCTCTCTATTACCCTAGCCCGGAGCAGAGTCACTGGATGAAGTCCCAAAGGATTAAGAGACATGCAGGTCTGGGTTCAAGTCCTAAAGGTGTTCTCTTCACTTGCCCAGAAGCAATTTGCTGAAAGGAGCACTAGATATGGAGTCGAAGCCCCGGCCCCTCTGACCTGAGGAAAGACATTCAACGTCACTGCGCATCAACAGTGACGATCTCAACAGCACGGAGGTTCCAATCCTCTTATGCCTCCACCCCAGGTTTTGTGTCTTTTGTATCTTGTTTATACGTGTTACTCCATTTCTACTTGAAGAGAAACACAAATAAATGAACATCAATTCCCCAAAGAAAGCCACAGAAATAGCTCAATTAACATACGTTATTTTAGGATAAAAATCAGGGAAACAAAACCAGAACACTGTCAGTTTGAGATTAAAGTAGAAGGCCTATTTCATAGGATAATAAAGGAAGAATGGTGGTTTCCCAAGCCAAAGCGTGACATGTGCTTGTTCTCCTTTTAGAAACTAGAAATTCAAAGTATAATCTGAGTGTTTCGTGTGTTCTTCACAGTTGTACCAAAGCACTGCGCATCCCTAAAAGACAGGCAAAGCCATTATCTCTTCATTAAACAGTCAGCCGAATCAAAGAAATCACAGAGCTGACAGTTTCAAGGTAGAGCATTGATTTTTAAAAGTCTCCAAAGTAAAGGCTCACCCCATCATCCCTCAAAATGTTTCTTCTGCACAAATTAGTTTTAACTCCTATGGCCTAAGTTTCTTAAGGACTTTTTTTTTTTTTGAGACGGAGTCTCACTCTGTCACCCAGGCTGGAGGGCAGTGGTGCGATCTCAGCTCACTGCAACCTCTGCCCTCCGAGTTCAAGCGATTCTCCTGCCTCAGCCTCCCGAGTAGCTGGGATCACAGGCCTCTGCCACCGCGCCCAGCTAATTTTTTGTGTTTTTAGTAGAGACGGGGTTTCACCATCTTGGCCAGGCTGCTCTTGAACTCCTGACCTCGTGATCCACCCGCCTCAGCCTCTCAAAGTACTGGGATTACAGGTGTGAGACACCGTGCCCAGCCTCAAGGACTAACTTTATAAAGGCTTCTTTCTCCCCTCCCTCCCTTCCTCTCTCTCTCACACACACACTTCCTCTCTCTCTCTCTCTCGCTCTCTCCCTCCCTCCCTCCCTCTCTCCCCACCACACACACACACACACACACACACACATAAACACACCCTCTCTCTCCCCTACCACACACACAAATGTTCAGTCCCTGGAACTGGCTTTGCTCTTTTCTGCCACAGAGTTTTTACACACACATTAAAAGAAAAAAAAAAAAAAAAACCTTTTCCTACCCTACCCTTTTCACCTATTTAAGTCCTGCCCCTTCTGTAAATCTTACCTCAGTAATTATTCCCAGAGAAAGCCTTCCCAGCCCTTTAAATTAAGTCGAACCCTGATTATATACTCACAGCATCACATATTCTGTACCTAGCATTTAGCAGTTATAATTTTTCATTTATTTGTGAAATTGCTTATCCCTCTCACTAGACTTATGCTAATACAGTAGCCACTAGAGAAATGTGGGTACTTAAATTTAAAGTAATTAAAATTAAATACAATTAATAATGAGTCATTGAGATCAGGGGTCCCCAACCCCCAGTCCGTGGCCTGTAGGAACTGGGCCATGCAGCAGGAGGTGAGTGGAGGGCCAGATCAGCAGAGGCATTAGATTCTCATAGGATCACAAACCCCACTGTGAAATACACACGCGAGGCATCTAGGTTGCACGCTCTTCATGAGAATCTAACGCCTGATGATCTGAGGTCGAACAACTTCATCCAGAAACCACTGTCTTCCATGAAACCCAACCCTGGTGCCAAAAAGCCTGGGGACTGCTGCTTTAGATATACCATCCATGTCTCAAGTGACCAAGGCCACATGTGGCTGGTGGCTGCCATGGTGGACAGTACTGCACAGGCCATTCCCTCCAGTACAGAAAGTTCTGTGGATGGTGCCACCCTGGACGCTGAGCTCCTAGAGGGCAGAGACTGTGTCTTATTTTAATCTAGACACTCCCAAGAGTAGCAGAGTGCATGGAATAAAACAGATATGCAATAAGTATTTGTGAGGAAGACAGAGAAAAAAAAGAACTATGACTGCTTTCTTTGCTAAACCGTGCCCCACTTTATAAAAACCCAGAAAGAAGGAAATTGTGTAAGTCCTGTTACCTGATTAGAAGAGAACATTAAGAATTAGTTACTTCCATAATTTAAGACCGTATGACATAATTCCAAATCTTCTATAATTCCTGCTCTCTATTCAACAAATACTTGTGAGTACTTAATATGTGCCACACAATACTACACACACAAGTTAATTCAAGATGGTTCATAGGCCTAAATGCAAAAACTAAAACAATACATTCTCTAGAAGAAAACATAATATTTCCATGACCTTGATGTAAGTAAAGATTTCCTAAACAAAAATTAGTGCTAACCAAGAGGAAAATAATTATAATACAATTAAGAAATCTAAGAAAATTTACAATTTTTTTTTTCTGCGTTGGAGTTTCACTCTTGTTGCCCAGGAGGGAGTGCAATGGCACAATCTTGGCTCACTGCAACCTCCACCTCCCCAGTTCAAGCAATTCTCCTGCCTCAGCCTCCCGAGTAGGCTGGGATTACAAGCGCCTGCCACCATGCCCAGCTAGTTTTTTGTATTTTTAGTAGAGATAGGGTTTCACCATGTTGGTCAGGCCGGTCTCTAACTCCTGACCTCAGGTGATCCACCTGCCTTGGCCTTCCAAAGTGCTGGGATTACAGGCGTGAGCCACCATGCCTGGCTGAAAATTTATAATTTTTAGTTAAGAAATCTAATTTAAAAAATTGATAAATTCTCTTCATTAAAAGACAACATCAGGAAAGTAAAAAGCCTAGCCACAGAATCTAAAATGTGTGCAATACTCATAGCTGACAATGGACTAATATCCAAAATATGTTGAGTACTACTATAAATCAGTTGGAAGGTAAATAACCCAATAAAAAAATGAAGAAAATATTTTAATAGACACTTCACAAAAGTATATATCCAAATAATAAGTATATAACAGATGTGCAACATCACTGGCTACTTGGGAAAAGCAAGTTAATACCACAGTGAGACAATACCACATGTAGACCAGAACAGCTGTAATTTAAAACACTGACAATACCAATGGGTGGCGAGGAGCTGGAGCAAGAGAGAGTTCATACATAGTGCTGGGATGTACAGAAATCCCAAGAACCACTTTGAAAATCTGTTTGGCTATGGATCTATTAAAGCCAACATAAACCTGAGCTTATGTCTACCAAATACATGCACAAGAATGTCTATAGCAGCATCATTCATAACAGCCCAAAAGTAAAAACCACCCACATGTTCATCACAAGTATAATGAATAAACTGTAGTATTTTCACGCAATACCATCCAGCCATAAAAAAGAACAAATGCAACACACAATATGCATGCATCTCAGATATCATGTGGAGGAAGAAGGAAAAAAACAAGAGACACTGATTTCAGACTTCTAACAGGGAGACATTAAGAGTATACAGTTGTGACACTTTAGGCCAAAGGAAAAAAGAAAACAAAAGAAAGTACACTGTATTTCCTTTTTTTTTTTTTTTTTTTTTGAGACAGAGTCTCACTTTGTCACCCAGGCTGGAGTGCTGTGGCGTGATCTTGGCTCACTGCAACCTCCGCCTCCCAGGCTCAAGCGATTCTCCTGCCTCAGCCTCCCAAGTAGCTGGGATTATAAGCGTGTGCCACCATGCCCAGCTAATTTTTATATTTTTAGCAGAGATGGGGATTCACCATGTTGGCCAGGCTGGTCTCGAACTTCTGGCTTCAAGTGATCCACCCACCCCAGCTTCCCAAAGTGCTGGGATTGCAGGCGTGAGCCAGAGTGCCCAGTCACTTATTTCTTCTACACGGAATTTAAGTAAAAACAAAACTAATTTATGATGATAGAAGTCATAATTGACAATTATCTTTGTGGGCAGCTATTGACTGCCACAGGTCTCAAGAGAACTGGAGGGTGCTGAAAATTATTTATATCATGAGCTGGGTGTTTACATAGATTCATATGAACATAAAAATTCATCAAGCTATAAACTTAACATTTGTGTTCATTACTGTATGTAAGTTACACTTCCATAAAAAAAGACTTCAAACACCACTTAACAAAAAATATCAGGGAATAAATCTAGTAAAATCTGTGGGACCTTTATAGAGAATATGAGGCAATATTTTTGAAAGACATTTAAAATGAAAAATAAATGAAGAGACATACAATATTCATAGATAGGAAGACTAACCACCATAAACACGTCACTTCTCCCCCAAATTAATCTATAGATTTGATGCAGTCCCAGTCAATATTCTAACATACTGCTTTGAGGAACTTGACAAACTGATTCTAAAATTGATGTGGGCTGGGCGTGGTGGCTCATGCCTGTAATCCCAGAAATTGAGAGGCCAGGGAGGGCGGATCACCGGAGGTCAGGAGTTTGAGACCAGCCTGGCCAACATGGTGAAACCCCGCCTCTATTAAAAATAAAAAAATTAGCTGAGCGTGGTGACACACGCATGTAGTCCCAGCTACTGAGGAGGCTGAGGCAGGAGAATCACTTGAGCCTGGGAGGTGGAGGTTGCAGTGAGCCGAGATCATGCCACTGCACTCTGGCCTAGGCGAAACAGTGAGACTTCATCTCAAAAAAATATAAAAAATAAATAAAATAAAATTGATGTGGAAGATCATCAGACAAAGAACATCCAAAAAGCTCCTGAACAATCATCTAGTAGGGAGACTTGCCCCATCAGACCTCAAAACTCATCATCGCAGGGAACAGAGAATAAGCAGCAACTAGGTCTGCCTGGAGAAACCCAGAATTTGGAACAACTGCCTTGAGATTCAGAGAATGAGTAAGAGTTTTTCAAGAAAACAAGCAGAAGACAGTCTATACCAGTGGTTCCCAAACTTTGCTGCACATTAGAATCTTTTGGGGTGCTTTGAAAAACTGTAAGTCCAGTTAAATCTCCAAATTTAGGACTAGGAGCCAGGCAGTGTTTTTTAAAGACCCCCAGGTGATTCCAGAGTGCAGAAAAGCTGGAGAACCACTGGTCTATTCTTGCAGTAAATATGAGAGCACGGTGCAACTAATTCAGAATTCCTGGAATATAAACCACAGGAGGGAGGAGGGGGACAGGGAGGCAGCAGCAAGAGCAGAGCGGGCAGGCCCCAGGAAAGGTTGTCCTGAGGGTGACGGGATGCCACCAGAAGTCACCCAACAGAAGAGGGGCACAGTGAGATTCTGCCTTAGAAACATGACTGCGGTGACAATGTGGAAGATAGTGGAAAAGGGGACAAAATTAGCAGCCGGGAGCCCAATCCAAAAACTACTAAAATGGCAAAGATGAGAAATGACAAGGGCCTGAATCAGAGCAGTGACGCGGACACGAGGAGAAGGCGTGAAAATACTTAGAAAACCAAATTGGCAAGACTTGGTGTGATCAACACGATGAGCTAACAGTAAACCAACTGGTAGTGATCCGTAGAAATCATCCCTTTCCTCTTTGGACAAAAATACTCTGAAATCCCTGTCCTGAACACCTAGCTGACTTGTCTCACGGTGAGTCACCGCCAGCCTGGGCGGAAAGGGCAGTAATGAGAACAGCCAGCTCAGTGGTCCAGGAGACGTCGGTTCCGGCTGCCTGCAATGGGGATCACCTGTTGCTGATGAATGACAAACACCTGGATTTTCATTCTATCCTGCTAGTTTAGGAAGTTATTTTCCAACCCAAATTTAAATCAAAGAAGTGAGTCAACCTCCCCACCTACAGGCTAACAGTGGCTAGGGAGACGTGCACTTACAGGTTATTAGACAGATGTCTGGGGCATATTCAGCTTACGGGTGTTGGAAAACTTTCAGTGTCCAAAGGAGACCCAGCACCAGGAAGGTGCTCCTGAGAGCTCCAGGGAAGCAGGAGCAGGCTGACCTTTCCCTCGGCTGCGCCGCCACGCTGTGAAATTACTGCCTATGAGTCAGACTCCGGGGAGATGGCACGGGCTAAATATAACGCTGGGCAGGCTGTCCGACGCGTCATTAACCTTTTTCCTTCAGAACAAAGGCGGATAACCCACCGAACACAAAACAAAAGTAGCGCATAATATGACAAATGGCCAACATAATCCGAAAATAATTGCAGATCTGAATTAAACTGTAAGATGTGAATTGATTTCAGCTCGAAGATGTAGAGAGCTGGAAACAACAATGCGCCCCTCTTGTGACGAGGTAAAAGAGTTGGATATACTGAAAATTAACTTTCCCTGCCTGATCAGAGAGCTGGGGCCACGGGGAAAACAGCTAGCCTGGAATGGAGAGAGAGGCCCCTGCAGGGGAAGCGCGACCCCCGTGCTGACGCCGGGGCTCCAGCAAACACCAGGCAAAGCAACAAAAAGCTTCAGCTGGAACCTTCAGGAACTGCCCAAGGCTAGGGTGGGCTGGCAAGAGTGGAGGGGCCCGGGCGCTGCAGACATAGGGGCTTCCCACCAGGAGCTCACTGGGAAGAGGGAGCAGGCCCCGGAGAAAGCTGCTCCTTGGAGCAGCTGGCTTGGGGGCACCAGGCCAGCCTCCCTTTCTGTTTCACGGAGTCAAAGCAGAGGGAAGAACAACGAAGACGGCAGCAGTGTGAGGGCACGGAGGGAAGCCCCACGCCAGCCTCCACCCAGACGCACCACCCTCAGCCCCCTCAAATCAGGAGCCCACAGGCAGGCGGGCAGCTGGGGGTGGAGGGGCGCTGAGCTGCATGAGCACATGAGGACGTCTGGAGAGACCGAGCCTAGGAACAAAGTGTAAGAGGGCCTCAGATGGGGCCCTCGGGAGTTCCAGTGTTTCCAGGTAAAGAGGAAAAGGAAGAATCTCCAACTGAATGGGACAGAGAGCTGCTTCTGAGGCAGTAAGAAAAGCAAGAGTATTGGGGGAGGATGCAGCCACCAGGCGCTAGGAACAAAAAACAAGTAAGACTCCGGCCCTGCCCGCGAGATGAGGGTGGTGGAGTGAGAAGGACCAAAGTGCAGGTGTGCTTCCCTTTGCTCGGGACTCACTGGCACGGAGGCCGCATCCACCTCCTCACGGCCGTGGAGGGGATGCGTGGGAGGCGCCTGGACACCTACACCAACACACCGTGCACTCCGCCAGGTCCTCTGCTCTCGCCAGCCCCTGGGCTCTCTGGCCTCAGGAAAGAACCCAAGTTTCCATGAAATCCCTGGCCTTCTTCTTAGTAACACGTTTGTGGGAAAAACTCAGGCAAATAGAAATTGCAAAGAGAAAAAGAAATATTATGGCATTAAGATTCCAATCACCTTTGTCTTTGAATTCTGGGTAATTCAGGATGAGTCACTGTTCTTTAAAAAATAAGACTACGAATTCCAAAAATTAGTATTTATTTTCAAGAGCAGTAGCAGATGAGGACAAAGACACTGAATAACTGTCCCAATTTCAGAGTACAATAAGGGGGGAAGGGGCAAGTTATGAAAGTGAATATAATGCGTTCAAGAGCGATGGCTCTCGAATAAAATTAATTCCTGACCACAATGATAAGTGGAAGCATCCGTTATCATTAAATTGTGAAGAAGCCAAATATAATGAAATGCCAAATAGACATGTTTTTTTTTCACCCTAGTCTCCAGTTCTGCACAAAGAACTGAACTGATTCCAACTTCCCACAGGCAGTTTGTCTTTCGCCTGATAAACATGAGGCATTTCAGGCAAAAAGAACTGCATTTTTCTAGGGGGGGACAGAAGAGATTCTAATGGGAGCTCACGAAACTACTTGACCTGCTACTAAATTGTGTAATGCAAACCCAGCAGCGTCCAATGGTGACAGTGCGCAGGGGCTCCGAGGGGAGGACTGGGGAGAATTCTGACCCCCCCAGGCTACGGGATCTCCCCTACCACTGCATGTCCACATCGCCTCTTGCTCTCCAGCTCACCTGGCACACTCCTGGTTAAGACCTTCCTGCCTCAACTTCGGGTGGTTACACTTACCGCCTGCCATACACAGGTAGGTGAATCTCAGATGACACTCCCAAATCTAGCCAACTTACCTTCTTTTATTTTTTGAGTCAGGGTCTCACTCTGTCGCCCAGGTTGGCGTGCAGTGGCACAAACACAGCTCACTACAGCCTGGAACTCCTGGGCTCAAGCAATCCTCCCACCTCAGCCTCCCAAGCCCAGCTCATTTTGCTTAATTTTTTGTAGAGATGGGGTCTTGTTGCACTGACTGGCCTCCAACTCCCGGACTCAAGTGATCCTCCCACCTCTGCCTCTCAAATCACTGGGATTACAGGTGTGAGCCACTGCACCCAGCCCCACTCACCTTCTTAAAACAGAGTTTCCCATCATACCAGCCTTCTTTTAAAAAGTTGTCAGCGGCTCTCCAGTATCTTTCAATGAAGTCCAAGTTACTTCTGGAACTTCAGGCCTTCCACAGCCTACCTGGGCCTGCCATTCCCACGGGGATCCCCTCCTGCTCCTGGGTCATCTAAGCTGTCCAGACCAGCCTTTATTCAGGGCCACCCTGTCACCTGCATCCCTGCTGGTGGCATCCAGCTCATCTTTAGTCAGGACCTGTTCAAAGACCATTCAGGCCGGGTGTGGTGGCTCACACCTGTAATTCCAGCACTTTAGGAGGCCGAGGCAGGCAGATCACCTGAGGTCAGGAGTTTGAGACCAGCCTGTCCAACATGATGAAACCCTGTCTCTACTAAAAATACAAAAATTAGTTGGGCATGGTGGTGTGTCCCTGTAATCCCAGCTACTAGGGAGGAGAATCACTTGAACCCAGGAGATCACTTGAACCCAGGAAGTTGTAGTGAGCTGAGATCACACCACTGCACTCCAGCCTGGGAGACAGAGTGAGACTCCATCTCAAAAATAAAAATTGGGCCAGGCGCGGTGGCACCCGCCTGTAATCCCAGCACTTTGGGAGGCTGAGGTGGGTGAATCATGAGGTGAAGGGATCAAGACTATCCTGGCCAACATGGTGAAACCCTGTCTCTACTAAAAATACAAAAATTAGCTGGGCATGGTGGTGTGCGCCTGTAGTCCCAGCTATTCGGAAGGCTGAGACAGGAGAATCGCTTAAGCCCGGGAGGCAGAGGTTGCAGTGAGCTGAGATAGTGCTACTGCACTCCAGCCTGGCAACAGTCCGAGACTCCATCTCAAAAAAATAAAATTAAAATTAAAAAGATTTTAAAAGACCCTTCATTCAGAGTTCAGAAAGCAACACCAGATCCTCACAGCCAGACAGCTCTCCCGTCTCTGAACTCAGGGTGTGGAACACTCGGCAGCCTTCGCAGCGTGCCTTCCGTCCCTCACTTGCTTAACGTATGCCAAGAAGCTGCTCTGACCAGGCCTCACTGCATACTGGGAAAGGAGAGAGCACACGGCAGCTACGTGGGAGACTCAGGGAAGGATGAGCTCGAGCTCTGCCACCACAGGACATGGAGGGAGGGGACACTCAAGGGCTTGCAGGAGGGAGGGGCCGAGTGGGTTGGCAGAAAAAGAGAGACGGACATTCCAGGTGGAGGGAAGAGCACAGATGAAGGGCATTTCACAAAGGCCAGGGTACGGCATGCAAGGGCCCAGCAACACGAAGAGGCAGACAGAGAGAGAGAGAGAGAGAGAGAGAGAGGGAGACTGGGACCAGATTACATAGAGACTTAGACACCAAAGTGAGGAGCCCATTTGTTTTTGAGAAAACTGTAAGACACACCAGAAGATGGATTCAAGAGGGCCAGGCTAGTGACAGCGAAAGAGTTAACTAGGCTCCCGTGAAGGCTCAGATAAAACGTGTTTGGCATGTGTACCAAGGCAAAGAGGGAGAGAAGATGGAGGGATATTTAAGAGAAAGAACAGATGAGCCTTGGGGAAGAACGGATGGAACTCCAGCGGTGAGAGAACCATCTGCAACAGCCCCAGGACTCTTGCCGGCACTTCCCAGCAGATGATAATGGCTTTTGCCACCAAAGGAAACACAGAAAGGTGAGCCCGTCTGGAGAGAATGACAATCCATCAGAGTTTGAACAAGCTGAACTGGAGGTGTTTTCGGGGCTGCCAGGTGAAAAAGTCAGGAAGCCAGCTAAAAACATTGACATGGAATTCAAGACCGGAAATAGACATTTCAGAGTCATTACCATCATGTTAGAGCCTGTGAAATCATTTAGGAAAAATATAGTGTATGGTAAGTATTAAGGACAAAACTGTTAGGAACATCCATAGCTGGGGATGCAGCAGTGAAGCAGAGTCGGGAACAGTCAGTGTGGCACGGCACGGGCCAGGGGAGGGAAGCTCCCCACCTACAGGAGGACTGGCCAGTCACTGGCGTCTCCCAAGGATGAGTAAGTGGCAACCACGGAGGGGGAGGGAGGTTAAAAGCCTGATTTCAATGGCGGAAAAGTACAAGAAGGATGAAAAAGTGAAGGGGAAAGAGTAAGGAGTAGCCAGAGAGAAACCCATGGTTTAGAAGAGGATTTGGGCATATCGGCTGAGGGACTGGTACAAAACTGCTCAAAGCTTAGTGCGCAGAACCCCCCAGAGAATGGGTCAGAAACACAGATCGCAGCCCAGCGCCCACAGAAAGGGATGTCGAAGAGCTGGGTGGGCCGAGGAATCTGCGTTTTAGCAAAGACACTTTGATGCAGGTGGTCCATGGGCCGTGACCTACAAAAACAAGGGCAAGTTCAAAAGACCAAAGAGAAAGGATACCTGATCCGGAACACAAGTCAGACGATTCACCTCTGATGAGAGGAGGAGCCCATCTTCCTCTACAACGAAACAGATGGGAAAAACAAGTGTATCCCAGAGGAAAGAGGGGAAGCAGAGAAGGTTTCTGCCTGATGGCCTCTGTGGATCTTTGAAAAGAGACCATGTGCTGAGAGGAAGGGATACAAGAGTGGGGAAAAGCCTTAAAAAAAGTGGCATGTTGACAACAGCTGAAACTAGGCACACACTTGCCCCTGTGTTTTGATGAATGAATGTTTAGTGGGAGAGCCCTATGATACAGATAAGCATATTTTCCCCATGGTGTTCAAATTCATGGGATAAAATGGGCACTACTCACCAAAGTCAACCTGTCCCCTTCTCAAGATACAAAAGCAGCAGATGACTTAAAGGACCAGGTTTGCCGCCCACTCTCTATTACCCTCCTCTCTGACAAAGACAGGAAGATTCCTTACATGAACTGCTATCATATCCCCATTTTTGAAAAAAGCAAGTCTCCATTTGTCCACCAGAATTGTGACATTCACTTCCCAGCAAACCAGAAGTTTATAGGTACCACAAAGATGGACCTAGAAATACTGTTCTGTTTGTTCCCTAAGGCGGGGGCCCGCAACCCCTGGTGGCCTGTTAGGAACTGAGCCGCACAGCAGGAGGTGGGTGGCAGCCTAGCGAGCTTTGCAGCCTGAGCTCTGCCTCCCGTCAGCTCAGCAGCGGCCTCAGGTTCTCACAGGAGTGCAAACTCTATTGTGACCTGTGCACACCAAGGATCTAGGTTGCACGCTCCTTATGAGAATCTAATGCCTGATGATCTGAGGTGGAAGAGTTTCAACCCAAAACCATCCCCTTGCCACCATGGTCCGCAGAAAAACTGTCTTCCACAAAACTGGTCCTTGGTGCCAAAGAGGTTGGGGACCGCTGCCCAAAGGGAAGGAAGGAGTGGATAACAGCAGGACAAGCTCCGCAGCAGGCAGGGCCCCTGGTGCTGCTGTGTGAGGCCTTAGACAAATCATTCCACCTTCCTGGGACTCAGGTTCCTGTTCTGTCAACCAAATTGATTAGCTGACATCTACCGTCTCGTCTCATTCTGTGATACTAGGGATCACTATTTCCCATACTGAAACTGAAATGCCACAGTTAATTATCATGTCTAACAGAAACTGTCAGCAGGGAAAGTTGACATTTCTCTTACAAAACCAAAAGCCAAAAAGTACACAGAGAAAGAAAACCAAATTAAATAATTAATTAATTGAAAAGGAAACCAAAGCAGGTGATGCTTTCATCCCACCGTCAAGAAACGGCAACCCAAAGGCAGTTTTCATGTGACACATCAATCCCAATAAAATCAAAACACTAATTTATCAATCTTCCCGACAGCTCCCTGTGCTCAAACATGTCCCTCAGACAAAGAGGGCACGTGCAGCAGCCTGGCTCGATCTTCTGGATAATTCCTTCATGAAAACCTTCTTGGATAAAATAATTTTTCAATCTCATCAGATGACAAAGCTGTCTGTTACGCAGAAGTATTATTACTAAGGTGTTTCCAATTCCTTTTTTTTTTTTTTTTTTTTTTTTTGAGACAGAGTTTCGCTCTGACACCAGGCTGGAGTGCAGTGGCGCAATCTCGGCTCACTGCAATCTCTGCTTTCTGGGTTCAAGCGATTATCCTGCCTCAGCCTCCCGAGTACCTGGGATTAAGGTGCACGCCACCACACCAAGCTAATTTTTGTATTTTTAGTAGAGACGGGGTTTCACCATGTTGGCCAGGATGGTCTCGATCTCCTGACCCCATGATTCACCCGCCTCAGCCTCCCAAAGTGCTGGGATTACAGGCACGAGCCACCGCGCCTGGCCTCTTCTTTTAAAAAACACTTTATTGTGAAATACAACACTGATTGACAAAACCACCAAAAATAAAGGTATCACTTAATGAATTATTATGAAGCAAACACCCTAGAAAACACGACACAGGTCCAGAAGCAGAATTTTACCAGCCCCCTAGAAGCCCTCGATTTGCCCATCCCAATGCTGACGTCCTCCCTCGCCCACAGGGCCCACCACCCAGACTTTGTGCTAGTCACTGCCTTGCTTCTCTTTGCCATTTTACCACGTAAGCATGCAGCAATGAAACTACAGTTTAG